>NC_000007.14:154326933-154639998 GCF_000001405.40 Homo sapiens
ATTCACTGGGTCGCTAGAGGGTGGGCAGAGAGGGACGCAAAAAGGCGTGTGTCAGAGTTCCTGTCTCCGGGGAGGTCACAGGATCGTTAGACAGATAAGAGAGACGCCTGTGTCTAGGTGTCTTTGGTTCAGTCCTAATGTTCTGCTTGGTGTCTGGTTCCCACAGGTCATTTGGGGGGTCTGAATGGTGATGGATACCTCTCAGAGAAAAAAAAGATTTAGGCTTCCAGGCAAAGTGGAGAATGAAGAGTAAAGACTTGGAATGATGGGTGGCAGGATAAAATAGAAGAATCATTAGTTATTAGAATTATTAGGGTAAAAAGCCGTGTTAAGTGCTTTGTAGGTAGGAGGACCGTATATCCCAATTTGCTTAGGCCAGTCCTGGTTTATGGCAATTGCCCTGACTTGAGTTTTAGTAACATTCCCTTTTATTCTCAATAGCGTCCCAGTTTGGGCAATAAGTCATATGGTCAACATATATATTGATGAAGAATTAGGATCTTAATATAGGAACAGATTGCGAGTGAAGATAAAGGTAAAATCAATTTTGAAGTCCCCTTATACTACACCGTAATTTGATATCTATATCAATCTCTAATTTTACTTGAGGAGTAGTGTTGACCTCATGTCTTAGAAGAAAAAAATGAAGGTAAAAAAATAATAAAATTTTGCTTAGGCCGTTGTGAAATTTCCTTTCAAAGACGGAACTAGAATTTAGAACTCAAAAACCTCATTTCCTATACTAACCCCCACCCTACATTGCCGGGGAAAATGGAAAAAGCAAAAGAAATAATGGGATATAAAAATGTATGGGACACATTCTTTCCTCTATTATGAGCTTGTCTCTTAATTACCACCATTTATACTGGACATGTGATTTGGGTTTCCAGAATAGTAAAAACACAGATATTATAAGCCCTGTGATCATTTGCAAAGAAATCTCATTTGCCCAGGCTATTACATTTCTGTTCTGCCTTCAGTGGAAATACACATAGAATGGAATAGAAATATGCATTACTATGAGTAATTCCAGACACCTTAATGCTTTTAGCGGGAGTGCATTTGGAGTTTGTTTCCTGAGACCCCTCTGGTGGAGGTGGTTGTTATTCATGCTTGCTGGAACAGTCCTCCCCACGTCTGTGAGCTCAAGCAGGTCCTGGCCTCAGAACCACAGAACTCCAATAGCCAGAGACTAAAAGAAAAGGGAAAAATGGTTTGCTCGGATCCCTGGGTTGCTTGGCCCACACCCTGAGTGTAATATGTGATCAGGGTTAGAAAGCAAGTGGTGGGAGCAGGTCTTGCTTCTGTGGGCATGGCCTCCTAGAGAAATAGTCCAGCGCTGGAGGCACAGAGAGGGGAGGACAGGCATTCCAAGGCTCTTGAAGAACTGAAATCTGGAATCGACATGAAGCTACATCCCGAAGCAGGGAAGTAACGACGGGCCTGGAAGGGATTCCTGTTCAATTAGTGGAATATTTACAGAAGTGTTGTTTTGAAGATGAATTTATGGATGATGTTCATGTAAAGTGAGATAGAATGAGGGGACAGACAGGGATAGGGAAGCAATTAATTTGCCATAGATGTGGGTCTGAAAATAATCTTTACTGGCTTGCCTGGTGTTGTCTAAAGTAGCAGGGGAAGCTTTGAGAATCCTATTGATTTCAGGTTACTATCCAGGAACTATAAAATATTAAAGCAGAAAGGAGACTTAGTGATCATTAAATTCATTCTGAAATGAGAAAAATCAAGCCCACAGAAATGGAGGGTTTACTTAATGGAGGGTGTACATGGTATTAGGGGCAGGAACCAGGTCTAGAACACACCCACTGGCTCCTTGTCATTAACCCCGTTGCCCTGGAGAGAAGAGAAGCCGGTGGTCACACTTTGACAGACACAGTGTGGGTGATGCCAGAGCCAAAACCTTGGGAAGGGAACTGTGTGGCTTCATGGACATGACCAGATCCACAGTCATCCACTGGGTTACTGTCTTCCCAGTTCTCATCAGCCAGGGTTGTTTAGAAACATTGAAAAATGTTGCTAACTGTGGATAGCTCTGTAAGTAGGGTTTTCCATCTTTCTAACACTTATTACATTTTTTTATTCCTGGAACAATTTTGAATGAGAAGTGGAAACCATGGTTTTAGCCCTACTTATCTCTTAAGGAAGAATAGATTGGAACAGTACAGGTGTTTTGCTTAAGTTTGTGGATTTACTTAAATATTCCCTATGAAAGCTCCGGTGTACACATTTATTTTATTCATGATTTCAACAAAGCTTTACTGTGCACCACATACAGTCCAGCATGGTCCCATAGAGCTTTCAGCAATGGTGGAATTGTGTTGCATCCGCACTGGCCAGCGTTGCAGCCACTAGCCACATGTTGCTGTCGCAGTCTTAAAATGTGGCTGGTGATCAGGGACGATGAGCTTTTCTCATATATCTGTTGGCTGCATAAATGTCTTCTTTTGCGAAGTGTCTGTTCATATCCGTCACCCACTTTTTGATTGGCTTATTTGTTATTAGAGAAATGCAAGTGAAAACCACAAGGAGATACTATCTCACGCCAGTTAGAATGGCGATCATTAAAAAGTCAGGACACAACAGATGCTGGAGAGGATGTGGAGAAATAGGAACGCTTTCACACTGTTGGGGGGAGTGTAAATTAGTTTAATCATGGAAGACAGTGTGGTGATTCCTCAAGGGCCTAGAACCAGAAATACCATTTGACCCAGCAATCCCATTACTGGGTATATACCCAAAGGATTATAAATCATTCTATAAGGACACTTGCACACATATGTTTCTTGCAGCACTATTTACAATAACAAAGACTTGGAACCAACCCAAATGCCCATCAATGATAGACTGAATAAAGAAAATGTGGCACATATACACCATGGAATACTATGCAGCCATAAAAAAGAATGAGTTCATGTCCTTTGCAGAGAAATGGATGAAGCTGGAAACCATCATTCTCAGCAAACTAACACAGGAACAGAAAACCAAACACTGCATGTTCTCACTCACAAGCGGGAGTTGAACAATGAGAACACATGGACGACACAGGGAGGGGAACATCACACACTGGGGCCTGTCGGGCGGTGGAGGGGAAGGGGAGGGAGACCATTAGGACAAATACCTAATGCATGCAGGGCTTAAAACCTAGATGATGGGTTGATAGGTGCAGCAAACCACCATGGCACATGTATACCTATGTAACAAACCTGCACGTTGTGCACATGTATCCCAGAACTTAAAGTAAAAATTTTTAAACATGTGGCTGGTGACTGAGAGATGCAATTCTTAACTGTAGTTAGTTCTAATTAATTGAAATTGAGATCACCACAGATGGCAGAGGCTTTCATGTCAGTTTCAGACTCTGGTATTGGGTCGAGGGAGAAAAGAAAAAAGACAAGTCATGATCTCTGAGGACAAGGTATTCACAGCCGAGAGTGGCAGGGATGAGGAGAGACAGGTAAACAATTGTCACACTGGAGTGTGGCCAGTTATGTCACTGTGGGAATAAGGTCCTGTGAGAGCACGGAAAAGATGAGCGTGATATGATTCCTCTTTGGGGCGGGCAAGCATCAGGGCAGTTTGACAAAGAGCAGATGTTCCTGTCTTTACGAACGGACTGAGACCGCTCCAGACATCTGAGATGAACATGAAGAGAAAGGAATTTTCAACAATGGAGCAAACATACATTCTCAGCAGTGTAAAGAGCAGAGCGCCAGAGGCAACCGTGTACTTCTGGTGTACTTCTGCGTGCACGTTGGTGTACACACCCTCTGGGGAGGTGAACTAGCAGGCAGCTTGGCAAGAAGTCGCCTGCGGTGTTCTGCGTCTCAGCCCTTGTTCACCATAGTGCTCTGTGTGAAGTTGGACAAATGCATCTACCTTTCTGGACTTCAGTCTCCTCTCCACTCCCCGAAGGCAGGGCAGAGCAGCTGTATGACTCCTTCTCAGATCTGGGCTTAGTCCTTACAAGCTTCTGTTGCATTCTCCAGCTCCTGCAGTGGCCTTCCCTCAAGACAATGAGAAGCTTCTTGGCCTCCTCTTTAACACTGGGTGCTATTTAATGAGGGCACCTCAAGATCCTCCCAGTTACCACGATTGCTGGTGGCAGTCATCTCCCCTCCGACAACAGTTTTGTGCTCTGAGTGCCTGTGCTGTTTCCACATTTTTTTCTCCCCCTCAGGTATTTTAGACCCCAAAGATACATGGGTACTCTAGGGATACTGTGTAAAGACTGGGTAGTATTTGGAACTGGCAGCCAGAGAGACGACATTGGCAATTCATTCATCTATCATTACCTCAATTGGCAGTGTTCTCAGTACGCAGGGACTGTCTCTGTGTGGCTTTTTGTGAGAGGGATGTAAGATTTATTTTTCTCTATGACCTACCTGCTGGCATGGTACAAAAGGTCTCTGCCGAGGTCTGAGGGACCTCACTTGAGCTGCACTAATAGACGGGGGGATAACTGGTAGACCAGGAGAGTGTAGACAGGAAGAAAGAACTCACCTTTGTAAATGAGCCACTCAGGCTTTTGATTTTGTGGCCCTTGAATTCCCACTTCAGCTGATGGTCACACTCATCTGTGGGGAAGCTAATTTTACAAGAAATGGAACAGGAGGGGGTTGCTGTTGGATCAAGAAGATGCAGCTTTGGAAGGTATCCACGAGGGAATAGCCATCAATTTGCCACGTGTGTGAGCTCTACCATCCCGCAGCACATGGGAGCGTGCTGTGCTGTGCCTGTGTGCTCTCAAGGTAGACGAGGTGTCACTATATGGTCATCCACACAGCAGGTGTGGCCAAATATAGAGATCTCGTGAAAAACTAATAGCCTGCCAAAGAATACAGCCACTTTTTCAGGGTCGTAAAAACACTCTGTGACTTTCCCAAAATACAGTTACTATACATGCACTAGCAAATCCCAGGATGTTCTCTTCTTATGGTGCACATAGCTAAATACCCACCTGTGGAATGTGGGTTTATTTGGGAAGAAGCTAATCCTATTAGGAGTTTCATATTCTCACCAATTTGGGTGATGGGGTCTGTGACCAAAGATCATAGAAAGTAAGAAATACAGGACTCAAAAATGTGTTCTTCATTATGTCTTCACCTCGTGCTTTTTAAACTTTTTTTTTTTTTTTTGAGACAGAGTCTCACTCTGTCACTCAGGCTGGAGTGCAGTGGTGCAATCCCAGCTCACTGCAACCTCCGTCTCCTGGGTTCAAGTGATTCTCCTGCCTCAGCTTCCTGAGTAGCTGGGATTACAGGCACATGCCACCACGCCCGGCTAATTTGTGTATTTTTAGTAGGGACAGGGTTTCACCATGTTGGCCAGGCTGGTCTCAAACTCCTGGCCTCAGGTGATCCACCCGCCTCAGCCTCCCAAAGTGCTGGGATTACAAGCGTGAGCCACCACACCCGGCCATGGTTTTCAAACTTTAATGTGCATGGAAATTACTGGAAGTGTTTGTTAAAGTACAGATGCTGCTTCAGCTGGTTGGGCATAGGTCCTGAGATCCCGCGTCTCTCACGGGCTCCCAGGCCATGCAGTTGATGTTGGTCCATGGATGACCCTCTGGGTAGCAACGTTTGGGGTCTTTGTGTGTCCACACATGGTGTGTCTGTCCATTAGGAGGAAAGTGCCAGCGCATTTGCCAAAGCGTTTAGATAGGAGCCTGTTAGAGTTTGAAGTTCCAGGACCAAGGAAATCTGGTAAATAAAGGACAGTTGTTTGTTCATGGATCTAGGTTTATAAAGTGTGTATACATTTTGAGATTCTGTCTCCCCCCTCCAACCTTAAAATTAGCAAAATGTAGTCTTTCTTTGTCGAGCTCTAGGAATAATTTTTCTGCGTCAGATGCATTTTTGGGAAGGTGCGTTTGGCCATTTCCCACTCACCGTGCCCGCCCAGTATCCCTGCAGTACTTTGGAAGCACCATAATTGGGAAAGAGTAGAAAGTTCTTGCCTTGGAAATGAGATTCTTATCTGGGTCTTGGGCACTGGAGGATCTCAGGCGCGGGAGGCTCGCGATGGGTCCGGGGAACAGCTGCTGTGTTCCTGTAGGAGGAAATGCCTGTGATGGAGGCTTCTAAAGCCAGCTCCCGTCTCAGAGAAGACAGCTCTATGCCTCCACGTCGTGATAGCAAATGTTCCCTTTTGGCTGTTTTAATAGTTCTGCTTCAAGCGTATTTGTTTTTCCTTATTTCCTAGCATCTTTGAGAAAGATCTGTTCTATACTCTGTAGCCCAGTTTGGAGAGATATGACATGTTTGACTATGTGAGGAAATATACATATTTCTCAGGGCTTTTTTTTTTAAATTGAGTGTTATTGGACTTTGATGTTTGATTTCCAGGCAGTCTTTAATGTGAAAGGCAAACACATTCATTTTCTATCAGTTCCTGAAAATGTTCCCAATTTTAGAAGCTCTAGACTGGTCTTGCCAATATAGCAACATAGTGACAGTTACTCGTCTGTAATTCTGTACTTAAATCGTGAACTGCTAGCACTATCGATTAATGCTTTATACAGTTTCAAAGCTGTACTCCCAGGCTGCATTTAGATGGTTTAAAGCATTGATTTCTCTCTCTGACAACTCTTAAGTTATTGGCTGCCAAAAAAATGAGGAAAGGTTGGTTAATCTCCATGGCTCATATGTTGCTTGCTGTAGAGAATATTGGTGAAGCATAGTTTTTCTTCATTGTAAGATGCACTAGGGATGTGAAGACTGTTTTGAATCATTGTGAAAACTGGAATCAGAAAAACAATCTCCTCATTCAATTCAAGAATTCGAGATCCAAAACAACATTCAGTTTGGTATTTGGCAGTTTAACCAATATCTGACTTTATGTAATTTTAATTATTGGGGTCAGCCATTGGTATTGCATTATAATTTGTAATGATTTATATCAGCCTTTTAAAAATGCTCACAGTCATGGACAAAACTGGAAAAAATGAGGAAGTAACCCAATCCAAATTACTTAATATCATCTGCTGTAATTAGAAATTAGATTTTAGTAGACTGTTTCCATAATACATTTCAGAATTATTTTTATAACTTAATAGTATAAATACAAAATAATTTCAGCTTTGTTATTTTATTATGTGCTGTGCTAGTTTAAATTATTCCGGTTATAGGTGTATCATCAACACCTTATCTTCAGCAAGGATTTTAAATATGGGCTGACCAAATTTATGTGGAATTTGCATTTTGTTATTCGTTTAAAAACATACAGAAAATGGAAAAAAAAAAAAAAACCTTTGCAAAGATTCTCTTTTGAGTGCTAGCTTTTCCTGATCCCTAAGGATGCCGGCTGCTCTGCCAGGAATGTGCCCTTCATATTATATCTTCTAGAATGAATGTTTGGAAGGGAAAGCAGTAAGATGCAAAAGCAAGAAGGACAGATGATGTTCATACTCACAGTAATAGCTGTCTCCCCTCTTATCAGTTGTGATGCTGGAACAAACACCTCTTTCCTGACTGCAGGGTTTGGAGGTCCCCAAGTCCACCCTCACTTCTGCCATCAATGGCAAGCGGCACTGGCTGCGTGGAAAAGCCAAGATGCCTTTCACCATACCATGTCTGGAGTCTAGTTGCTGCTCAATAAACCCTGGTGGCGATCACTCTCGAGATTCAGTAACATTATCCAGAATTTAAAAAAAATACAAGCCTGGGCACAGTGGCTCACGCCTGTAATCCCAGCACTTTGGGAGGCCGCGGTGGCAGATCACTTGAGGTCAGAAGTTCGAGATCAGTCTGGCTAACATAGTGAAACCCCATCTCTACTAAAAATACAAAAAATAGCCAGGCATGGTGGCACGCACCTGTAGTCCCAGCTACTCAGGAGGCTGAGGTGGGCGAATCGCTTGAAGCTGGTAGGCAGAGGTTACAGTGAGCCAAGATTGTACCACTGCACTCAGACCTGAGCAACAGAGGAAGACTCTGTCTCAAAAGAAAAGGAACAGAAAAAAAAAATACAACAATGTGTGGTCCTTGTATTCAAGCCAAGCTTATTTCTGCCTCAAAGCATTGTGCCAAGTTTGTATGTTACTTCAGGTTTCATAAGCCAGCAGATCCTCTTCCTGGGACTGAAATGATGATTTCAGTTTTTTCAATGCTTAAGCGTGGAAAACAGGCAGGTAATTTGTGACCCATAAGGGAGGGGTGAGAACCACATGAAGATGAAGGTGGTGGAAAGGAGCAGCTGATGTCACGCACTGTCTACTTAACATTGCCACGTTAATGTTAATGCCGGTTATAGAAAGCAATGGGTAATTGCCATATTTTTGTTACGGCTTATTGCAGTGAATGCAGGATGCTTCTCACATCTCTTACACATCAAGTAAGAGTATTTCTTAAAAAACAAAACAAAACAAAACAAAACAAACTCTCAATGCCACATATACCTGAATTGTGAGTACTTATTTCACCTAACAAATACCTAACAAATATTGATATTTTGCCACTTATGGGTTGTATAAATGACCATTAATATGATTTGTCAGGCACAGTACACACAACTAACCTATAAACAATGTGCAGACGTAGGTCATAAACTGTGACACTCGAAATCCAAGTAGTGCCCCTGGTGGGAGATGTTTCACATGTTAATAAGCAATTACCGTAGTAGATTAAGAGTACAGAATCAATCCAAGAAGCCAATAATTTAGAGTTGGATACTGTAGCACAAGATTGCAGGAACCTGAGTGCTGTGTGCCACGCTGCACATCAGAGGTTGCAAGATGTCCTGCAATGCAGGCTCAGGAAAGTGACTGATGCGCTGTGTTCTAATGTGGAATTCTACAGGTATTCGTGGAAAAACATCAATACATTAGCAAAACCTGGACCGTTTCTGGTGTTGCTGGTGCTGCATGGGATGAGTCTGTGGGGCACTCCATGGGATATATTTAAAGAGGTGTTATTTTGTCTCAAGCGGCTAGGGCGGAGATAGAGCATGCTATTTGCCACATTGCATTCTAGGGGTTGCAAGACATCCTGAAATGTGGGCTCCATGAAAGCGGTTCATGCTGTGATCTGTACCCCCAGATCTCTTCCCAGGCAGGTCTCATCCACCACCAGAAATGGTCCATGTTTTACTACTGTATTGATGTTTTTCCACAAATACCTGTAGAAATCCATATTAGAACACAGGGCGTCAGTCACTTTCCTGAGCCTGCATTCCAGGACATCTTGCAGCCTCTGAAATGCAGCGTGGCACACAGCACTCAGGTTCCTGCAATCAGCATGCCCACATGGTCATAATACAGACTTAGCAACCTGGAAGGAAGTCTCAGTGATCTGTGACCCAGCCCTTTCTCCTGATAGACCGTGGAACTGCAGGCAGAAGATGCACGGCGTCTCATCTCAGATACACAGTGGTGGTGCCGGGATGGTATGTGCTCTCCATTCTCCCTGGAGGGCTCTTGGTCCATCTTGCTTCAGTGACTAGCATGAGAGGAGTGGTGATAGCAGCAGGTGCCGTGGCCACTGGGCAGGCGGGGTATGGAGAACGCAGCCACACGGCCGCCACTCCTGCTATGGAGGCACCAGGTCCCGCAACACTGGTACCATAGGACAGGGCTTCCTGGTATCACAGGATTTGCCAGAGCTGGAACGTAACGCCCACTTCACACCTTGGAGTATGATTCAAAGTAGAGTTTGTAGTGAATTCCAAAAGGCATGTGATTCAAGCTAACTGCCAAGACCATTCAGAGTTGTGGGGAGAAAACCCCACTGTGGGCACGTGAGTCAGGGAAGCAGCATGGAAGCGGCTTGGGTAGGATTGTGGCAACTGGAAGGGAGTTGGGCGGGCCATGGTTACAGATGCGGGAAGTGGTCGGAGTGGGGAAGAGGACCTGTCTGATTCCCAGGAAGTGGGCAGGCTCCATGCAGAGCAGGATCCCCCGTGGAGCCTACACAGCCTTGCACACCTGAACTGAGGGGCAACGAAGAAGGGGTCTTTGTAGTTCCCTTGGTTAGGCAAGTCACCAGCTGGAAGTGGCAGCCGAGACCCGGCAGGGACAACCCTGTCTTTCCCAGTGAGCATCTGATGATATTATCCGGGGCCCGAGCAGCTAGGGTAGAAAAGGAGAAGCATTTAAACATCAGTGCCTCAAATCTCCTTTCCAAACATCCCAGGTATAGAAAGTTACATCACTCTTGCAATTTGGTTCATCAATTGTCCTCACTGCAAAGTTGAACCTAAACTAACTCCTGTTGGGAGGCAGACTAGGGACAAGTGACTTTCAGTGATGCTGAACTGTGAGGCTGAGGCACTGGCCATACTGCCTCCCAAATGGAACCCTCGTTTGTGCAAATGCCCCCGGCCAGGGTGGTACCCACACACATCTGCACATGACTTTCTCAGTCTCCTCCTAAATTATCCCTATTCTTTTTGAAAACATAAAATTAACCCAGGTGGAAGTTTGTGTTGTAAAACATGGAGTAGTTTTCAATATTGTAATAGGCTCTTCAAGAAGAGCAGCATTTGCCCACAATCTGAATTTTTAGAAAACGTCTAAAATCTCGAGTTATCAGCAGGACGATATCCACACAGTAGATACATCCCTACCGGACTCAGTGGCAAATTATGACACAGGCCAAGGTCTATCCTTGCACCATCTGTCATTTCTGAGTCTTCAAAGAGCTCAGAGATGTCCTCTGTGTGCCTCCTTACCCAGGCAGGCAGCCTAAACTCCCAGGGTTCTTCCCAGGCAGATCTCAGCCATCCTGGGCTCAGGAAGGCATTCCAGGAAACCAGAACGCAAGGGATAAAAGATGGAGGAAGTCACCTCTTTTAGCAGAGTTTGCACTTTGATGAGAATGAAGGCTCACGCCCAGGGAGAAGGTGGATAAGAGAGACGTTTAAGCACCAGCTCTAAGGTAGTTGCAGTTTGCTGGGCTGATTTGGGTGCTCCTGAAGGATTTGTTGTCTGGGGACTCTTGCCTGGTGCCCAAGGCTGTACCTTCTTGCGCGTAAGCCTGTTCAGCTCTCGGCCCGTGTGGCATGCAGGCCACAGGAGAAGGTGACTCCAGCCCCTCCTCCGTTGACTGCATTTCTCACTGAGCGTATATCTGTCTTGCCTTCTCGCAGATTGTTTTCACGTGGCATTTCACTTAACTTTAGTCTGGATTCACATTTTTTTTTTCCAGAAGGTGAGATTCTTCTTCACCAAGATGTCACAGTTTGGGCAAAGTTCAAAGTTGCTTAAATTTCTTCGAAGGGCTCCATGAGCAGTTGTACTCCAGCAGGACTGTCACTCCAAATTGGACTCTCCAGCTGGTCAGGGGCGGCTTTCCAAGAATCTTGATGTCCCAGAGCCCCTCTGATACAGTATCTGAAAGGCCTTTTTTGAATGTTTGGAATGCTCTTGTCTGAGAGATATCTTAATATGAAAGCAAATACCTGAAGCATAATAAAAGCTTGTAAAGCATCAAGAAAAGAAACGATCTCAGGAAAACCTAATAGTAACTCGTGATCCAGGGACATATAAAACTGGAGATACACCGTGAAATAAAAAATGTCAGGTACTTAACAGCATGCAAATGACTGAAGCCAAAAGAAAAAGAAAGAAAAGAAGAAGAACCAATTAACTATGAGAGTCTGCATCCTTCCCCAGGGCCAGTGTTAATTTCCATCGCTGTCTTTAAGCACATCGTTTTGAAAGAGTGTGCTCGGGTTCATCCATCTTATTTCTTCTGTTAGCCTCAGAAAGGGAGAAAGTAATTTTCCTACATTGTCAGCTTCTTTACAAATGTCTGGGCCTTTTCTAAACAGAACCCCCATTGAATAGAGGAAAACAACCATTCTCACACTGAATGCCCTCTTTAACCCTAAATGCTTATTCAGTCATTTAGCACCTCTCTTCCTCGCCTTTTTTCCCTTCTGAACATGACCTGAAAGAAGATGTTGGAACCCCCCTGCATGGCGGCGGGTGGCATTGCCCTGCCCCATTCATCTGCGCGTTCATCCGTTTCTCTTACGGAGCAGCCTCAATGCTCTACCGATGTGCGGGTGCCAATCTGTCTCCCCGAGGTTATTCAGCATCTAACGTTGCTATTTAATCTCCAGATTTCTAAACTTGCAGCAGACTGGCTGTGAACAGGCCAGATTATTTGTTTCCTCTTAAAATAAGTGCTTGATGGTTGGGTTGTGTGGGGCCGGTCCTTGGTGGTCACTGCATGTAATCAACATTCATAGACTGTAGGAAAATGTGGTTTAATGAAACATTCTGCCACTTTTTCTTCTTTGGCACGCGTTAAGCAGTGCGTGCAATGCATTGCAAATGCAAGTAATTCAGAGTTTACAAGGAAAGGAAGGAGAGTGAGGAACCCCAGAGGACAGGGACGTGGGGTGGTGGGACAGGGCTTCAGGCTGATTTATCTTTCATACAGTAGTTTGGCCAGTGGGAACGCGGAGTGGGAGGAGGCTGTGGCTGCCTGCTCTTCCCAATGGGGAGGAGGCTTTACGGTCCTCTCAGCGGAGCTGGTGTTTACTAAAAGGTCTTTCCTAAAGAGCCCACCGAATAGAAAACGTCTACTTCCCGTAGGCTCCTGAGAAGCTTCCTGAAGTCAGTGAGCACGTTCTGCATAAAAGCTCATTTGAACTCTGCACTAATTTGCCTAGCAATTCATAGGAATCAATCATCTAATATTCAGTCCCCATCTAATGAATGGCTGCTTAAACACACTAGTTTTTTTTTTTCATTGCATTGGGTTAGGAAGTTTGCAGCTGGTAAATTAAAATAGGAAGCAGTCTTTGGTATGAAAGTGGCATATTTTAAGTGCCTTGGAATGCACTTGTTACAAGTGCTCTGCTGTTATGTGAGCAGTAGTTTAATGTGGTTGGCTGGGCGTAGTGGCTCACGCCTGTAATCCCAGCACTTTGGGAGCCTGAGATGGGCGGATCACGAGGTCAGGAGTTCAAAACCAGCCTGGCCAACATGGAGAAACCCCGTCTCTACTAAAAATACAAAAATTAGCTGGGCATGGGTGCACACGCCTGTAATTCCAGCTACTCGGGAGGCTGAGGCAAGAGAATTGCTTGAACCTAGGAGGCAGAGTTTGCAGTGAGCCAAGATTGCGCCACTGCACTCCAGCCTGGGTGACAGAGCAAGACTCCACCTCGCAAAGAAAAAAAAAATTAATGTGGTTGACCATTAGAAACACAACATCAAAATTGTTTTGGAGCCATCTTAGTTGGTTAAGATTGATGTGCAAAAATCAAATATTTGGCAGTTATAAAAGGACATACCATAGATTTTAACTAATCTCTTTTATGTAGAGAGTGGCAAAAAATCTTAATGCTTTAATGAAACCTACTTTACAATCACGAATGTTATTTGTATTCTGTGAACATATTGCAATGTACAAGCAGCTGAACAATGAAATAAATCCAAAATCCCCAAACACTTCCCAGTCAGCTCAGCCTCACAGGTGTCCATTGGGTCCTTGGTTCTTTGCTTCCTCTCCATCCCCAGCTTTCAGCACATTGCTGTGTGGCCGTCTTGAAGGAAAGCCCTTCATTCTCTTCACCTTCGCTCAGGTTTCCTGGCTCACTGGCTATGGTGAATAATTTATCCCTCTGATTTTAATGAGTGTATTTTATTGTGTTTTTAAAAAGTAGGGACCCAAACTGATCTTCATGCTATCTCTTTGTTTAAAACTATATTTGAAAAAAATACTTCCATTAATTTTTTAGATATTGAATCCAGAAGCACTGGTGATAGCAGCAATAACTAACATGTGTTTTTCATGAATAGGTGGCAATTATTGCAAAAAAATGCTTTACATACGTTATTGCAATTAATACAGCCACCACCTTAGTCGCTGTTATTATACCTACCTTGCCCCAGAACAGTGAGG
The DNA here is from genome assembly GCF_000001405.40 of Homo sapiens. Lineage (NCBI taxonomy): Eukaryota > Metazoa > Chordata > Mammalia > Primates > Hominidae > Homo > Homo sapiens. The sequence goes on from NC_000007.14 coordinate 154,340,811, forward strand.
CTTGAGCAGCTAAAACCACTTGCTTGAGGTCTTCTAGGCAGGGAGTACCATGAAACCCGTGTCCACTACAGAATGCCTGGCGCTGCTCTTTTTGGCTCTGAGTGTGCTTACGATTTTTTGAAAAACATTTCCCTTGAGACATCCTTTTCTTATAGTATTTGTAGTTTTTTCAGCATATATAAATATATAAATTGAATTATTATAACATAAACTTATAAATTACATTCTCTAATGAATGGATTCAAGGCTCCTGGCAGAGATACTAGTTTTTATGCTTGTAATCAATCACACTTAAATATCATGCAATCCAAATGCTAACAAAATTACTCTGTCCCCATTTGGCATTTAGAAAACATCAAAAACATGCTGATGATGCCAAATAGGGTTTTTAAGAATGGGGCGAAAGGTGAAGGTGTCAAGTGCAGCGAGGATTCCTGCAGCTCTTTCCTTGTGTGGGGGTATGTCAGCGTCAGTGCAGGCTGCGGTGTCTGGCTCTGTCCTTCTGACATCTGCGGTGGCTGTGGTCCACCTGGAGAGGTGGTTATGTAGGACTCAGGGAAATACATAATTGTGAGCATTCCATTTATTCAGGTTTTAGAAATGAAATCTACAATCGCATGTGCCTTTCTCATACTCTGTAGTCGCAGATCTGATGAGAAAAGTGAGAGACAGAACAGAGAAAACCCTCACTCCTGGGTCGGGCTTTACTTCTTGACTGTCCAAAAAAGGAAAGATATAAGATTTTGATTCTTTCTTGGAAGCTGCATCATTACTTTGCTTTATTGTTCAAGAAATTGAATAATAGGATTATATAATAATAATATGTAATAATAATCCTATTATTCAATTTCTTGTCCCTTCTGTTTAGTCTTGGGGTGTGTATGCATGTGTGTACGTGTGTTTGTGTTTCACTTTTCTCCTTGATGACATTTAAGACTGCACCCATTTTTATGTTCCAGGTGTTGTAGATCTTGTCAAAATGGCTGTCTGTTCCTTGGTTACCTTCTCCTATAATGACGCAAGAAGAATGGTTGAATTTAAAAGGCAATACATTTAGAACCAATTAAAGAGAACATTTTTAGCACAGGGTGTGGCGCTTACAAGAGTTCATAAAAACCGAAGTTGCTGGGAATGAGTTGCCATTCACCTGCACTAGAAACTATGGACTTGTGTCAACGATGGGTCCTTTGGGGAGGAAATCATCTCATCACCTGTGATTCTTTTCTTGTTATCAGAGGGAGAAAATGTTGGCACAGCTTCCCTCTAGAAAAAGATATTGTTAATAATTGGTTAATTATGAAGACTGATGAAGAAAAGACATTACAGCTGAGATGGTTGGGAGGGAGAGAATGTCTAGGCTGTGAAGCAAAAGGAACTAATGATTAGCCAGCAGGGTCTGACAACCAGGTTACGGTCAGCAGCCCCAGGATATCTGATCGTGTGGGCACAGCATGGAAAGGAATGCCTCTGAATTGGCCTACTAAGCTGAGGCAGAACAGGCAGACACACTGGGATTTGAGCCGGGGATAGGGTGTGGTCAGGTGGAGAGACAGAACTGAGGCCTTCACATGTTTGGGGGTTCTAGGAGGGACAGATTCTGTCCAGCCTACCTTTTCTCAATGCATTAAACTTTGGCAAAGTAATCAGGTTGCAGAAGCAACATTAGAGTATCCTCCTTTAGCTGCTGAGTTGGGGGTGAAGTGGGCTGTAAGCCCCGGGGCAGTTTTCAGAGGACAGGCTTTGAGACTGCCTGAAAGATTCATCACCTTAAGGATAAATTTCCTGGAGGCGAACTAGAAGATCCTGTGCATTAACAGAACAGTCAATGCCTGTTATCCAGGAACTGATGTGAACATCTGACAGCTTCTGTACCTTTCAATCTTCAAGCACTGCATGGTGAATTTTGTGATTTAAGGAAACCATAAATGAATTAGATCACTTTTTTCCTTCCAAATGCGAGATTCCAAATGACAGCAGAATTTCCGTCCACTTCCTAAAAGTTAAAGGTAGAACTGCTTGAGTGAGGCTACCAGTGCTGAACTGGCAAGCCAATCGTGGCCAAAGCTCTCAAGGTAAACTGAAATGATCAATGTATTTATAGTAGGATAATCAAAATTTATTTATTAAAGAAACCAAGATGAGACCAAGAGCATCCAGTGGCCAATATTGATGTGCCTCACTTGAAGGCATTTCAAACCATCTCGCCGCTAACCAAGGTACAGCAAGATTGTTCAGCTTTGCTGAAAATGACTTGACCGTAGATTTGCTTCTGGGGCAAATGGATTGTAAATTGCTAAAATGACACTGGTTTGAATGGCCTGAAAAGAGGAAGGGAACTGCTGCTTCCGTGTTCCCTGAGTGCCTTGTGTCATTACCTCATTTACTCACTGCAACGCCACACACTTTGTGGCTTCCTGATTTTACAGATGAGAAAACCAAGATTCTGAAGGAGTATGCAGATTCCCCAAAGGCACACAGCTAATCAGCGGTGGAGCGAAATTCCAAACAGCTCCAAAGACTGCCTGTCTCCAAGGGGCATCTCACTGCATCTTCGCAAGTGCACAGGCAGCGTCAGTCCGGGCACTGAAACTGACAGCTGCTGCGGTCTTGATTTTGAGACAGTTTGGGTCTCAGCCAGTGCTATTCAGCGGCTTGAAGTCCAAAATCACACCCGTGCACATGTAGGATTGTTGTCTCACGTATCAGTGGACCTGTCCCCTGCAGGGAAGAGTTGATAAATATGGCACTCTGCTTCACTTTTCTTGTTTTTGTTTTAGTTTTTGTTTTTGAAACAGAGTCTTTCTCTGTCACCCTGGCTGGAGTGCAATGGTGCGATCTCGGCTCACTGCACCCTCTGCCTCCTGGGTTCAGGCGATTCTCCGGCCTCAGCCTCCTGAGCAGGTGGGATTACAGGCGTGTGCCACCATGCCTAGCTAATTTTTGTATTATTAGTACAGATGGGGTTTCACCATGTTGGCCAGGCTGGTATCGAAATCCTGACCTCAAGTGATCCTCCCGCCTTGGCCTCCCACAGTGCTGGGATTACAGGCGTGTGCCACCATGCCTGGCTAATTTTTGTATTATTAGTAGAGACGGGGTTTCACCGTGTTGGCCAGGCTGGTATCGAAATCCTGACCTCAAGTGATCCGCCAGCCTCAGCCTCCGAAAGTGCTCGGATTATAGGCGTGAGCCACCGTGCCCCACCCTCTGCTTCACTTTTCTACTCTAAGTTCTTTTAAAAGAACCATGACATGGCAGAAGAAGAGACTGATGAAAGGTAGGCAGGAGGGGCACTGCCCTGTCTTTGGTCCCAAGCCTTTTCCTCTCTTATCTGCAGTCATTCCTGTTAAGGTTATTTCCTTGGGAAAATTCCACACCCACAATTGTCTGTTCCCAAGCACACCCTCACGTCTGTGTTCTAACACCCGCTTCTTACCTACTTTCTCTCAATAACAATAAGGTAAGAAGTAAATTTTCTAACTGGCAGACAGGCGTATGAAAAGGTGCTAAACATCATTGCTCATCAGAGAAATGCAAATCAAAACTGCAATGAGGTATCATCTCACCCCAGCTAAAATGGCTTATATCCAAAAGACAAGCAGTAACAAATGCTGGCGAGGATGTGGAGAAAAGGGAACCCTCATACGCTGTTGGTGGGAAGGTAAATTAGCACAGCCACTATGGAGAGTAGTATGGAGGTTCCTTAACAAACTGAAAATTGAGCTACCAGGGAAAGGTTTTAACAAGAGTACTGCTACCAGCTGTACCAGCCTGCGATACATGCTAAGGACTCAGGTGCTACGTGAGAGAGATCCAGTTAAAACCCCAGCTTCAAGATTTAGGGGCTGTGGAAGCTTGTACGAGTTTCTTGGCAACTCTGATTCACATTTTCCGGTGAGACCCCCATCTCTACTAAAAATACAAAAAATTAGCTGGGCGTCTTGGTGCACACCTGTAGTCCCAACTACTCGGGAGGCTGAGGCAGGAGAATTGCTTGAACCCAGGAGGCGGAGGTTGCAGTGAGCTGAGATCATGTCACTGCACTCCAGCCTGGGTGACAGAGTGAAACTCCATCTCAACAAAAAATAAAAGATGAATAATAACCTCCAAGTGCTGTTGTGGGGATTAAATATGAGAATATGTTTAAATGCTTAATAGCTGGCACTTAAACATAAGTGGAAAAAGTGATCATGTGACCGCTCGGCAAATATCGCTGGTACCGTTAGTTGGTTTGGGCTGCTATACCAAGATACCATAGACTAGGTGGCTCAAACAACAGACATTTATTTCCTGAAGTTTCCTGAAGTTCTAGAGGCTGAAAGTCGAGGATGAGGGTGCGGGCAGCTTTGGTGTCTGGTGAGGGCTCTCTTCTTGGTCTCCACACCGGGCAGGAGGGGAGAGAGAGTGGAAAGAGGCTCTCACCTGTCTCTTCTCGCAAAAGCACTAATCCCATGGTGAGGGCCTCACCCTCATGACTCACCACTTCCCAAGGTCTTACCACCTGATACCATCCCACTAGGGTGACGATTTCAGCATGGAATTGAGGGGGCACACATTCATTCTATATTTTAGATTGTGCTACTTGCAAATAATTTCACTGCTGGAAAATTCTGAGGGGCTGGTCAATAGGAAGTGCATGTCATTGCAATTCTTATTTGCAGTCCATTTTCCCATGGGTTGGAAAGTGGGGAGGAAGGCATCCTACTGGTCTGGGAAGATCCATTTGCTGATACAGGTAAGCAGATAGAGGTGGATTTCCCAAGGTGGAAATCCTAAGGTGGATTTGCTTAGTCTTGGGACCTGTTGCTGTCCACGCCCCTACCTTGGGCTTTGCTGTTCCTCCTTCCGCCCCACATTGGCTGAGAGCCCAGAGGTCAGCTATGCTTCCCATTCTGTGTGGACTCTGCCATATGCATCCATAAAGGCCACTGCCAGCCACACTCTGCATCCCTCATTTATGGTCCCTGGAACTGGGACCCTGTCTGTGCTACCCCTTGCTTCCTTCTCCTGATGTTTCCAACTGGAGAGGGAGAGGACATTCTCATTCCAGAGCAAGCCCTGCTGCTCCCTCGTTCCATCCATCATTTCTTCGCATGCAAAGTACCTTCTAAATGCCACCAGAAAACTTTCTGTCAGTCAGACAGACATGCTTTTGAACTGAAACATACTTTGATTAGGGAGCAAGGTGAGCCGATTCTTTCTGTTACGTATCAGCAAATGGATCTTCCCAGAGGGGTAGAAGCCTTCCTCCCCACTTTCCAATCCTTGAGAAAATGGGCCGCAATTAAAAAGACAAGCACTTCCTGTTTACCAGCCCCTCTGAATTTTCCAATGGTGAAATTATTTGCGAGTATATCTCACTCTTTCTCAGAGGTTGGCCCAGACTCCCAGGATAAAGGAAAGACCATTTGGGTCTTCACATACTGGGAGGAAACAAAACTGAAGACTTTTCAAGCCTCTCAAACCTACTTTACAGTGATTCTCTCTTTCATCTTTCTTTTTTTTTCTTTGAGATGGAGTCTTGCTCTGTCTCCCAGGCTGGAGTGCAATGAATGGCGCAATCTCGGCTCACTGCAACCTCCACCTCCCAGGTTCAAGCGATTCTCCTGCCTCAGCCTCCCAAGTATCTGGGATTACAGGCACTCACCACCATGCCCGTCTAATTTTTGTATTTTTATTAGAGACGAGGTTTCACCATGTTGGCCAGGCTGCTCTTGAACTCCTGATCTCAGGTAATCCACCCACCTCAGCCTCCCAAAGAGCTGGGATTACAGGCGTGAGCCACAGTGCCCAGGCCCTCCTTCACACTTTTAATTGGGACCCCCCCTGTGTCTTGAGGGACTCTGAGTGGCATTACAGTGGAGTCACTTTGCCATTAATCCTATCACTGAGAGCACCAAGCAGGTGTTCATGCCCAGGTAGGCTGAGCATCTGTATCAAGGCTTCCTGAGCTTTCCTGTGCCTTCCATCGTCACTTATTTTACTGCAAAATAACAAATGCTTTTTGGGGATACACTAAAGCTACCACACATTTAATATTGACTCTGGAGTTTCAAGTAACTTAAAATCTACTAATCTCAGTGAACTTTCGCCCAGAGTATAATGTTTTCCATTTTCTATTTTTCCTTTCATGTAGTTCTACTCTAGAGATGGATGTGAGAAAGATAATACAGGAACCATCCTGTATCTCAGCAAACTCTACTGAAATCAGTAGGTATCATGTATGTGCATGCACGTACACACACACACGTGCACAAATTAGCCCTGTAATGTTATTCCATGTCAGATTGTTGCCTTTGGCCAAACTCAGCGATTGTGAATGACATCTCCTGCTCGGTTCATGTAACGTACAGGAGACCTGTTCTTAGCATTTACCATTATCCTTCCAGTCTTGACTAAGGTTGGGTGCACATTCACAGAGACTACCAACTCTCGATTCAGGGTTTGAAAAGTCTGAATGGTTGTGTATTAAATGGAAAAGATCAGACCAATATTCCCTAGCCTTGGATGAAACTGTTTGTTTGCAAAATGATGTTTTAGACAGAAGTGAGTTTTCAGAACATTAAAAGATTCCAGTGATAATATTTGCAAATCCTTTCATCTGCATGAAAATTTAGCAACTAAATCTGGCCATTAAAGCATAATCTTTATTTGACCAAAGCATGATATAAAAATGGAATAAACTATAATTTATCTTTGCTGACAGCTAATTACCTGGAAGTCTGATTAAAGGGAAAACTAAATTTACTTAATTAGTGTTTTGGTGTTTAATCTGTATACATATAAATATGCCTATCTCCTCTCCTACATGAACATTTCTAGAAATAAATTACCATTTTTATTTTGTCCCTTTCAGATGCTGCCAAACTGAGGGCAGCATTAGAAGAATGGGTATTTTAGCAACAATGGTAGCAGGTGTTTGTAGACTGTGATCCCATTAGAGGAGCAGAGTGAGGTAACACAAGAATGGGATGCTTACCACAAAGTAGTTTTCTTTTTTCCCCAATGGCTCCTCCTTTAACTGTGAACAAGAAGAGTGCCAACTTGTGGAGTGAACCAGCCCTGCCAATGAATCCTGGCTTGGTGGTGGAAAAATCTGCATATAATTAAGCCCCTTGAGGCAAGTGGACTTTGATAGACAAGAGGTGGCTTTGAAAACGTTGAAATCATTTGTTTTTTAGCAGCAGTATTTGGCAGTGTTGCCTTTTGACGGTTTGAGGAACTATGCTGTAAGTACAGCCAAAGGCAGAGGAGGTTTTATGGAACTCTCAGCTCCCACCCCCACCTCCTGATGCTGCAAAGTTCTCCCACTAGATGCAATTTAAACAGGAGACATATGTAACACACCTCAGGTGGTGTAATGAAATCATCCTCTTTTCTGAGCTTCTGAAAGTCAAATATACTTATATTAATTTTTTAAAGTGATCTGAAAGTCATACGATTCTATTCTTGAAATAGAGAGGTTTTCGTTACTTAAGTGGCAGACTTACTGACAGTTCAGTTATAGGCTTACAAATAATTGGACTAAAATATGATTTTTATAAAGCATTGTAGGTTTTAATCAAAATCCCTACAGAAATGAAAGTCTTAATTAAATCTGAAATCCTACTTCCCAGACCTGAAGTTTCCAATATCATTTTTTATTCTCGCCCAACATCCTCTGTGATTAAAATAGAACATAAGTGGTGAAATCGCTGATTATTTAAAGGATAGCATCATAGAAACAAACCCAAAGCACGTAGAAGTCATTTTAGACTCATGAAAGGTAGAAGATGAAAGAGGCTTGCACAGCATCTTCATCTCAGGAAGACTTTTGGGTCAGGTTCTGTTCATTTCATTATCGTCACTCTTCTCGGTTGCATAATTGGAAGTTCTCTAAAATAACTACTTCTGACAAAATTTCTAAAAGTTGCTGAGTGGAGGCTTAAAAAAGGACTAATATCCTTAATGATTTGATAAAGATTAAAATCACAGTTTCAGGAAGGGTTACTTTTTGCCTACTTCACAGACATTCACCCTCTTCTCTGGTAGCCTGGACAGTCATTTTCTAGAACCATCTTCCTTCTTTATTCTGCCATTTGGCTGAATGACCCTTAAGGTGACACAAAGTAAAGGGACTATGACAAGGTTAACAAATGTGCAACACAAGTTGCCTGTTCTCTGTTGTTTCGATGAAGCATTCAGCTCAATATAAAAAACTATATCTCATTAATACACCTTCCAACTGGGCAGAGGATGGGAGCACAGAGGGGTCCACAGCTGTAAGTGGAGGCAAACATATGCCATGAAACCCAGGCCAGTGAGGAAGGGGGTGACATGTGGATTTTAATAGTTAATTTTTGTTGTTGTTGTTGTTTGTTGTTGTTGTTTTGTTTTGTTTTTTGAGACGGAGTCTCGCTCTGTCACCCAGGCTGGAGTGCAGTGGTGTGATCTTGGCTCACTGCAACCTCCACTTCCCAGGTTCAAGTGATGCTTCTGCCTCAGCCTCCCAAGTAGCTGGGATTACAGGCGCACGCCACCACACCTGGCTAATTTTTGTATCTTTAGTAGAGATGGGGTTTCACCATGTCGGCCAGGCTTGTCTCGAACTCCTGACCTCAGGTGATCCACCTGCCTTGGCCTCCCAAAATGCTGGGATTACAGGCATGAGCCAACACACTCGGCCAATTTCTTTTTTGATGTCCAGGTACAGAGAAGTTGACATTTTCATTTAAACACATACTTGACCCAAGGACACAATTCCTTTAATACGGCTGGGTATGCTAAGCTATGGATCATCAGTGCCACAGTAAAAATGGACTTGTGTTTATAGGTTGTCTCCTGGAGATTGTTGTGAATTATATGCATTTTAGGAAATAATAAACTTGTAATATGTTCGCCTGTGTGACTTAACGCCGTGTCAGCTAGAGTAAGTGTGCAGCACATCCAAACCGGACCTTCTATGGCTTTAATACTTCTGAAGACCTCTGTAAAGATTCTTCCTTCTCAGTACCCAAGTGCTGAAAAAAAACATGTATTATTATAGGTCAGAATTAGCATTTTAGTCAGTTATTCTAGAAGTAGAGTAAAAAACAAATTTTCAGACTCACTTATGTATTTTTCACATGGGTAATCCTTTGAGTCAGGAAACTGGCTAGAGTTACATTCCATAAATAAAATGTTTTGATGATGATGCCAACTTGGGCATGGCCTTGTCTCTTAACTTAGGAGGAGGACAGGCAGACCTGGGGGGTGATGATTAAGTAAAATATCAGTCAGACAGATGAACCGTAGGACAAAACCACCACCAAGGGCTGTGGGGATGGAGATGAGACCCTGGTCACCTCCCCTGGAGAATGTGGAGAAGACTTCACCCTATGGTTGATGGACATGTGGTCTGGGGCTGGAAGGTTCAGTGGGATTTTAGGAAGGGGAGAAGGAAGCAGGAACAGGGGAAACAGTTTGATCTGAGACACTGGTGTAAGGTTGGGATAATTTTCAGTGACATGGGGAGGAACACGGCCTTGAAGGGTGGGAGAGTGGTCTTCCATTCATGACTTACTGAGCCTGTCATATGTGTGATGCAGTGGAATCCACAGAGGATTCTGTCCTGGATCACACGCAAACCCAGCCTTCATGGAGCTTGTGTGTGGTATGGCGTGCTAAGTCGTAGACCCATTACTTAAAATGACTGTGTTGTTAAATGTCAACCGAGTATCATGGAGACATTCATGATGGGGGACTACTGTGGTCTAGATCAGCGGTGTCCACTAAAGACATTTGAAGACGGGCTGGGGGCCTGTGGTCTGACCCAGGCCAGGAAGATGTGTAGTTCAGAGTGAGTTGGGTATCACTGCTCTGCCTTGAACAGGTGCACCCTGGTGTTATGGGACTATCAGGTTCAACTGCCCGTTGCATGGTAACAGACCACCAGTACACCAAAACAGCAGGATGTGGAGCAGACAATGTGTTTAATAATCATAGGGCAGCTGAACAAGGAGACAGGAGGAAACCTCAAATCCGCCTCTCTGAGGAGCTTTACATGGGTGTTTTTAAGGGAATTTTGGTTAGGGGGCTTAGGAGCTGGAGATCACTGACTGGACAGTGTGTGGGAAATGAAATCATAAGGATGTAGAAATTGCACTCCTGCGCTGAGGCTGTTCCTCGGAGGGCATTTTCAGATGGGCTGGAGTCAGTGGGCCCATTGGACTGTAGGTTCTGGAAAATATCTCCAAATGGAAAATTTGAGGTTTCTTAACATTTAAGGTGTTACCTAGAGAAGTTAGGAGCATGTGACGGGGGCACGTGACTTCTAAGCAGCAAGCAGCTATCAGAAAGTGGGCCAAAGGACAAGCTGGTTAATGCGTCACTGTGCTTCTACTTAAAGCTTATGCTTTTGTTAAAAATTTAGCAATTTGGTTTTATTAATTTTATGAGGACGGTTTCCCTGGTGAGCATTTGGCTCCACAGAGAGGGATCCAACAGCTAAGAGTCTGCAGTAGAGGCGGGATCCCACAGCTTCACTGATCACCCCATTTTCCTGTGGCCCCACCACCATCTCTTCTCTTCTCCCAGGACCCTAGCTCGGGTGGAAACAGTGGGGAGGCCTTGGTCTCCAGCTCAGAACCCAGGAGCCAAAAATAGCAGCTGAGTGTAAATTTTCATTAAGACAGGGGATTAGAGATCAAAAGGGGTGGCCTCCCACTCTCCAGACCCCAACTCCTCCCTGAGTCAGCACCCCCACCTGCACCTGCACCTGGAGGGACCCTGCCTGCCCACACTCGGTGGTGGCCACAGCCTGCATCTAGCAGGGTGTACCCTGTGCCAGGTGGCAGGAGAGCCTGGAATGTGCTGTCAGTTCTCAGCTGATCTACAAGGGTAACCACAGTCAAAGCCATTTTAAGGAGGGGAAAGTTAAGTAAGGAAGAGGCCAATTAATGTGCCCATGAGGATGTTAACAAGCAGCCTTGGAATTGGAGCCAAGACAGGACTCCAGAGCCTGCATGGGGGGCCTCTGGGTGTATCATCTTTGCTCCAGCTGAGCACCGGCTTGTCTCAAGAACAGGCTACTGCATGGCACCTCTGCTCCCCTGGGGTCCTGGAAAGGTTCCCTGGTCTGGGGCATCTGCTCCCAGCCCTCTGGAAGGTGGGAGTGAGGATGATGACATCCCAGCAGGGCACTGGCCGACCAGCCTGCTCCTATAGCAATGCCTTCCTGTCCTCCTGCCCACTGCCCCTTTGGGCACTGCTGGTGGCCAGCACTGGCGGCCAGTGCTGGCCTCTTCTCCCTGCTGCAGAGCTGCTTCCATAGGCGGACCTGGTCAGAGCTCAAGTGGAGGGGAAGCAAACCTTTTGGAGTGTCTTGGGTTACCTCCTTAAACATTAAAGACAAGGCCGGGCACGGTGGCTCACGCCTGTAATCCCAGCACTTTGGGAGGCCGAGGTGGGCAGATCATGAGGTCAGGAGATCGAGACCATCCTGGCTAACACAGTGAGACATCATCTCTACTAAAAATACAAAAAATTAGCCAGGAGTGGTGGTGGGCGCCTGTGGTCCCAGCTACTCAGGAGGCTGAGGCAGGAGAATGGCCAGAACCCGGGAGGCGGAGCTTGCAGTGAGCCGAGATCATGCCACTGCACTCCAGCCTGGGCAACAGAGTGAGACTCTGTCTCAAAAAAAATAAAAATTAAAATAAAAATTAAAGACAAATTAAAAATTTGTCCTTAAAAATGCAGGGACATGGATGAAGCTGGAAGCCATCATTCTCAGCAAACTAAAACAGGAACAGAAAACCAAAGACTACATGTTCTCACTCATAAGTGAAAGTTGAACAGTGAGAACACATGGACACAGGGAGGGGAACATCATACACTGGGGCCTATTGGGGGGTGTGGGGTAAGGGGAGGGAGAACATTAGGACAAGTACCTCATGCATGTGGGGCTTAAAACCTAGATGATGGGTTGACAGGTGCAGCAAACCACCGTGGCATGTGTATACCTATGTAACAAACCTGCACGTTCTTCACATGGATCCCAGAACTTCAGTAAATTTTTTTTTAGATGCAGATGTTTATGCACTGACTTAAATATTTAATAAGGCATGCTTTAATTTGTTTGTTTTTACTTATTGTTTTAAAAGCTAGAGTCCTGACCAATTTGCTTCTGCCTCCACACATTTTGTTTTTAGAGATATAAACTACAAGTATATCTCAGCAATATGAGGCCAGGAAAGAGATGCTCCGAGCATGCTCTGTAGCCGTGGCCCCTGGGCCAGCAGCATCAGTGCTACCTGTAGGCTTCAGACCTGCAGAATCCTAGGGCCCAGCCCAGATGCACTGAATCAGACCTGTATTTTAACAGGTCCCCTGGGTGACCTGTAACCACATTCCACTTTGTGAAGTTCTGTTTAAAGAAGCAGGCCTGGGATTTGCTTACTATTCAGTGAAACTTTCAATAAAGCTTCTTTTCTCTTCCTCCGTGAACGGCAGTTATTTTCTCGTAGCAAGAGTCTGGACTACAGTTGTTCTGAATCTTTTGAGTAGATATTGAAGGGGAGATACATGAGCATGCAAGCAGACGTGCCCAGTATAGCGAGAACCAGAATAATGAACCCCTGCAAAGTGGGAGGGCATTTGGAAAGAGTGCACGCTGAGTTCATCCCCAGCATAAAGGAACCAGCCCGTTATTCTAATCTGATGAGGGAATTCTTCCTGACAATTGAGTGATGGAAGGAGGCATTTTAAATCTTTCCATGTGTGTCTCTTCTGGCAAGTGGACAGGGCTTGTGATGAATCCTAGGTCTGATACCAGGGTCTTTAATGTAAAAGACAAAAACATACTAGACATCTAGCCTATTAAACTTGAACTCCAGCCAAATAAGAGCTGATTTCCTGCTGCAAATCAACAAAAGACCTCCTGCACATGGAAGACGACTCTGACACTAACACTGATTTAGGGCCAGGAAGCCTGCAGTTTAAATTAAGCTGGAGGATACTAGCTTTATATGAAAATGGCAGGCAAGTGTCTGTGGCTCACAGAACAAGTATGATATACTTTTGTTGCAAGACCTTTGCATAGAAAATCATCTTCTTTTAGAAAATAAATTCCGTTGCCAAGTTTTGTTTCCCATTCTACTCTGCCCCTTAATGTCCAAGGAGAATTCTCCCTGAAGTCCTTGAGGATGGGGCTTATTCAGCACATCATAGATTTATGAAGCCTTTGCCATGTGTCAAGCACTGTGCTAAGCCCAGGGGATTAAGAGCAACAGGCAAGCCACAGTCTCCCTCTGTGCACCAGCCCTGGCTCCGTGAAATCAGGAAAGCAGGAGGAAAGAACTCAAAGTGCACGCCTGGGGAAGTATCACTGCCACCTAAACCCTTCTTCTCAGCTATCTTCCCTATCCAACCACTAGACACACTGGTGTTTCTAGTCGTCTCAACTTGCTCTCTTTCTATGAGTTCCACAATTCTCAGTCTAGTAATAATAGCCAACATTTCTTGAATATTGTCATGTGTCATGTGATAAGCCCAGTGTGGTGTTTTATATGCATTTTACCATTTAATACAATGGCCGTATAGGAGGCACTATCTTTACCCTATTTTATTGATGAGATATTAGGGACTGGGACAGACACTCCTCATCCTGAGCCTAAGCCACTGCAACAGCTTGTAAACTTTCCCTTCCAATTCCAAGCTACTCCTTTCCAGTATATCCTGCAAATGGCTTCCCTATTAATATTCCTAAATTATGATTTCGCTGGGTGTCTTTTCTCTTCCCAAAGATAAACACTATTTTGACACCTTCACCATCCATTCGGTTTGGCTTGCTTTGGAACCCTGTATAAATAGAATCATGCAATACATATTCGTTTGCATCTAGCTTAATTTGCCTAAGATTATGTCTGAAAGTCGCCTCACATGTAGTACTGGTTCACTCTTCGCATTTCTGTAAAGTGTTTTGTTTTAGGAATGTAGCACCATTTATTCCTTCTGCTGTTGGTGGATGTTCATATTGCTTCCAGACTTGATCATTATGCACAATGCTGCGGGCACTCTTGTATGTTCAGTGCATAAGTGCATGCGTTTATATTGATGGTTGTGAGCTATGAACATGTTCAGCTTTGGTTGATTCTGCCAGAGATTTCCAGAGTAGTTGCACCAATTTATACTCCCATCAGCAGTGAACCAGAATGTCATTTTCTTTACATTCTCTCCTCACCTGCCCTTGGGAGGGGTGAGGCTGTTTTGGTGGTGGTGGTGTTTTTACCATTCTGGTAGGATCCCATTGTCATTTTGATTTCCATTTCTTAGGTGACTTGAGCACCTTTTTAGATGCTATTGGCCATTTGGGTAGCCTCCTTAGTCAAGTACCTATTCAAGTTTTTTGCTCATTTTTAAATTGTATTTTATTTGCTCATTTTGTATTATGTTGTTATTGTATGGCTCCCTTATACTTGAACTACAAAAGTTATTTATATATTCTAGGTATGAGACCTTCATCAGATACATTATTGCAAATATCCTTTCTCTGTAGTTGGCCTTTTCATATAATATTTTTCACAATGGTGTCTTTTGATGAACAGAATTTTACAATTTTGATGAAGTCTAATTTGTTAATCTTTGCTTTTTTAGAGTTTTAATGAAATATCTAGTGTTATTCAAGATCATGAAAATGTTTCTGTTATTTGCTAGAAGCTTTATTATTTTACCTTCAACATTTAGATCTATGATGATCCAGAATATCTTTTTGAGTATGGTGTGAGGTAGGGGTCATGATTCATTTATTTGTATATGAATATTGAGTTCTTACAGCCCCATACAGTGAAGACACCATGCTTTCCCCCACATTACTGCTGTGAAACATTTGTGAGAAATCAGGTGACAGGTGGATCTAGTTTTGGACTTTCTATCTGTTCCCCTGGTTTGTTTACCCCTGGAGAGAAATCACAATATGTAAGTTACTATATCTTGTTAACTGGTAGTTTAAGTGGTTTAGATATCATCTTTAAGATTATCTTTATTATTCTTTGCCCTTTACGTTTTCATTAAAATTTTAGAATCGGCTTGTCAAATTACACACACATACTCACTCACATAGTGGTTGAGATTGCATTCTATGAAAGATTAAATTAGTAAGAATTTACATATTTACATTATAAAATTTTCCAATCCATGAATGTGATGTACTCCTCCATTTGTTTAGATCATCTTTAATTTCTCTTAACCTCATTTTAATGTTTTCTATGTAAGGTCTTGCTTATTTTTATGAGGTTCATTCCTAAGTGTTTGAGGGTTGGTGAGGCTAATATAAATGTTTTATTATTTTATTTCCATTTTCTGTTTTTTCTATTTAATTTCTATTCTGTTCATTTTCTGTGTGTTTATATGAGTGAAATGGAAATACAATTAACACTAATTTTATATTGACTTTGCATTTTCTTAGTCCTTACTTAAAACTTGGCATTTTATTTTATACAGTTTTGTAATTTTATTTGGATGTTTATTTTTCCTGTTCTCACAGTACTTAGCCCAATGTTGACCAAATAAATACTTAAGTACTTGTGGATTTGTTGATTAATGATTTATTTAAATAACTTTTGTCCTAGCTGGGTTACCTTAAAAGTTCTAACTTGGTCTGGCACAGTGGCCCTTGCCTGTAATCCCAGCACTTTGGGAGGCTGAGGTGGGAGGATGGCTTGAGGCCAGGAGTTTGAGGTTGTAGTGAGCTGTGATTGTACCACTGCACTCCAGCCTGGACAACATAGCAAGACCTTATCCCCCAACCCCCCCACCAAAAAAAAAATTCTAACTTATTATATCAATCTTTTCAATAGTCAGACAATTCTATCTAAGAAGTTAAATGTAACTGAATTCCATGGGCTTCTCAATCATTTCAAAAATTACAACTTTTAAAACAAAATAATAATTCCGGAAGTAGATATACACATTTTCCTGCAAATGTTTCTGTACTATGTCACATCTTGCTGAAGGTCATTTTAGTTAAATTAATGTAAAATGCAGACTGCATGAAATAAAGAATAAAAAGAACAAAAGAATAGCAAATAGAAAGAATTAAAAAAACATGGGAAGGCAATTAGCGAATTTTGTTGAAATTTGACACTACTTAATTAGCAGCTCAAATTTCCTGAAGCTTGAGGCTTTACCATCTAGACAATATTACATTGAATTTTGGGGGTTTAAAAATATAATTAAAAGTTTATTGGACAAAAGTTTTACCCACACCTAGCACATCATAGACAACACTATTGATAAAATGAAATTAAGCTACTGTATTTGATTATCCTCATAATATATTTTAAATGAACCATGAACAATGAATAGCTGACCTATAGTAAAAGCAAGAGGTTAAAGTAAAAAGAAATGTATCTAAAATGAAAAAACATACACAGTAGTTTTCTTTGATTTTAAACCAAACATGGATATGCCTGTTTCATTAATGCATTATCTTTAGAAAGTAATGTGGGGCTTTTTTTTTTTTTTTTGCAATTGAAAATAAGATTCATTTAATCAGCTATCGTAGTTCATCTGTTAAATTACAGCACTTTGCTGTCCATTTTGTAAAATAATCTTCAAACTAATGAAGTAAGGTCAATTGCATGCAATTTTATTCTAGCCAAATTGCTGTTAATTGCATCAACGGCTTTGGTAAGGTCAATAAATGTTGCCTTTTTACATCCTCTCCTGAAAATGGCAGAAAATAAACACCTTTTCTCTGTAATGTATTCAGGCTCGAGGCAACTCATAGCAGGTGGACTATTCGATTTTCATTACCTGATTTGAAAATGTTCCATTTCTAAAGAATTGTGGGAGGTATTGGAGTCACCAAAGCACTTTTAGCAAAGATATCTTTTAGCTGGGCCTGGTGGCTCATGCCTGTAATCCAACACTTTGGGAGGCTGAGGTGGGTGGATCACCTGAGGTCAGGAGTTTGAGACCAGCCTGGCCAACATGGTGAAACCCCATATCTACTAAAAATACAAAAATTAGCTGGGCCCGATGGCACATGCCTGTAATCCCAACTACTCGGGAGGCTGAGGCAGGAGAATCACCTGAACCCGGGAGGCAGAGGTTGCAGTGAGCTGAGATTGCACCATTGTACTCCAGCCTGGGTGACAAGACAATGTGAAACTTCGTCTCAAAAAAAAAAAAAAGAAAAGAAAAGAAATCTTTCTCGGAAGTGCTCCCTTGTTACTCTTGAATTATGTCAGTGGTGTCCCTCAAATAGAGACAAACTTATACTGAACAACTCAGAGTAGATTGTGGACCTTGACTTGTTAAGATTTTAATTTTTATGATAATCAGTCTAGAGCAGATCATCTGTTCTCCTTTAACCTGTCTTACAACAAACAGTAAATGTTTGTATGTCAGCTCAACCATAGTTATACTGTGAGGTATACCAGTTGGCTCACCTGCTCAGCCGTGCAGCCTAGGTCAGTGTAAGGAGGGGATATATTACCTGGACCCATGGAGGGTTAGGACCTCGCTGTGGCCTTATTCCTGCTGCAGACCTGACCCAGTCTTTAGGACTTGATCACATCTTTACAAGCTTTATGCTTTAAGATATGCTTTTCTAACCATCTCAATTTGTAAACTGTGAACACTCTGTGGTTTCTGAAATGGCGGAGATGTGTCTGAAAGGTGTCATGTGCGCCGTATTACAAAGAAACCCTAAAAACAGCAACAAGTGAGAGATACAGGTGGAAGTAAGAGCAGTGGCTGGAGGCAGAGAGAGACTGTGGCAAGCGGATGGCACTCGACGTGTGGGGGCAGTTCCCTAGGACCTCTGGGAGAGTTGCACTTATCCTATTTTCCTTGCCTTCACATAAGGTCACAATCACTATTAGAGTCTGTTTGATATACTCATTACTAATATTGATTTTACAGTTCAAGAAACAATATTTCTTCTTTTGTTTTGAGATGAAGTCTAGCTCTGTCACCCAGGCTGGAATGCAATGACGTGATCTCAGCTCACTGCAACCTCTGCCTCCCAGGTTCAAGCAATTCTCCTGCCTCAGCCTCCCAAGTGGCTGGGATTACAGGCAGCCACCACCATGCCCGGCTAATTTTTGGGTTTTTAGTAGAGATGAGGTTTCCCTATGCTGACCAGGCTGGTCTCGAACTCCTGACCTCAGGTGATCCACCTGCCTCGGCCTCCCAAAGTGCTGGGATTACAGGCGTGAGACACTGCGCCTGGCCAAGAAACAATATTCTTCTTTTAAAACTGAATGAGCAGAAATACTGTTAGTAGCCAGCTGAATTCAGGAAATGTGATGCATGTGCTGGTGCACATACCCAAGAAGACTGAAGACAGCATAGAAGGACAGAACAAAAGGCCAGTGCCAAGGGTGGCAGAGGGAGTCCTTGGTGCACTCTGGGACAAGCCCCCTGCGTGCTGGGTGTTTCGGGTGGTCTGTCTCCATGTGCAATATCAGTCATGTGAAGCCTTAACAAGGCATTCATTTAGTTAGTATTTCAGATTTGCCAACCCTGTTGGTGTTGGGATAAGGGTTAGAGATACAGAGAAGCACCCCTGCCCCGGAGGAGATCACTGCCTGGTGAGAAAACCAGGATGGGCTTCTACTCACCCCTTCAAGTCCTTGATGAAAGGTTCCTTCTGCAGGAGCCCCCAGCCCCTGCCTTCTGCTGTGTCCTGCTCCTCCTCACCTATGCTCCTGGCCCCTCTTCCCCTGCCTTATTCTTTATGGCACCATTGCCTTTCCAGCTTAGTTTCAGTGGCTTGCTCATTTTCATTTCTCCTCACTATCACACAAGCTCCCAGAGAGCAGGAGGTCTTGTCATTTTTTGTTCATTTGTTTCCACCAAGATACTTAGAACAATGTCTGGCATGGTGAGCCCTCAAAAGTATTTATGGAGGGAATGAATGAACTCGTGAATAAATGAATGTATGAAGTACTAATAGATGGGTGAGCATGGAACTCTATGTGATCAAGTGTAAAAGGCACTTTCCCAAACACAGGACTTAATGAGAGGCAGTCAGATAGTCAAACACTACAGCACTTGAGTTAGAGAAACGTTTTGACTAATCAAGGAAGCCTTTCTGGGAAGTATAAATGTCTGCATTAGAACTAGAAAGTCTAGAACGCCGTAGGAAGGTACAGAGGACAAGAACGATCTCCTTGGGCAGGCAGAAATGATCGAGCTGCGAGCTGCCGGAGGACCGCATGCAGGGGAAATTTTGCTTTTCTGAGTGCTGCTTGGCTTTGAGATGTAAGATTTAGACGTTAGACACTTTCTAGCTCATTTTACTATGCCAGTAGTGATCCTCCCTTTCTTATTTCTTTAAGAATTGAAGCTGGCATGAATCTGTTTTCAAGCTGCCATTTAGAAGTTGGAATAGTGTGTTATATTAACTTTATTTATTCTTAAAATATCATCTTGGTGCCCAGGATGACACTGCCTGAGGAGCTATCAAAGAGCCAATCCCTGTGGGATTTGTGAGAAAATTCAGCCATCTCTAGACCTCCAATTCCAAACCTCTTTCATCTCCCAAGACTCTATACTTTGATCTAACCTCTTGAGTGACTTCCTTCAATTTCTTCCTTTCACAGCAACAATTTCAGTCCCAGGGCATACACTTATACTTATAAACTATTTCTGGGGCCAGCTTGACCTCAAACCCGTACAAGATGATCGTTCCAGACAGAGAAATTCTCAGGACATGAAAACTTTCTTAGAATGTGCTGAAATAGGGTTGTGAATGCGTGTGTTGCTACCTCTGAAAACTTGATTTAGTGCTGTCCAGCAAAAGTCTTGACATCCTATGTTAGTTGGCTCAGCTCTATACAAAGAATCTGAAAGCACGGTAGAAGATGGTTGGCTTGTGTTAGGTTAGAAAGGCGTAACAATGAGTTGTTTTCTAAGTGACCAGCATGTGTGATTTATGACTGTATTCCAGAAAAATTCAATTATATGAGATAAATAAGTACAGAGTTAGTATGGGGCTTCAGAATAACAGGAAGCAGCATAAATATTGCCCTCGCCCACCAGAATTCATCACTGATGGCCTGCTCTGGCCCTGCCTTCTGCTGTGCATGGAATTTTTATTGAGCTTGATGAGATTCTGTGTAATAAGATGCTGGATTCCGGGGGCTAATGGCCTACGAGAAGATTTGAGTGTTGAGATTCTGTATAATCAGATGCTGAACTCCATGGGCCAGTGGCCTATTGAGAAGATCCGTATAATAAGATGCTGGATTCTGTGGGCCAGTGGCCTATGAGAAGATTTCAGCATTGAGATTCTGTATAGTAAGGTGCTGGATTCTGTGGGCCAGTGGGCTATGAGAAGATTTGAGCGTTGAGATTCTGTATAATAAGATGCTGGATTCCGTAGGCCAGTGGCCTATGAGAAGATCTGAGTGTGCCTACTGGATAGTTACCTGCTGGAATGCAAGTTGTCACTGCAAGATTGATTTCTAGTGACAATAACAAGCAGAAGCTGACTAACAGCACACTGCCCACCATCTGCTCAAGATACCCAATAAAGTGTATTTGTTCCTCATTTTCTCGGAAAAGTCTCCACCTGAAGGTCACAGTGAGATAGACCACCACAGTGAAAGGACATTTGAGGTTTCTTCCTGCCTGCACTGGTGATGACATCAGGAAACTTGTGAAACCACGGTCTTTTGTTTACATTAGAAAATGCATGTGAGATGACAGGTCAACATCAGCAAGGCATAACTTAACAGAGATAAAGGTAATGCTTTCTGTTGGTTAGAAAAAGCAAAAGTTTTGAAAAACACCTGAGCAAAGAAATCTTGAGAATAATTGCTAGCCAAAAAAAAAAAAAAAAAAAAAGAATTGGGGTCATAGGGACCAACATTGAGACACTGTTGTTGAAGCAGCAATGAATAGGTATTTTGTCCAAATAAAAGGACGTAATTTAATCATTGTTAATGTATTGCCCATCATTGGTAAGCCCTCGGGCATACACTTACACTTATAAACTTATTTAATCCACACATAGCATTATGAAGGAGGCATTATCATCCCTGCCTTACAGATGGAGAATTGGAGTAGAAGAAGTAGTAGGTAACTTGCCCAAAGTCATAGAGGGTATCGACTTATCGACTGCACTGCTGAGTTTAGGGTCTGCAGTTTGTCTGCCATGATGGCTCACATCTGGAGTGTCAGGTTCAGCCCTAGAAGCCACGTTGTCTGGTGGTGAACACTGACCATCTTGCAGTCACTGGGTCCACAAGAGGGGAACCACTGTGAGAAGGTGTCCTGTGACCAACATTGTTGAGGAGTATCTAAAGGGTGAATTCAGGGAGGTTGTGCTACAGCCTTAAAAACACATAAAGTAACTCAGCGTCATCCTTTCTTGTTCACACTGGAAGAACTGAAGTCAATAGCTGGTCCTAGGGAGATGAATACCAATATGAGAGATGCAGGCTGCACAGACCTGGAAACAGCTTCTGTGGCTTCGCTCAGGAAAGAAGCCAGACAGCCTTCTCTCAGGGCTCCTGCAAGTGGGATTCCTGCCCTGCGGGTTCCCAGGTGAACACAAAAGTCAGTTCCAACTCTAAAATTATTTGTCATTCGGTACAACAAAGATACCACTGCCTCCCTAGCAATAGAGTTTTTTGTTTGTTTTTTGCTTTTTGAGACGGAGTTTCACCCTGTTGCCCAGACTGGAATGCAGTGGCACCATCTTGGCTCACCACAACGTCTGCTTCCTGGGTTCAAGCGATTCTCCTGCCTCAGCATCCTGAGTAGCTGGGATTACAGGTGTGCTTTATGATGCCATGCTATTTTTTTTTTTTTTTTGCATTTTTAGTAGAGATGGGGTTTTGCCATGTTGGCCAGGCTGGTCTTGAACTCCTGACCTCAAGTGATCCACCCACCTCAGCCTCCCAAAGTGCTGAGATTATAGGTATGAGCCACCATGCCTGGCCGCAATAGAGTTTTAAATCCTTCTAGAAGGTACTCCCTGAGCCAACCTTGCACTCTCTTTGCACCCCATGGTTATTCTGATGAGGCAGCCATTCAAGGCCACCTGGGCTGGAGGCCTGGCTGCTCCGAGTGCAGCCCTGCTCCACTACATCAGCATCAACTGGAGCTTGTTTGGAGTGGAGACTCTTCGTCCCTGCACCAACCATCACTGCAGTTTTGCAGGGTCTCAGATGGTTCCCGTGCACATGAAGGTTGGATTCCCACATGAAAGGCTGTCATCATAACCCACCTGGAGGAGCTTTCAGAAGACTATGGTCTAGGTCCTTCCTCCTCCCCTCCACCCATTGTTCTTGGTGAGCCCTAGGCATTGCCAGTGAGGGTTTCCAAAGCTCTCCCAGTGGCTACAGTGGCAGCCAGCATTGAGATGCCCTGGTATAAGGCCACAGAAGCCAGCCACAGTGACCAGCCCTCCTGAGGGTTGGCCATGAACTGATCTCTAGGGCTCTGTTGAGCCTTTTGAACATTGTTTAGAGTAAGAGGAAATGTAGTTGTTATAAGAAATGCTCAATGTTCCAGAAGTGCTATGAGTTACTAGAACAGGAATTTTCAATGGCAGTTTTATTCCAGTTTGTCCCCAGTGCTTCAAGAGAGGGTTGGGTAGGGCTTTATGTGTTTGGGGAAGTTGCTGAAGAAAGCAGCTGAATAACTGAATCCTTTTACTTATAAAAAGGTTCAAAGTTGTCCAGCTGAAATGCTGAGGTTGGGAGCCTTCAAATTGAGGACCTCAGGGTTCTCCAAACAGAAGGCTTGCAAGTTCCAGGCTGAGGCTAGGGGAGCTGTCTGTGTCTGTGGCCCCCATGGGTGATTGGTCCCCTCTGTCTGAGCACGTGCGCGGAAAACCATGCTCCGTGGGTTGACAGCTGGTGGTTTGCTTATTTGCTTGTTTTGAAAATGTCTATTTTTTAAGACTCTATTGTAGCTGAATTTAATATAAATGCTTTCATTTGAACATTTGGCCATCTTTCTTTAGCTAACATGTGCTCTTATTTTTATTTAGCCTATTTTTAACCATTGAGTTACTACAAAACATTATCTCAGGTTTATTTTCATCTGTTACATGTTTTAAACTGTAGCCATCTGTGTCTGAAACATTTTTATCTGCTACAAGTTAATATTTTAAAATGTTATTAATTGGGTAATTATTTAGCTGTCTTCAAAAAACAAAAACAAAACAGCAATCCTGCTTTTCCAGCTAGTGAGCAGAAAGTCAGGGCGGTGGGGAGTGTGTTGTCTGTCCAGCCCTTTGCTTGGGACGGGAGTGGTCTCTTGTGCTTCCGTGCCCTGGTCTTACCTCAAAGTTACTTTCTTACCTTGAAGACCCACCATTAAATATAAACTAATCAGCCTATATAAACACAAATATAACCAGTAAAAACAAACAAATCAAACTCATCATAAGTATAAGCTTTTAGAAAAGACTGTTGTCCCAACTTTGACAAAAAAGTGGCATAGTACATCATTTGAAATTCACCATACTCACATGGATGATGTCACCATCCCCGCCCTCAGACTCATTGTCCATCTGTTAGGAAGAGGTGCACCCACCACAGGCAGAGCACAGCTACAGGCCCACACACACTTATGCCGCACTGGAGAAACCGACCTGCCAGCCCAGCTCATCTCCTTGTTTCTTGAATTACCCAGTTCATGTATGAGAACAAGAGGAATGTGATCTGAAACTCCCCAGTTAACAAGCTGTAAAACTGCTTGACGCCTGCCAGGCTGTGCGAACAAACCAAGGGGCAGGAGGTGAGGGCAGGGGCGGTGGGGTGGGGGGTTGCATTCTGGAAGAGTCCCAGGGTTTCCTCTGCATCCCTTCGGTGAGCTTAGTCGCAGTACCTTAGTCACAGCCAGGTAGCTGCCGTTCTCCCATTCCCAAAGGACAAATGTACTAGGATTTGTTAAAAAGGGAAAAATCCTCTGCATCTAGAACCAAATACCTCTCTCATCTCTTCCCTGATGGGAGTAATCATTCTGCACCTCGAGATTGACTTGATGTCTTAACTTTTGCATTGGATGATGTTACCTATGTTGGGAGTTACATCGGAACCGGCACAGTAGTTGTCAACTTCAGCTACATGGGAAAATTCATGGAAGAAGCTTGAAAAAATGTAGGCACCCAGCTGACATTCATTATTGAATGAAGTCATAGGATAAGCTTCTTTCTATTAGATTTTTGCCCCAGCACTCAGATGACCTCCACAATCTACAGACAACCCAGAGAAGTGGGAGGGTTCTATCAGTGAGTTACACCGGGCTTATACCACCAAATAACTGGCTCAACTGGACTCAGAAAATGGGCTGTTCATTTGACTTGGTGTCAGGCTGAAAGGAAGCAGCTTCATCCACCATTATGTCAAGACATAGACGAGTTCAGAAATTCATTGCACCGTAGGTTATTGTTGAGCCACATGGAATTAAAGGGCTTGCCCAAAGCAGATACTTCTCTGGATTTTGCCAAGCTAGGCAGTCACACTTCCCCCAAAAAGAAAAGTAGAAATTAGACAAAAATAAACTTTATAGCACTAGAACCAATTTTAATGAACCACAATCATGATACGGATTTAGTAGAGACCATAAAATCCACAGGACAAGGTGCGATCTCCACTTGCCTTTGGTCAAAGCTGAGAAACAAAGAACCGGAAGAGCTCACTCCATTGTGTCCTGTTTTCTATGGAGAGATGAGCCCCCCTTCTTCTCTTCCTGTGAACCAGCTTGAATCGGAGGGGAACGTGTAACTATGAGGTTCAGATCACACTGGAACACAGCGTGGTCCATTTATGCTCAGAGTCCGCCAGGTGGCATGGACTTCAGACAGCACAGATACCCTAATTACCATGCCTGGTCTTGCGGTTCACATTCACCGTCCTTCTTAAAAGTGGGGAAGGGGGCCAGGCGCGGTGGCTCATGCCTGTAATCCCAGTACTTTGGGAGGCCGAGGCGGGCGGATCACAAGGTCAGGAGATCGAGACCATCCTGACTAACACGCCACGGTGAAACCCCGTCTCTACTAAAAATACCAAAAATTAGCCACACGTGGTGGCGGACGCCTGTAGTCCCAGCTACTCGGGAGGCTGAAGCAGGAGAATGGCGTGAACCTGGGAGGCGGAGCTTGCAGTGAGCCGAGATCGCGCCACTGCGTTCCAGCCTGGGCGACAGAGCGAGACTCCGTCTCAAAAAAAAAAAAAAAAAAAAAAGTGGGGAAGGGGAAAGGGAGCCTTGTCTCTATCTTCCGGGGTAAGCCTGCGCTGCTGGGCTCCTGACAGGTTCCATAGACTCCTCTTGCAGCACCTGGGGTGCTATCTTGTCACAGCTTATAACCTGCTCCAGAGCCTGGCTCTGAGCAAAATTGCTGAGGCTGAAAAAAGACAGTAATGCAACTCAGGCTGCTAGGGTGTTCTCACTGACAGGACTGCAGATTCTGTTTGGCTGACCACAAGTTACAAAGATGAAGACAAAGTGCGAGCAATTCAAGGGCCAGCTTGACTAGCTGGTAAAACGAGTGGCAAATGTACTAGGATTTATTAAAAAGCGGGGAAAAAGATTCCCTGCATCTACAACCAAATACCCCTCCCATCTCTTCCCTGAAGAGAAATGATTCTGTACCTTGAGGTTGACCGGATGCCTTAACTTTTGCACTGGATGATGTTACATATGTTGGGAGTTACTTCAGAATCGGCACAGTGGTTCTCAGCTTCCGCTGCACGGGAACGTTCATGGAAAGAAATTTAAAAAATGCAGGTGCCTAGCTTGCAACTGCAGAGATTCTGACTTCACTGGTCCGCGGCAGGATTCCTGCTCTTAGATTTAGGTAATCTGAGAGTTCCCCCCAAGTGATTGCAGTGTACAACCATGGTAGGCACCGCTGCTTAGGTTGAATGACATCAGCAGAATGTTTTAAATCAACAGGTTTCATGAGTTTGAGATGGAAGAATTGGGTGAGGTAGAACCCATTAAAATAGTTAAATGGGATAAAAAAAATCAGAAAGTTGAAACAATGAAAGGCAGATGTGACTTTGTAATCATCAGGACATTTAGATTTGCCCAAGTCCCAATACAATTCCCTCCCTGTGAAGCCTTAGAAATTCCTCAGAACTGTCTTTAGTAATAGAGGCATGCAATATGATTGGCAGATGAATTTACAGGGAGGAGTTTGAGCACGCATGGAAAACGTTCTGATTTTGTTGTCTTTGAGATGCTCTTCGATGTCACAGAAGGAAATGTATGATTAGTGTCGGTGTTCTTGTCAAGAGATGGCTCTCTTCCTTTCTTAGGGGAGGAGGCAACGACGAGCTTTCCATGTCCCATTGGAGTTGTTGAGAGACAGGGACTGACAAGATCAATAATTGTTTCCAAATAATGGGGCGCATTAGCAGCTTCCCAGGGTCATGCTAAGGTGACAGGTGGGGGCAGATGTGGACAGAGACCCGGAAGGATCCTAACTAAAAGGGAACTCATTATGTGTGATGGTCCCCTTGCCAGCCATAGGAGACATTTCTACTAGCCTTGGTTAACCTGGAGCCACAGTGTGATGGCAACAGGCGCTAGGCCATGTTTTGAGTTAGTGTAATTTCAAAGTGTACAGTTTACCAAATTTGAACTTTTTTTTAAATTTTATTTTTTCTAGTCTGGCTTTTGCAAGTGACTCTGACAAAATATTTCTGCATTCAAATATCTGGCATTTCTATAACAATTTGAGAAGCTTGGCCTTATAAGAAAATCTCCACCAACACCTGGTGTATGTTCATGTGCTTTATAAATATTAATTTCATTGAATTGAAAAGCCAAAAGTCTGTTTTTATGATATAGGTTTGTTTTCTTGACTTTTCTCCAAAATTATTACTAGAGTCTCATTTTTTAAAAAGTCTGACAGGAACATACCCAACATATATTTTTAAGTAATACAGCAGAAGAGGAAACAATTAGAAATCAGAGTGTGTAGCATGAGTAAGTGTAAATATAATTTCCTGAAATCTTCATTTCAATTGTGTGTGTATGCAATTAGATTGTAAAATTTATTATTGATTGATTGATTGATTGATTTTTGAGACGGAGTCTCGCACTGTTGTCCAGGCGACAGTGGGCGCGATCTCGGCTCACTGCAACCTCCGCCTCCCGGGTTCAAGCGATTCTCCTGCCTCAGCCTCCTGAGTAGCTGTGATTACAGGCACCTGCCACCACGCCCAACTGATTTTTTGTATTTTTAGTAGAGACAGGGTTTTACCATGTTGGCCAGGCTGGTCTCGAACTCCTGACCTTGTGATTCACCTGCCTCGGCTTCCCAAAGTGCTGGGAAGGCATGAGCCACCACACCCAGCCGTGAAATTTACTTTATACTGTGGAATGTAAGTGAAATTCTGAAAGCTATTGGATAATGGCGTTGTTTAGAATAATAACCTTATAGCGTAAACCACAAACATGAAGTCAGCCGACTACTGCGATGTATGCCAAGCACAGGAATCTGGAGAAGTACGAGCCTCCTGGCTCCCCACTGGACTTTTTATTGGGGTGCTAGACCAGTGGTTCTCAAAGTGTGCTCCCCGGGGCAGCAGCATCAGCCTCACTTGGGAAATTCCTAGAAATGCAGATTCTCAGGCATCCTATCCCAAGCCCACCGAATCATTATCTCTGGGGGTGAGGCTCAGCAATCTATGTTTTAACCCTTTTCCTGTTTGCTTTGAGAATGTTCTCTGGCAGCGCTTGCGGCTGCAGTGTTTACTCCGGATAATTTTGCCACGAAACATCTCACTTTTGTTACTGTTTTTGCATTGTTCTAGCATATCGTCTTTGGAAACAAAAGACATCATTCTATTTACAGCATTCTGGTTTTAGTAGTTGTATTTCCATTTACAAAACATAGTAATTCTCGATCGCTGAAAATGTCAAATCCTAGAAAACGTAGCATTCCTACGCATGATGTTAACATCGTTCGCAACAGTTGTTGACCAAAGATTCATTAGATGAATTAAATTTTCCCAAAGTAGATGATTCTGATGTTAGTAACAAGAACAGTTTTTATATTTCACTTTCAAATTGAAAATCAGATTTGCTTCAGCTTCAAAGAGCATGTTAATATAAAATTAAATGAGCATTGACGGCAAGCTGCATTTTTTTCCTAAACAGGAAAAGGGTTGAGCCTCGCAGGTGGTTCTCTTCTGATATGTGGCCTCTGAGAGAATACCTGGCCAGCCAGGTATGAAGGTGGACCATGACCTCCCTGTCTCAGCTCCAGGCCTGCGCAATATCCATCAATCCCATAGGCATTTAGGCCTAGAAGCTAATCATGATGGGTGTTTCTTTTGTTTGTTCATTCGTTCGTTCGTTTGTTTTTGAGATGGAGTCTCACTCTGTCACCCAGACGGGAGTGCAATGGCCCGATCTCTGCCCACTGAAACCTCCAACTCTGGGTTCAAGTGATTCTCCTGCCTCAGCCTCCCAAATAGCTGGGATTAAAGACACGCACCACCACGCCCAGCTAGTTTTTGTATTTTTAGTAGAGATGAGGTTTCACCATACTGATCAGGCTGGCAGTGTTTTCTTCTTTACTTCTGTTGCTGAAGTTTGTAACTAACTTTGTGTCAACTGTTTATTTATTTATTTTTGAGACAGAGTTTTGCTATTGTCACCCAGGCTGGAGTGAAATGGCATGATCTTGGCTCACTGCAACCTTCCGCCTCCTGGGTTCAAGCGATTCTCCAGCCTCAGCCTCCTGAGTAGCTGGGATTACAGGCACCCACCACCACGCCCGGCTAATTTTTGTATTAGTAGAGGTGGGGTTTCTCCATGTTGGCCAGGCTGGTCTCAAACTCCTGACCTCTGGGGATCCACCTGCCTTGGCCTCCCAAAGTGCTGGGATTACAGGCGTGAGCCACCACACCCAGCCTCAACTGTTACTTGATCAACCCTTAACAGAATGTGGAAGTTAGTGAATTGCTAACGCTGCCCTTGGCCTGCTATTTCCCAGCTGGCCTCTCTGTGCCCAGCCCAGCTCTGAGCTGCCACATGTCCCCTGCCTTTCAAAGAATCCACCTTCTGGCCTGACTTTTCTAGCTAAATTTTACAAACCATAATTCCTAGCTTTCCTATTTTCTCAGAAAAATGTCCACCAGGTGTTTATTCAGGTGTCTCATTGTTATAATCCAATAAATAAACACATCATATTCATGGGATAGCAGATATATGCATTTATTTATTTATTTATTTATTTATTTATTTATTTAGATAGAGTCTCACTCTGTCACCCAGGCTGGAGTGCAATAGCACAATCTTGGCTCACTGCAACCTCCGCCTCTTGGGTTCAAGCCATTCTCCTGCCTCATCCTCCCTAGTAGCTGGGATTACAGGAACCCACCATCATGCCCAGCTAATTTTTGTATTTTTTGTAGAGACAGGGTTTCGCCATGTTGGCCAGGCTGGTCTTGAACCCCTGACCTCAGGTGATCTGCCTGCCTCGGCCTCCCAAATTGCTAGGATTATAGGCATGAGCCACCACGCTGGGCTGGATATATGCATTTAATAGGGACTCTTTGATGCCTGAGGGCTCATGTTATCAATTGTGAATACAAGACAGGCCTATGGGAGGGGTGTTTATTTTTTGGGGGGGAGGGGGGATGGGCAGCTGGATGGGAGTTGAGAGTGGTCTCATGTTCATCAAATCAGCCCAAGTAGATGATTGATTTCTCTGCCTCAGTCAGATTTTGTGACAAGGTAAAGCAGTAGATTCTTGAGTAGTTGATAAATGATATTACAATCTTTTCTAAATTTAAACTCTTCGTTGATCTTTGTCCTGTTTGTATAACCTTTATCTTTTTTGAAAAATGTTAGTTCAGCAACTGTTTAGTTTAATTAGCTGATTCATTAAACTTGGGTGGTGGCTCACCAATAAAAAAGCATTTGAATGTTTGAATGTCACTCAGAGCTCTTCAATTTCTTTGCAGAAATACTCAACCTAGATTCTTTTAAATTCTCTACCTCAGAACCTGATAGAATACTTGCATATTTTTACTGATGATGTTTCACCTATACTTAATGTAATAAGTAAACACACTACACGAGAAGTCATTCTGTAGGAAAGTGAGTGCGGATTTCTAATTACTTAGGCACAGCTAGTTTCCTAGCCTGACAGGTGTGGAAACACCTTTCACACTCGAAGCATGCAGAGGCTTGCATGAGCTCACCTGAGCATTCTGAGGAGCCTCCCTATGCAGTTTTGGAACCCTCTGTTTGATTCAAAGGTCTGCTCCTGATACCAGGGAGGTTTTAGCTTTCTGCCAAAAGAAATGCTCTTTCATCTTCAAATCAAATGTTGAAGTGGGCCGGGCATGGTGGTTCACACCTGTTATCCCAGCACTTTGGGAGGCTGAGGTGGGCGGATCGCTTGAGGTTAGGAGTTTAAGACCAGCCTGGCCAACATGGCAAAACCCTGTGTCTACTAAAAAGTACAAAAATTAGCCAGGCATGGTGGCAGGCACCTATAATCCCAGCTACTCGGGAGGCTGAGGCAGAAGAATCACTTGAACCTGGGAGGCAGAGGTTGCAGTGAGCCGAGATTGTGCCACTGCACTCCAGCCTGGGAGACAGAGTGAAACTCTGTCTCAAAAAAAAAAAAAAAAAAAAAAAAAAGAAAGAAAGAAAGAAAGACAGAAAAAACAAACAAAAAAATGTTGCAGTGAAAAAATATCACCTCCTCCTACTCTCAGGATGGTACTTCTGCCCATTCTCCTGAGTAGGCTCAAGCTTCTGAAAGGAGAGAAAGTGGGAGTGGTTGATATTTCGTGACTCTCACTGGCGAAGGCCCACTTGCAGACTGGCCCTGCATCCCGCTGTCCTGAATGCACACGTCTGTGTGCCGTGGGATGGCCTCTAGAGCGATTCCTCCCTGAATCCCTGCAACAGACACCTCTGAGTCCAGGCACAGCAGGATTTCAGGAACCAGGGAGGAGCTGGCCAGGTGTACACCCGGGCAGATACCTGTGACCCGTGATTTCAGGGGTGACAGAAAATGCCTCTTTTCCAAACACCAAGCAAAGGAACCAAAACCAAATCTACACAAACATG
Source organism: Homo sapiens (assembly GCF_000001405.40). Lineage (NCBI taxonomy): Eukaryota > Metazoa > Chordata > Mammalia > Primates > Hominidae > Homo > Homo sapiens. Next base: position 154,371,840 of record NC_000007.14, read on the forward strand.
ACCTTTCCCTGTAACTCTCCTGATTGCTTTCATCCTGTGCTTTGAAACAGGGAAAATGCGTAGACATACCGGGAAGCCAGAGGGGCCGTCGTCCTGGTTTTATGATGCGGGCAGGAGGAAGTTATCAAGGGCCGTCCCTGAAAACAGGCTTTATTTGGACAGTGTGAGGGATGTAAAGAGGAGAAAGGCAGACCCCAGAGAGAACAGGTGCCCTAGCAGAGATGAGACCACCCCCCGGGGAGTGGGGAGAGCCTCAATCAGAGTCCCTTACTGGAGGTTTGCTCTGGGGCAGCCCCAGTGGAGGTTGCTGCCTGCTTTCATGTTGTCGGATCACATTCTCCAGGCAGAAATGGTTTGGAGGATCCTGGGATTTGAAGGCTGGTGCTCGCTAATCATGGCTATGCATGAAGCGTAACACAGGGCGGTTTGAGTCATCTTCCTCGGGGAGTTTTGAGAGGAACCTAGGATGCCTTATTAGGAATGAGGTTATTGCAGAGCATGGATTTTCTGAAAGACAAGGCAAGCACATGGCCATCTGGTCAGCACTCACCGCTCCCTCCCCTGCCCCACCATGAGTCGCCCCCAACACGCAGTGCCTGTGCTGAACACACTGTGCCTGGCCGTGCGTGGGCAGTCACTTCCTAGCCCAGCTCCCAGACTGGGGTCGCCCTGGATGACAGCATCACCCTTGTGCCTTGTTCATTTACCTATTCAGATATGAAGTCAAGATACTGTGGGTGTCCAGAGATGCTTTTTTAAAAATTGCTTCCTGGGGAATAAAAAGGAATGGCCATTAACACATTAGTTGACATGCTCAAAATTTAATTTGCAAACAGAAGCCAAAAGAGACAGCTAAAACTTTTCATTGGAAGCAATTAAAATAGGAAAGCAACGGGACTGAACAGTTGATAGTTTGCCAGTGCAGGTTCTGCTCTGTGAGGCACGTCCAGGACCCCCTGCATCAGTGTAAGTCGGCATACAGGGGTTAGAGTGCACCATCCTGGGAATGCATGACACATAGGTGTGCTTGGTTACAGACCAGCTTCCCCACCACCCAGGCTGAGGCCTTTGCAGACAGAAATCAAACCTACCTGGATTAGCACAGCCCTGGGGACTGACCCTGGAAATGGAGTTCGCGTCTCTTCCCCTCTTGGCCTGTCTTTATCACTCACAGCTCAGTTAGTGCCTCTCGGCATCTCCTTCCTGCTGTCTTGCCCTGCACCATCCGCTTCCTCTCTCGTTTTCTTTCTTCCTCACATTCTTTCATTTAAAAAAAATTCCAAGTATGAGCAAAAAATAATTTTAATGGGATGAATACACTCAATTATGGTCTTAGTTGTGTGCTTAAAGGGAGTAAACTTAGAATGTGAAGAGCCAGAACTAGAAGGTTCACAGTCTGTGTAGTCTCTTCCTAATTAATTCATTTTTCTGTAAGGGCCAGCCTTCAAGAAAATGTAGAAATAACGATTTAATTCTATTTTATTCTTTTTTTATTTGATTAATAATTACTCAATTAGATCCCCATGACTTTATGTAAGGAGAGGCCATGGTGTTTGCTTCGTGAGGCGGTTGTGAGGAGCCATCTCTGTGAACGGGCTCCTGGCCGCTGAGGTGCATTTCACAGGTGCTCATGCTAGCTCCCTCCTCAGTGTGGGCTTGGCCTTGCAAATGGGCACAATTTGCACTAAATGCAGACTCCTATGGATTTTGCAGGTAGATTCTAGTTTTTCTGAACAATTTTTGCATTTATTTCTGCATGCGCTCATTTAAAAATTGTGTTGTTGTAGTAGAGCATGCATACTAACATTGACCATCTTAGCCATTTTTCAGTGCCCAGTTCAGTGGCATGAGGGCATTTACACTGCTGTGCAGGCATTTTCCACCATCCATCTCCAGGGCTTTTCCTTATCCCGAACGGAAACTGCGCTAATTCAACACGCGCTCCCCATTCCCTCCTCCCGCAGCCCCTGGCACCCACCATTCAACTTTCTGTCTGTGAGTTTGATGAGTCTAGGAAGCTCATCTCACTGGAATCTGATGGTATTTGTCCTTTGTGCCTGGATTATTCCGTGTAGCATAACATCCTCCAGGTTCATCCATAGGTTCATCCTTGTTGTAGCCTGTGTCAGAATTTCCTACCCTTTTAAGGTGGTGAGTGCTAAGTTTTAAACTGATTGCCTTATAAGCCAAAATGTTAGAAACCAGCCTATTTTCACACAGGAGGCTGTGCTTCCAGAAATCTGCCTAACCCTGTCACGTTGCTGTGTCACGCCATCAGGCTCTTAATGAGAGCACATGAAGAAACCACAGATTTTGGAGTTAGACAGACTCCAGTTGGAATCCTAGCTCCACAACCACCTGCTGGGTGACCTTGGGGACATTATTTCATGTTTACGAGATTAGGACAGGAATAGTAAATACCTCATAGTGTTTTGTGGATCAAATGAGCTAAGGTTTAAAAAGTGCTTAGCTAGCAAGGGGGAGAGGTCAGCTTCCTAAGTGTCTGCCCTCCCCTGGAGTGTGGTATCATCACTGTCACTGTTGCACGTGAGCCATTTTAAGGAAAAGGTGTGTTTTTCAGGTTATCTTTCCTATGCCAAGAGCCATAGGAGTGCATTGACACGTGCAGACCCCGCAGGAACTGTGCATTCCCCGATGGCAACCGTGTTCACTCATGCTTCTGTCTTTCCCCTCCACACTTTGAGAGAATGGGCTGACATTATAGGTTTTTTTTTTCTTTTCTGTTTATTTTTTCTTTTTCTGTTTTTTTTCTTTTTTTCTTTTTTTTTGAGACGCAGTTTTCCTCTTGTTGCCCAGGCTGGAGTGCAATGGCACCATCTCAGCTCACTGCAACTTCCGACTCCTGGGTTCAAGCGATTCTCCTGCCTCAGCCTCCCAAGTAGCTGGGACTACAGGCGCCTGCCACCAGGCCCAGCTAATTTTTGTATTTTTAGTAGAGATGGGGTTTCACCATGTTGGCCAGGCTGGTCTCGAACTCCTGAACTCAGGTGATCTGCCCGCCTCAGCCTCCCAAAGTGCTGGGATTACAGGCGTGAGCCACCGCGCCCGGCCGACATTATAGTTTTAATTAATTCTTTCAACAAATATCTCTAAGTACTCATTATGTGACAGACACTTTGAAGGCGCTGTATTGAAGCATAGGAACTTGGTCCTGAGCAAATGAGGGACTTAATGAGAGCACATGGGCTTGCAAACCGTGAACCCATCTCAGGGACTGGAAGGCTCTGACAAAAGAGGAGCGTGAGTCCCGGGGAAGAGAGGGCAGACAGTTCTGGATGTGGAGGGTCAAGAAACGCTTTTTTGAGGAGGTGACATTTGAGCGGAGGCTGGCGTGAAATGGGGGAGTGGATTATGAAGAGTGCCAGGGGAAATATTCCAAGCAGAGGGAAGAGCAAATTCTAGAACCCTTGAGTGGCTATATGCCTGGCACACCCCAAGGGCAGGAGGTCGACCACAATGGCGAGGGGATGTTGGCCCGGGTGGAGGGGTAGGAAATGGAGTGAGGCAGGACCCGGAAAGGCACCATGGCTGCAGATTTCTATCAGCTGACCTTTATTCACTACGGTTTTAGTATGAGCCTTGTTACAGATGAAATGTTGTGGAGGTCCTAACCTCCACTGTGCTAGTATTTGGAAGTGAATTATTTGGGAGGTGATTAGGGTGAGATGAGGTCATGAAGGCGTGGCCCCATGATGGGATCAGTATCCTTATAAGAAGAGGAAGAGACGCCAGTGCTTTTTCTCTGTCTCCATCCAATGTACAGACTCAGTGAGAAGGGAGCCATCCACAAGCCAGGAAGTGAGCTCTCTGCAGGAACAGAAGCTGCCGGCACCCTGACTTGGACTTCCAGCCTCAGAACTGTGAAATGTCTGTTGTTTAAACTACTCAGCCATTGGTATTTCATTATGGCAGCTGGAGCAGACCAACGCAAGCCTTTTATTCTCCAAATGATTCTGGTGACCTCTCAAGACCTTTCTCTATGACGCCCGCCAACTTTGTAAATAAATCCTACCCTTTCATGAATGGACGCAGAGTGAGGAAGAGTCACTTCCTTCACACTCAGGAGCACATATACTCACCTGCTGGCCCACCTCGAGGGGCCCAGCTAGGTCAGTGCCAGGAGAGGCAAGGTTGGTGCATTTCACATTACCCCCACTGACCCCACCACTGGTAGCTGCCTGGGCCCCACCAGCCTTCCCGGAAACCGTGTGCATTTGCACTTAGCCAGACAGCACACGGTGAGAGGCTTATTTGCTCATATGGTACTTTCAAGAATCTGCAGCATTGGGTAATTTGCTGGCCATGTGGAGATTCCCATGTGCGGGGAAGGGCTGCTGGGCTGAGGACCTGAGCAGATGGTGGTCATTAATAGCACCAACATGTGACCAGCTGTAATTGTGCTGGAAGGACTGAAGCCACTGATGGTTGCTCCGTACTTTGGTTCTACTTAAAAAATACTTTTAGCAGGACATAATTCATTATACAAGGCAGCATTAGCAAAGAAATATCAGACTCCCAGTAAGTGCCATTTTCCTACCCCTGTGTTTTAACAAGTATTCCTGGTGTTTAGAAATACATAGTCTCTCAGTCATCGTGTGGGTAAAAGTGAGAAGAGTTGTTTTTCTCAGTGGATCAAGACTAAGTCTTATGAGATTTGAAATCTAGAAGCTCTGCTAAAATTGCATATAGCAATGCCTGTGAATATGTGAACCGAATGAGAAACACATTTGTGTCCTAGAGCAGAAACTTAGATTCAGCTCTTTATACACACAATGACCCCTCCTGGTTAATTGACTTGCAATGGTAGTTTCAGGTATCCAGCAGTAGTTCTGGCTACAGCAGATCTGTCTACCCACTGCCTCTAAAGCTAATCTCTCCAGTTAATAGCTTGCAGCCTGGGCCTCATTAAGTCAAAGAACTTCTGCCCATACAATAGGCTGTAATCCTCTGTATTAGTATGAGGTAATTTGGCTCCTAACTGGGGAATTTTTCTCGTCTAATAAGAGGAGAAATTGTTTGGTACAGTAGAAATCATATAGTTTCCCAGCATTTGGCTCTTGGAGAAAGTCAGGGATTCTGTATCCTGTTCCTTACCTCTGGAGGGATTCTTAAGTTGTTTTGGGTATCTTACAGCAAACACTTTTAGTGACAAACAAGTCAAATTAATAATAATAATAAAAAACCTAACAGTTGTTGACTACTGCGTGCTTAAGAAGAGTTCTGAGCCATTTTCTTGCATGAACTCATAATGCCCACAACAACTCTCTAAGGCAGGTATTCTTATCCACATGTTGCATACGAAGAAACTGAGGCCCAGAGTGATTAAGCTTCATTTAAAAAGCGTGAAATGGGGCAGTGAGTCATGAACAGTGCCGGAGGAAATGTTCCAAGAAGAGGGAAGAGCAAATTCTAGAATCCTTGAGTGGCAATAAGCCTGGCACATCCCAAGGGCAGGAAGTGGACCACAATGGTGAGAGGATGTTGGCCCACACAGAGCGGTAGGAAATGGAGTGAGGCAGGACCAGTATCGTACCAGTGCTAAGATAAAAGCCCAAGCAGTCTAATTTGGAGTCCAGACTCTTGATCATTGATATGATTTGGCTCTGTGTCTCCACCCAAATCTCATGTTGAATTGTAATCCCTAGTGTTCCAGGAAGGACCAGGTTGGAGGTGATTGGATCATGAGGGCAGTTTCCTTCTTGCTGTTCTCCTGATAGTGAATGAGTTCTCATAAGATCTGATGGTTTTAAAGTGTGCTGTTTCCCCCTTCGCTCTCTCTCACCCTCCTGCTTCACTGTGGTAAGACGTGCCTTGCTTCCCCTTCACCTTCCACCATGATTGTAAGTTTCCTGAGGCCTCCCCAGCCGTGTGAAACGTGAGTTAATAAAATCTCTTCTCTTTTTAAATAAATTACCCAGCCTCAGTTAGCTCTTCATAGCAGTATGAAAATGGGCTGATACAATCACTATTCAATATAGCTTCTAAAACATACATTTGTATTATAGCATGCTAGACCAGGCTGTGTGAGCCACTTGGGCACTGCATGGATTTGGGTGAGCCGGGGAAGATGTCAACCCCACTGTCAGTTGTTATGCAAAGGGGAGCCTTGTCTTCATCCTAAGTTGAAATCTTAGGGACTGTCTCTTCTGGACATAATAGAAGTGTGTCCTGTGTCCATAATTGTAAATAAACTTACTGGCATATAGAAACAGTGCCTGGTGAGCTCTTTTTGAGGATAGATGCTAGGTCTTCTCTTTCATTCTCAGGACCCAGCACAATGGTGGGGCCACTCAAATGTTTTTGAATGAATACATGCCATTTTTTTGGAAGCTGTGAGAGTTTATACATCATTTTTCACCTATTGCCAGACATTTGCTGTCTCCATATCTTACTCTATACATGAAAGCAGAAAGTAGAATAAGCCATTGTATGATTTCAGAGGGAGAAGTGAGGAAATGGGAGGTAGCTGTGTAAAATTAGATATAAACTACCATCAAAAAGTAATTGATTTAAGGCCCTCTTAAAAACACATTGTCTTAGCTTTGGCTGCTATGACAAATGACCATAGACTGGATAGCTTAAACATCAAAAAGTTGAGAAAATTTATTTCATACAATTCTGGTGGATGGGAAGTTCAAGATCAAGGTGCCCACAGACCTGGCACTGGAGAGGAGGGCTCCCTTCCTGGTTTGCAGATGGCTGCCTTCTTGTTGTAGCCTTACATGTCAGAAAGAGAGAGAGAAGAGAAAACTCTCCTGTCTCATAAGGACACTAATCTCATTCATGAAGCCTCTACCCTCATGACCCAATTACCTTTTGTATTAGTCTGTTTTCACACTGTCATAAAGAACTACCTGAGACTGGATAATTTTTGAAGAAAAGAGGTTTAGTTGACTCACAGTTCCGCATGGCTGGGGAAGCCTCAGGAAACTTACAATCAAGGCAGAAGGCAAAGGAGAACCAGGCAACTTCTTCGCAAGGAGGCAGGAAAGAGAGCGAGTGAGGGGAAACTGCCACACAATTGTAAACCATCAGATCTTGTGAAAACTCACTCACTATCACAAGAACAGCATGGGGGAAACCACTTCCATGATCCAATCACCTCCCACCAAGTCCCTCCCTCAACGTGTGGGGATTACAGTTCCAGATGATATTTGGGTGGGAACACAGAGCCAAAACGATTCACCTCTCAAAGGCTCCACCTCCTACTAACATCACATTGGGTGTTATGATTTAAACATATGAATTTTGTTGGGGGACACAACATTCAGTCCATAACACATGTGTTGATAATTACAACTCGGTTCCAAGAGGTGCCTCCATAAAAGGTCACAGAGACCCCAAGAACAGAGCTGCCTAGAGTTCTATTGCAGAACTCCAGGGTTGCAGCAATTAATTTTACATCTAAAATGTTGCTGTAAGAATTTACCCCACAAAAATTGATCAATGGGATCACTTGGACACAGGGCAGGGAACATCACACACCAGGGCCTGTCAGGTGGTGGGGGGCTGGGGGAGGGATAGCATTAGGAGAAATACCTAATTTAAATGATGAGTTGATGGGTGCAGCAAACCAACATGGCACATGTATACATATGTATCAAACCTGCACATTGTGCACATGTACCCTAGAACTTAAAAGTATAATAATTTTTTAAAAAAAGAATTTACCCCACAAAAATGTGGGAGATGTAAAGAGAATAGAAAGCTTGTCTTTACAGAAGAATGCTCCCTAATAAATATAGAAAGCATTGTGGATATAGAAAAGCATGATTATGCAATTCCCAATATCATAATTGATTAAACCAAAAATTAGTGAATGCTAAAAATTATTGTCATAGATTATTGGGGATAAGATATCCATAGAATATTCATGTGTAATTTCACAGATTCTTATTAGTTTAACATGAAAATATTACCTGTCTAATGGAGAGGTCTAGTGGACACAACTTAAGCCAATAGCCAAACTAAGCATTGCCAATATTGGGTCAAAATATGCGCTTCCTGATATGAAGCCATCTGCCACCCAAAATGCCACTTATGTACAATTACTGCCCAAAATGTTTAAGTGAATCTAATCATGAGGAAACAAGCAGAGAAATCCAGATGTGGGCCCTTCTACAAGATAACTGGCCTGATTCTTAACATCAAAACAAAATTAAAAAACAATGTCATATAAGCAAAAAGAAACCAACCAAAAAGTAATGAGGTTGAGGGGAGAATATACTAAATTGAAAAAACACACACAACATTAACCTTAATTGTTTCATTGATTAAAAAAATAGATGCAAAAGACATTTTGAAAAAATTGGGGAATTTGAATTGGGGCTGAACACCTGTGTTGAATGTATTAGGTGTGGTAAAAGAGGGGTAAGAGTAGGGTTGTGTTAGAATAAAAGAAGGTCCACATTGGGAAACACACGCTGAAGTATTTTGGGGTGGTGTTTGCAAATTATTTTCAAATGGCTTAGCAAAAAGAGTGTGTGTGTACACACAAATGTGTACATATATGTGCATATAGAGGGAGAGAGTGGAGGCATAATTGTAGTAAAATGCTAACATTGGCGACATCTACATGAAGTGCAGACAGGTGTTCATTGTGTTCTCCATTCAGCTTCTCCTGGAATTTGCAATTCTTTAGCATAGGTAGCATGGGGCAGGTGGGAGGAGATCATACCTGTGCACACCAGGTGAATCCCAGTTGGGAAACGGCAGGTGAGTCCTGGGGACATATGTGTCTCTGCTAGAGCATCCTTCTCTTTGCTCCAGTGCTATGGGGTGCAGACGGGGGACATCCATTCATGCTTTTCCTTCTTCACACATTCCCCTGGTACCTTTTTGCTGGCAGGGAACACAGTCCAGTGTCTGGGCTGCAGATCCCTCATGGTCAGAAGAGGGGTTTGGTGAGAAGTGGGAGACTGGTTGCTAGTCCTGTGAGTGCATGCCAGAGGCCATCTCCTTGGTTCATCCCTGTTTCCCCAGTTCTGGGCACAACTTGCCTGTGTTTGCCAGGAATGCATAGCTTATCTGAGCTTCCTCATGGGGTGAGTGGGTGAGGAGAGATGGTGTTATCATCAACTGTCAAAGCTGGAGGCTTCCAGAAATGACACTGCTGTCCAGGGTGGATGGCAGATGCCATCTGGACTGTCTCATCTCAGTGTGCAGGCCTCTAGGGACATCCTGCCCTGGGCGTGGGGCTTCTCTGCCATGAGGGGGATCCTGGTGCTGTGAGTGTATCACAGGTGATGTGGCAAAGGTGGGCGTGGGCACCAGATACAGACATTTCCAGTGGGATCTCGTTGTACTTTCATACATGTCACTGCCGGACTCTGTGGTCTTAAAAGCCATGAAGCCAGCCCAAGGACCCTTGCCGCTCCATGCCAGGCAGCCTCCTGGCCCCGTCTGACTCGCCTTAGGGGGTGCCTTTTACTCCGTTGTGTACAAAGCATTTTGAAGGAAGAGAAGGAACTAACAGTTAGTGTTGTCAGTATTCTCAGAATTTTGGCAATATCCCATAATAAGAAATCTGTTTGATCAACTCATATACACCTACACATGTAATGCCTCTATATGGGTCTGTGTGTACATATCGGTATGTATAGCTGTGTGAGAGGATCTATAGACATATGTGTGTATGTGTGTATACACATCTATAATGTATGACAAAAGTTTCATCAGACCATCCGTACGCTCACACTTTGATGTTTACTAACATCAAAGCATTAGTAAATCAGTATTTCTTAATGCGCTGCTTGTTACTGGTTTAGGCTACTTATGATCCGAAAAATGCTGGTTTCAGCAACACGGAAAACATAAAAAGATAATTATAGAACAGGGTTAGGAAACCAATTCTGTCTGATGTGTGTGTATTATTACATGAGAGTATTTGTATGTATCCATGTATGTGTCTGCATGTGTGTGTATTTCCATTTATCTTTGCAATGGTGCAGGGCAACTGTGGGTCTGCTGCCATTGTGACTTGTTTCTGTCCTCTCCTGGGCCGGGCCCTTCAAAAACTGTGGAGGGACATTTGTCATTGGTGTCCGAGCTTCTGTGCTATTTCTCCAGAGGGGTCATGGGATGACACAGAGAGGCCCTGTGCTGCAGGTAAATCTGGAGGACAGCTTGCGCCCAGGGAAATTACATGCAAACCAGGTTTTCCTGTCCTCTTGAGTGGGGCTTTTTTCTTTCAGAAACCCCCCTTTTTTTTTCCTTTTTTTTTTTTTTTCAATGATCTCTGCAGAAGCAGCAGCATGGGGCTCAAATTTGAAGTGAGCCGCAGATGCAGGTTTGCTTGCGAGTGACTCCCTCTGCTCAAAATCGTCCGCATTTTTTTTCTTCTTCTGAGACAGGGTCTCACTCTGTCACCCAGGCTGGAGTGCAGTGCTGCAATCTTGGCTCACTGCAGCCTCCACCTCCCAGGTTCAAGCAATTCTGCTTCAGCCTCCCAAGTAGCTGGGACCACAAGCTTGCGCCACCACAGGGCATCCTGTATTTCAAGCTTCCCCCTTTTGAAATGAGGATTGCTGACGGATGGTGTGCAAACTTTAGAACTTGTTGTCAAGATGTCAGTTGAATCTTAATTAACCATTGAGGCAGCCTGGGAGATACGCCTATTCTGGTAGGAATTTTTATTCTTTCAAGTTCAAGGATTTGTCCTTCATCATTTTCCAATCCATGGGATGGTAACAATAAAAATAGCTAATAGCTAACAAATGTTTACTCTGTGCTGCGCTCAGCGCTCAGCGCTCTTCATGTGTTTTTTCTCCTTTATTTGTTAGGGAATGAATGAGCTCACTAGTTGCCTTCTTCTGCCATAATTTTTCTTCCTTGTTCACATGTGGTTGGTGGTATATATTTTAGTATTCCTTTTTGTTTGTTTGTTTTTGAGACAGAGTTTTGCTGTTGTTACCCAAGCTGTAGTGCAATGGTGCGGTCTCAGCTCACCTCTGCCTCCTGGGTTCAAGCGATTCTCCTGCCTCAGCCTCCCAAGTAGCTGGGTTTACAGGCACGCACCACCACGCCCAGCTAATTTTTTGTATTTTTAGTAGAAATGGGGTTTCACCATGTTAACCAGGCTGGTCTTGAACTCCTGACCTCAGGTAGTCCGCCCGCCTTGGCCTCCCAAAATGCTGGGATTACAGGCTTGAGCCACTGTGCCTGGCCAATATTCCTTTTAAAATCTCAAACCTGCCAAAACATACAGGAGGGAGAATTATTAGCTCATCAGATTCAGTATATCAAAATGAACCTGCTGACAAGGTGGAACATAATTCACAGACTACAGCTGTTATTAATGTGTGACTATTTCTGGCAAGGCCCAGGGTGCACAATCAGAAAACTATTAATATATAACAGGCTGAAGTGGAAATGTGAATGAGCCAATACTTGGAATTCCTATAGTATTTACACTAACTGTTCCTCTGCCCTTCTGAACTGAGTACTTCGCAACTCATAAAATACAATTTCCTGTTTTCCACTTTGCAGCCTCTTCACATCTCCTATTTCTTCTGGCTCCTCTAATTAATGGAAACACTTGCATTTGAGTTCGCATCGATTTGCAAAACATTGTTTAATATGAGAATATTTTCACCGTCGAGGGCATGTTGATTATTCCTAGGTGTAAAACATTCTAGTCAAATTTAATATAAGAAAGTAACATGCATTGTCAATAATTACATGAAAAAATATGGTGGAAGATTTTTTTCTCTGATTAATGACTCAACAGTTTTAAACATGTGTTAGTGGGCTGGGCACAGTGGCTCACGCCTGTAATCCCAGCATTTTGGGAGGCTGAGGTGGGCAGATCACCTGAGGTCAGGAGTTCGAGACCAGCCTGGCCAACATGGTGAAACCCAGTCTCTACAAAAAATACAAAAATTAGCCAGGCATGGTGGTGCGTGCCTGTAATCCCAGCTACTTGGGAGGCTGAGGCATGAGAATCGCTTGAGCCCAGGAGGCAGAGGTTGCAGTGAGCCAAGATTGTGCCACTGCACTCCAGCCTGGGTGACAGAGTGAGACTCTGTCTCCAAAAAAAAAAAAAAAAAAGTGTTAATGAATTCTTTAAAATAATACCCATCTCTTCGATTCATGAAAGGATTCTTTAAACTCCTCTGCAAGAGCCTGAGTCTGCCCAGCATCACGGTGATGGCCTCCATGGTCCCTCTTGCTCAGGGAGCAGCTGCTTTGCACCTGGGACTCTGCACGCTCACCCCATTCAGTCTCCCGGGTGCTCCCTGGCAGGTGCACCATCATCCTCATTTGATGGTCGAGACTGGAGCGCTAAGAGCGTTGGTGCACACTGGTGGGACCCAAGCTCAGGTGTCTGTGAGACAAGGACTCTGCCCTCCAGTAATGAGGAAGGTGGCATCCCCTGTCCCTCAGGAAGATTATTGTTTATTTGAGGAAGTGCGGTGTAAAGACCTGAATCAGGAAAGGACAAGTCAAGGCATTGTGGCATCCAATGGCATCTTAAATGCCTCTGGGAGAAGGAGGTCACTGGGATTGAGAACATTCAGAAAAGATTTGTGGGAGGAGGCTGAACTTGGGCAGACACTTGAATGAAAAGGATGTGGGGAGTGGAAGGAGCAGGCATTCCCTGCAGTGGGGTGCTGAGATTCAGAGAAAGAAGAGGTGCAGGGTGGTGTCTTGATGAGGCACTAAGACCAGCTCACAGGCCGATGAGGGTGAGATCTCGAAATCTGTCTGTTGTCACACTGCCTCTCTATACTAACAGTTTTTTAGTGAAAAACACAGTGAGAACCAGATAAGTGAGTTCACTGAATTTTATTTCCAAAAAAATGGAAAGCTCTAGTAACGTTCTGCAGTAACACTTTGGCTCATGTCTAAGTTCTTTTTTTCTTTCTTTCTTTCTTTCTTTTATTTTTTTTTGAGACAGAGTCTCGCTCTGTCGCCCAGGTGACATTTCTCACAATAGCAAAAGTTTGAAATATGAGTGTTCATCAGTAGTGGAATGATTAAATTAGGGTACATATAGACAGTGGGATACTCTGAAACTGTTACAGATGATGATATAGCTCTAAAGGAAATTGTCTATACTATATTCTTCAGTGAACAAGGTAAATTAGAAAGTATTATATAGTTTTTTAAATTTTATTTATTTATTTATTTTGAGAGGGAGTCTCGCTCTGTCGCCCAGGAGTGCAGTGGTGCGATCTCGGCTCACGGCAAGCTCTGCCTCCCAGGTTCACGCCATTCTCCTGCCTCAGCCTCCCGGTAGCTGGGACTACAGGTGCCCGCCACCATGCCTGGCTAATTTTTTATATTTTTAGTAGAGACAGGGTTTCACCGTGTTAGCCAGGATGGTCTTGATCTCCTGACCTCATGATCCGCCCGCCTCGGCCTCCCAATTTTTTTTCTTTCTTGCATTATGCATTTTTCATCAAATGCTTGGCTTCGTGCCTTCTACCATGAAGACCCCACTTCACAGCGACACATGCTCTTGGGTCACTCCGCCACCCGTGGGGTTGTGAATCAAGTTCTTCAGGGAGAGAAGACAAGCTGACAGGGGTGGGACTTGAGTTCTGTGCATCTGTGATCAGATTCCGCCTCCACAGTGCTGGGTGGTGGGAGGAAGCCCATTCATCTCTGTGAGACTAAAGTCCCTCATCTGTCAATCAAGATGCTAAATTTTATTTATTTATTTATTTAGAGACTGGCCCTTGTTGTGTTATCCAGAGTGGTGTGATCATATGAGATGCTAAATATTCCCTCGTGGGTTGTCATGAGGTTCAGCTGCAACCCTGGCTGGCACAGGCCATGACACTTCCAGCAATGTACCTGCCCAGCTGGGATTAATCACTGACATTTAACTCCCAGTTGATGGCACCTGTGTACGGATGAATTCCTCAAAACAGTATCAGAATCTTACGTACTCACTGGTCTCAGCGAGTATTCACAGAGAAAGCAAGAAGGATGGTATTTGATTACTCAATAAGTGAGTCCTGAGGGGTCATTGCTAGGCAGGCTGAGGGGTGGTCTCTGCAGCCCCTCACAGCCTTTGAACAGCCAGAACTTTGATTGATGAACAGGTGCTTTCCTGTAAAAAGCAAGAAGCACTATGGAATCACAGTTTTTGTTGATTTTTTCCCCTGCTGGTAGTCTGGTCTTCATGATATCATTCTTCCAGAAAGCCAACCCTTTCTTGCAAAAGTACAAGGTGTGCTCAGGAAAAATGCTGCTAGTGCCAAGATTCCTCTTTCCATTTCTGTGGCCCTCAGGTGTGGACATCGCTGCCTTATTTTCCCTAAAGTGACAAACAGGATCACATCACATATTTAAACTCTGAAATCGGTATTATGAGGTTTAATCTGTATCCATGTAGGTTTTATCTTGTTGCAACTGTTTCCATCCTCTCGCATTTCCAGTGCCCCCATATTGACCAGGAGCACCATCTAGGCATCCGTTTGTGTTCCTCCTGCCCCCCACCCCCACCATGCTTCTGTCTGTCTTCTCCATGAGTAGGAGGAGGTCACTTGGATCGAGAACATTCAGAAAAGATTTGCAGGAGGAGACTGAACTTGGAGAGATGCTTGAAGGGAAAGGATTTGGGGGGTGTGCAAGAGGGGGCATTCCTTGCAGTGGGGTGCTGAGATACAGAGAAGGAAGAGGCTTAGGGTGGTGTCTTGATGAGACACTAAGACTGGCTCACAGGTTGATGAGAACGAGATCTAGAAATCGGACTACTGCCATGTCAGCTCACTTCATGAATATCATGAAGACCAGTCCACCAGGAGGATCCAACAGGAAGGCAACTTTTTTAAGCAAAGGGATTCTAGCTCTCCACTGGATTACCCTGTTTCATATGTAAAAGTTAGGTTAACTCGGAACAGGAGATGCAAAAACCCCATCTACTTAGAGAAAGCTGAGGAGAACAAAAGTAGCGTTAGCTGGAGACATATGCCATTTGTTGGAGTGTCCACTGAGCTCGTGCAATACTGGTTGAAGCCACTTCTCACAGAGATGAAGCACCCCGTGGGTGAGCCTGGAAATAAAAGTGCATGGAGCCAGGCTGTGGATGACGGAAATAGTAAATGGCAAAGCAGAGGAGGGCTTGAGCATGGGTGGGCAGGTGAGCAAGCGTGCAGGGTGCAGAAACCACAGCTGTGAGAAGGGGCTTTTCCAGAGTGAGGTTACAGAAAGATCAAGTGAGGCAGGACAGCATGTGGACCTGGAAGAGAACATAGGCAAGGGGCGAAAGAGTGTGGAAAGAAGAGAAAATGAAGCTATATAGACTTCAAGTAACAGCATCATTGCTCTAGAACTAGGTCATTCTTGGTCTCTGAGCTCCGGACAAATTCTGAAGTGACCTACATCATTCATAGAGGCAGAAGGAGGCTACCATTCATTCCAGCAAGCAGGGAAGGCTTTCTTGATATGTGCTGGTCCCAGACTAAGCCTGGAACACAGTGACACACAGTCCTTGCCCTCAGGGAACTGAAAGACTAGGAGGGGAGGGAGTCATGTCCATAAATTCAAAGGCCATAGTTGCTGCAAGATGGCAATGAGATGCTAGGAGACTATAGGTGGGTTTTCTAGCCAAGTCTTGGGAGAATTCAGGAAGGCTTCCTGGAAGAGGAGACATCCAAGCCAAGGCTGAAAGAGCAGGAGCCCAGCAGGTGGGTGGGCCCAGGCCATGGACATAGCATCTCCAGGAGGATCATGTGATCCACCCAGACTCTCATCTATGTTGTTTGCTTTTACCATGTAGGGTCCCTACCATTTATTTTCTCATATGAGTGAAGCTGTCTCCTTCACCAGCCCCCACATTATCATGTACTGTTTTCATCCAGTCCTCTACAGCCTCCCCCCAACCGAGCCCCACAGCCCCTGCTGCCAAAGGGATTACTGTAGGCTTTGGGACATTCTGGACTAATCCCACGTTCTTCACCCCCTTTTATGTCAGTCACCAGGAGAAGCTGGTGACTAACCACAGTTGGTAGCTCTTTGTACGCCATACCTTCCCCGACTTTCTCTTCTGCTTATTTTTTCTGTTTCTTGTTTCACAATCTGACATCTCATGTGTCTGGAAGGTCAGCTCCATGAGGTCAGGAATTGCCTACTTTTTTTTTTCAACTGTTGTACACTCAGCACCTAGAAGAGTACATGGCATGCAGTGGGTGCTCAAAACACAGTGATTGTGCTGAGTGCAAAGGCTCAGCCTGTAATCCCATCACTTTGGAAGACCAAGGGGGGAGTTTCACTTGAGCCCAGAAGTTCAAGACCAGCCTGGGCAACATGACGGAACCCCATCTCTATTAAAAATACAAAAAACTAGCTGGATGTGGTGGTGCACACCTGTAGTCCCAGCTACTTGGGAGCTCGAAGTAGGAGGATTGCTTGAGCCTGAAAGGTCGAGCTGTAATCACACCACTCCAGCCTGGGCAACAGAGTGAGAGACCCTGTCAAAAAATATATAGTGATTGAATGAATGAGTTATACTGCTAAATGGTTTAAACAATTATCTAAACATTGTTTATGTTCTTTTGAGACTTTGAAGACATTGACTTTCAAATCCAGTAGTTTCCAAATTTAATCATCAGAATTACTTGGAGCACTTTTTAAAAATGCCCAAGTCTTCCCCCCAAAACTCTTGGAGTAGTTACTTCAGGATATGCGACTCTGAGATTTTGGTTTTGATTCAGATATAATCCAGGCATTGGGACCATTTTGCAAAGGAGAGAGTAGACCAGAGATAATGAGTGCATTATCTCTGCCAGGGTCTGCTGGGGAGAACCTGCCCTGATGCCCAGGCCAGCGTGCTCTGGCTGCCTGGCTTATGTCTAACAGGAGCTGGAGGGCATGAGGGTGGGACGCTACTGTTCACATCACAGGGAAGATGTGAATGGGGGTGGTTTGGGGTGGAGCGTTGACCAGGCTTTTAAGAGAACTGTGGGTTTATGCCTGGTAATGATAAAGGAAAGTAGATTTCAGGTGCAGAAAACATATCCGTTGTCATTTAAGTAAAGTTAGAATCATAGGTCTGAGATAATTTAATAGACTTTTCCATTTGTCAAAGATGTATGTCTTATTTCCCAGTGATCTCTTTCCTTCTCAAATATACTTGCTACTACAAATGACATTCCAAGAGCCCATTTCAGTCCCCTGAGCGTTTTGATTTTTCTTTCGAGCAGTAGACCTGCTGTAGTTTAAGCTGGTTGGGAAAGCTGTCGTTCACCTTGATGGATTACCGTCCCCGCAGTGAGCACCCAGTCTCCAGAAAGTTCACGGCTCCCTCACCTTATGTATCTGATTTATGTAGAAACGTCGATAAATTAGTTAGGAGGGCATTCTTGCTGATATCAGCAATCCCAGAGCACCTGGGAGGAAAGCAGAGTGAAGATTTTGAAAGTCACAGGCGATGTCGGCCACTCTCCTGTGTGGCCCAGGAACCTCACACAATGATAAGATAAGGAAGTTTAATGGATGGTGCTGCCTTCTGAAAGATTAATCGTGCCTTGAAATCTAGATATTTTCATTTCAGGCTGAAAACAGTAAATTAGAAATTAATAAAAAGGAGATGATTTCATCAGCTCAACAAGTGCTTCTGATTTCAAGAAGTTTTCCTTAAATTTTTTTTTTCACTGCTGAAAAAAATCAGTGTCTTGATAATTTTATGAAGTAGCCTGTAATTATTTCACTATGGCTTTGCATCTGAGAACTGACCATTTGTGTTTTGAATTCATGTCAAACAATAATATATTCGATAGCATTTTATGATTTATTTTAGTGCCTAAATATTTATAAAACAAAGGCAGGGTTTTTTATTTTCAAATTTATGAGCTAGATAATGTCTTGAAGATGTACAACATAGTATACTAATTTTCCTTGCATTCTGGCAGTCCTCAAAATGTAATAGGCAAGTTTATTCTTAGACAAAAGCCCATTTAATTAAAACTCACACGATAACTTTCATACATAGCAATTGAATTATTCCTAAAAGGATTAAATACCTAAGCTTTGAAGTTGGATGGGTGATTATTACAAAAGCCAGATTAATACAATTGACCTAATTTCTAGTCAGTGACATTATAAGCAGCCTTGTAAGAATAGCTGTTACTACAAATATGCGGGTTTGCAATGTTCAATTCTAAAGTGGTCTAATTTGTTCTTACTACCTGCCAGAATGTATGCATTCAAGTGGGTGTCCTCCATGACAGCTTTAATTGGTAGTACAATGGTATGAGTGTGGAAAGGAGCTGGTATTTTTCCTGTTTATTCATTAATTGAACAATTGATTGGTCATCTACTGCATGCCAGTTAGCTTATTAGGGGCTCAGATGCAAGTGGGGGAAGGTAATAATCAACAAGGAAATATCTGTCATGTAGAGAAATAAAGGAAGGTAGGGTGGAGGGTTAAAGTAAGACAGGTTCAGTATTCCACTGGGGATCAGGGAGGGCTCTCACTTAAGTGAGGTAGGTTGACCATGGATTACCTGGGGGCAGAGTGTGCTCAAGCAGCACCTGCAGGCCACAGGGAGGCTTTGAGTTTTGTTCTGAGTGAGATTGGAAGGTGTTGGAGAGTTTGAGTTTTTTTTATTCTTTGAGATTGGAAGGTGCTGGGTTTTATTCTGTGAGATTGGAGGTATTGAGTGAGATTGGAAGGTGTTGGAGAGTTTCAAGCAGAAAAACTGTAAGATCTGCAGATGTTTTAAATAGATGTCTCTGTAAATTGTAAAACTGTAAGACATGGGTAAGAAGCAATCATTTTCAGGGGTGAGACTGCTTGTAGGACTTCACATGAGCAAACGCCAGGCAGAGTGTGGAACCTGGACCCTTCAAAGAGAAACGCAGGTGGAAGAAGCAGCAAGGAGGAACGGGGCTTAGCTGGGCCATCGCCGCCGTCTTCTCTGGCACTGCCCCTGTGTTTTCCGTTCAGAGAAAAGCCTTTCCTAGCATTCATGACCCCCATCCTGTATCATCCAGGTTCCACACGGTCCTCTTCTGAGAGACCCTCCCGACTACTCCTGTGCCCGTTGCCATGCCATTTGTTGGATCACTTGCAGGCCCCGAGTCTCAAACACATGATTTATCATCAGATCGTACAGTCGTCAGAAGGGTCCCACCGTTTCTAACCATGTGACCTGGGCGGTTGCTTTACTTCTCCGCACCTCAATGTCCTTGTCTGTAAAATGGGGCGGATCAGCCCACCTACTGTTTGGGATTAAATGAGGTGATGTGCATAAAGCTGTCAGTGCCATCCCTGGGCTGCAGCGGGCGTTCTGGAAATATCACAGATTACCATCACTGTCCGCCGCGCGGCATCCGTATGCCCTTGATTCATACACAGTGCCACGCGTGGGGGCGGTTCTCAGTCAGAAAATACCAAGAGCAGCCGCCGCATCTTAGAATTTGCTGTGTTTTACTCAGTCCTTTTGGGGTGTCAGCATTTTGTTTTCTGTGTGTTGGCAGTTGATCGGTAATTTCCACCGATGCCCCTGTACCTCCTCCATCCCCAGTCTTCCCAGTCTGCATGGCTTCAGGTGTCACTTCTGGGTTCATGTCTGCTAAATTTATGTTGGTAGTTTTAGACTCTCCTAATCCCCTACTTGGCGTTCCTCATCATTGGTAGGCACATCTCTGAATGTGCGTCTTTCCAGACCCAAATTCAGCTCGTCTTAAACTGTACTCCTCTTAAAACCTATTTCTCCTTAATTCAGGTTACAGGGAACACTGCCTCCCTTAGTCCATCATTTGGGCAGCTTCGGTCAATAACCCTCCCCTGTGGTTCCTCTTCTCTCAGATTTCATCCCCTCTGTCCTGATGAAGCCCCTGCTTCTAGCCTCTCACCAGCTCCTCTTGTTCATCTTGGCTATAGATGCTTATCAGCAAAGATGTTGGTTCTTCCCAATGGTGAGGATAAAGTGTGGGTGCTGATGAAGGCAGGATAGTGACCTGATGTAGGGTTCTCTGGGTAAAACACAATGTTTAGGATTCCCCTCTAGCACAAGGTTGCTTTAGGTCTCGGAGATCAGTGCACCAAGAGAACAGCAACCAGCAGTGACCTCTCCTAATGACAGTGGTCATACTAGTATGACCATATTACCAGAAGAAAGAAGAGAGGTTGTTTTTTAAAGCACTGGAGATTCCATGTCAGAAAATGTGCTATTCTGGCCGGGCGCGGCGGCTCACACCTATAGTCCCAGCACTTTGGGAGGCTGAGGCAGGCAGATCAGTTGAGCTCAGGAGTTCGAGACCAGCCTGGCCAACATGGTGAAACCCTGTCTCTACTAAAAATACAAAAATTAGCTGGGTGTGTGGCACACACCTGTAATTTCAGCTACTCGGAAGGCTGAGACAGGAGAATCGCTTGAACCTGGGAGGCGGAGGTTGCAGTGAGCTGAGATGGCACCACTGCACTCCAGCCTGGGTGACAAAAGAGAGACTCTGACTCAAACAAACAAACAAACAACTGTGCTATTTTAATAGATATTCAACTAAGAAATGGGTGGGTGTAAGTGATTTAACCTGAACCCATCTCAGCAGAAACCTCAGTTGATGAACTTTTTCTTTTCTTTTTAAACCCACTTTAAGAAGAAGTACATGACAATACCGCAGCCCCTGGAGGTTATTTCATGCAGGTGGAGAGTGGATTCACCACATCCTCCAGCTCTGAGACCGGTGTTCAGTGAGAGGTGGTTGTGGGCTTTGAGTCTGTGAGATCTTCAGTCATCCAAGTTGGATTTTGTTTATTTGACTTAGGGTAGATGTTGGACCAATACCTCGTAGGAAGGTTTTTGAATCGGGAGTTGAAGCAAAGCAGCATTTCTTGTTAGTCCTCAGTTAATTAGAAAATTAAATTAACTACAATCCTCATTCCCAGAGCTTTCTGGGTAATTGATGTCTTACTGTATTTGGATTAGAGAAGGCCCCAGGAGGCACAAGGTTATAATTGTGTAGAATTAGAGAATCTAGGGAAGAAGGAATGGCAGGTAATTTGCAAAATTTCAAGGCAGGGGGCCCTCCCCAAAGTCCCATGGCAAAGGCATTGCTTGGTGAGCACGCGGGGCTGGGCCAGAGGCTGCCTACTCGGGAGACATCAGCTGTGGGTCAAGAGCTACTTAAAAGAGAATTCAGGAGATCAAAGTATTGTCTTCCACCATTCATCAGAAGAAAATACATCTAGATTTAAACCCTGGAATTAGACTGGCTTGATGCTTTTAATTTGCATTTAAAGTCTTAAACTTTTTCTTCTTCCAAATATTTACCATTTTCTGTAGTCCTTTTAAGTATTTGGACTAGACTTATTTAGAAATGTACAGAGTGCAGAACAATGTAGACTCTTGAGTGGCTAAGAGTCTAAACGGCTGAGGAATGTAGATCATTTTTGGACTTAAAATGAAGCTTTAACTGCCCCCAAATGGAGGACCTCCTTTTCTGGAAGCAAATTGCAATCTGAATGCTCTGTGCTAAAGCTTAAAGCATAGCAGGAGAAACTATTAGAATTTGTATAGTAGCATTGCCTTGGACGAGCCTAGTGCAAACTGAGCCTGGTATGTGGACCAAGTACTGTTTATGACTTTTCTTTAAGCATAAGTTACTCAGGGAAAGTATTATCAAAACAAATTTGG
The DNA here is from genome assembly GCF_000001405.40 of Homo sapiens. Lineage (NCBI taxonomy): Eukaryota > Metazoa > Chordata > Mammalia > Primates > Hominidae > Homo > Homo sapiens. Next base: position 154,393,451 of record NC_000007.14, read on the forward strand.
TTATAATTGTCTTCAGACTTGTTTTTCTGGGACTTGGGACTTAAAAGAGGGGAGTAGGCTGTGGATAAGCTTTGGAGTTGGCCCACACAATGGAGATTGTTCAATTTTTTTTTTTTTTTGTCCTCTCAGACCCAGTAACTTTGGGATTTTTATTGACTACTTTTTTCTCCAATTTTTAAAATTATGGTAAAATATATATAACATAAAATTGTCCATCTTAACCATTTTGAGGTGTATAATTTGGTGGTATTAAATGCATTAATAATGTTGTATGATGATTACCACCATCTATCTCTGCAACTCTTTTCATTTTGTGTAGCTGAAACTCTGTACTTACTAAACAATCTCTTCATTCCTCCCTCCCCCAATCGCTAGCAACCACCATCCAATGTTCTGTCTCCATGATTTTGACTACTCTTAAGTACCTTGTATAAGAGGAATCATCAAGCATTTTTCTTTCTGGACTGCCTTGTTTCACTTAATATAAGTCCTCAAGGTGCCTCCATGTTGTAGCATGTGTCTGAATTTCCCTCAATTTTTAGTCTGAATAGTATTCCATTGTATGTGTATGTTACATTTTGCTCATCCATTTATCAGTTGATAGACTCTTGGTTTCCATCCATGTTTTAGGTATTATGAATAATGCTGTATACCAGAAGTGGAATTGCTGGATCATATGGTTATTTCATTTTTAATATTTTGAGGAACCATCATACTGTTTGCCACAGCATCTCTATCGTTTTACACTCTCACCAACAGTGCACAAGGGTTCAGTTTCTCCACATCCTCACTAACTTATTTTCTGTTTGTTTGTTTGTTTGTTTTTAACAGTAGCCATCCTACTAAAGAGGATCTCATTGTGGTTTTGATTTGCATTTCCCTAATGATTAGTGGTGTTGAGCATCATTTCATATGCTATTTGGCCATTTGTGTACCTTTTTTGGAGAACTGTCTATTTAAAAGTTCTGCCCATTATTGAATTGAGTTGTTTTGTTGTATTTTTTGAGTTTTAGAAGTTCTCTATTTGTTAATTCCTTATTACATATATATATATGAATTGCAAATATTATTTCCTCTCCTGTGGGTTGCCTTTTTATTCTATTAATATTGTCTTTTATGCAAAATTTTAAACAATTTCTCGAAGTCCTATTTGTTTATTTTTCCTGGTTGCCTATGCCTTTGGTGACAATAAATCAATGCCAAGAAATCATGGACAAACCAAATGTCATGAAGTTTTGCCCTGTCTTTTCTTTTAAGAGTTTCATAGTTTTAGATCTTACATTTAGGTCTTTGATCCATTTTGAGTTAATTTTTGTATATAGTGTAAGGTAAGGGTCTAGCTTTATTCTTTTGTATGCCAATATCCACTTTTCCTAATCATTTGTTGAAAGAACTGACATTTCCTCACTGAATGATTTTAGGACTTTTAACAAAAGTCATTTGTCCATATATGCAAGTTTCTTGGCTCTCTACTTAATGCATTGGGATTGCGATAGAGATGGTGTTGAGTCTGTATATCACTTTGTGTGGTGCCTTACTTCATTTGGGCTGCTATGACGTAATACCATGGACTAGGTAGCCTCTAAACAACAGACATTTATTTCTCACCATTCTGGAGTCTGAAAAGTCTAAGATTAAGGCACTGGCAGATTTCACATCTGATGAGGGTGTGTTTATCATAGATGGTGCCTTCTCTCTGTGTCCTCAAATGATGAAAGGGACAAACAGGCTCTTTCAGGCCTTTTGTAAGGTCTCTAATCTTATCCGTGAACATTCTGCCTTCTTGACCTAATCAACTCCCAAAGTCCCTCACCTCTTAATACCATCAGGTTGGAGGTTAGGTTTCAACATACAAATTTTGGGGGGAAACAAACTTTCATATTGTAGCGGGTAGCATTGACATCTTAACAACATTAAGTCTTCCCATCCATGAACATGGGATGTGTTTCCATTTAATTATGTCTTCTTTAATTTCTTTCAGCAAGGCTTTGTAGTTTTCATTTTACAAGTTGTTCACCTCCGCGGCTAAGTTAATTCCTAAGTATTTTATTCTTTTTGATGCTGTTGTAAATGGAGTTGTTTTTATCATTTCCTTTTCAGATTGTTCATTGTTAGCATAGAGAAATTCAACTGAATATTGTGCATGGACTTTGAAATTTTGCAGAATGTACTGATTAGTTTTAACAGGATTTTAAAAAATGGGATCCTTAAGGTTTTTATATATAAAATTGTATCATGTGTAAACAGATCATTTTACTTTTTTTTCTGATTTAAATTACTTTTCTTTCTTTTTTTATTTTTGGTCTAATTGTTCTGGCTAGAACTTCTAATATTCTGTTGAATCAAATAAGTGGTAAAAGTTGGCATCCTTACGTTGTTCTCTATTTTAAAGGAAAATATTTCAGTCTTTTGTCATTGAGTATGATGTTCACTCTGGGTTTTTGTATGGATTTTATTTATTTTGAGGTAGTTCTCTTCTATTTCTAATTTCTTGAGTTTTTTTTTTTTTTAATCATAAAGCGCTGTTGAATTCTGTCAAATGCTTTTTCTGCATCAATTGAGATTATTACATTGATTGCTTTTTTTAAAGTCCTTATGACTTCGGAAGAGAATATACTTACGAATTGTTATTTTTGAATTGACCTGATTTAACTCTCCAGTCACTCAAATAATGGCACAAATAAAAATTATAACAATGATTATGTGCTTACTATGTGCATGACACTGTGCAAAACAATTCATGTTCATTATGTAGTTACTACTCAAAATACCTCCTAGGTAGGTACTGCTATTCTTTCCATTCTACAGATGAGAAACCAGGGCTGAGAGATGTTCAGTAACATGTCCAAGCCACCAGGCCAGGAAATAGTGGGACTGTGATTTAAACTCTATTTAACTCCTGTGCCTGCACTTGTGAGAGCTGTGCTACACGTGTGGACAGGACCCTTATTCTAATACTGTGGAGTGGAAAGGAAGGAAGAAAGGGAGGGAGGGAAATAAGTATAATGATCCTCTTTTCCTATAACTTCAGAGAGAGTAATTGTCCAGCTAGCACCTTCCTGAACCAAGGGAATGCTATCTCGTGCTCATATTGAAAGAAAGATAAAAAGACAATCGGTGAAGGATTGTAATGAAGATTAAAGGAGCCTGGAGCACAACTTTGGTTTCCCTGATATTTTTCATTACACAGAGTTATTACGTGTTAGAGCACACACAAAGTGTATTCTCGGCCAGGCACAGTGGCTCACTTTGGGAGGCCAAGGTGGGTGAATCACCTGAGGTCAGGAGTTCAAGACTAGCCTGGCCAACATGCCGAAACCTTGTTTCTACTAAAAACACAAAAAATTATCTGGGTGTGGTGGCATGCACCTATAATGCCAGCTACTCAGGAGGCCAAGGTAGGAGAATCACTTGAACCTAGGAGGCGGAGGTTGCAGTGAGCTGGGATCGCGCCACTGCGCTCCAGCCTGGGCGACAGAGCAACACTCCATCTCAAAAACAAAAAAAGTACTCTTTTTTTGCAGAGGAAGAACATTATAATAAATGATGAAATCTATGAAACAGAATGAAATGGGACCTGCTTTTGGAATAATCTAATGAAATAGATTATTTTAAATAATCTAGTAAGATAAATTAGATTTATAAGATAAATTTAGAAGATAAATGTAAAATTATAAGATAAATTTATAATATAAATTAGATTTATAAGATAAATCTAATAAGATTATTTTAAATAATATAAAATAAGGTCAAAATGAAGGCACTTCTGATGTTTTTTTTCATGAGCATTAAGCAGTGCGCACCAACTGAACTCTAGTATAAAGTGGCTTACCAGAATTATAAAAAGACTGCACATGTTCAATTTTAATCTATATCTTATGAAAATGGTAATGGAAGAGACAATCTGCCTGAGAAAGGAATAGAAGAATCACATTTTAGTTTTAATTTCTCATTGATAAACCTCCTTTAGAAACGAGAGAGTATTCTAGAATCGTCCAATTGATAGAAAATAATGTATTTCCCCAAATGCAATGTCTTTGTTATGAAGTCACACCTGCACTATTGAATAAAATATTATCCATGTTGTGTGTGACATGATTTCAGTAGAATAAATTATCAGTGAATGACCCACAATAAATCATATGCCTCCACTTCATGCTGTTAACACTTCATGCTGTTAATACTTCATGCTGTTAACACTTCATGCTGTTAATTCACTTCTGATGGGGAAGCTACTCAAATTCCGATGGAAATGTTGATGTTGCAGCATTTGGGATGAGTTCTAATATGTTTGTTCACTTTTAAACACTCCTGAGATGTGGATGAAGAAGCTGACCAGCAGGTGTGTGATACATTTGTTTGCGCTGTGCTGTACTGGGAGGAAAGAAAGCAGCAAAGGTGTCTTCTCTAATAAACACCACTCTTTCCCCTTCTAGATCTCCAAATCTTTCTAGGTCTTGGTGCCTTTGAGCCTTTCAGTCAATCTTTTAAATAAAATGGTTTCCAGGTGTTTATTCGTGTCAATTTAATTTTCCCTAAAAATACATTTCTAGATTTTTACCCAACCACTGTGATGCCGTAAAATATGGCAGAATTCTGGGCATGGTAAAACTGTTAGGAAGAATCAGAGCACCAACCCTAGATGTACATAATGCGTCAGGGTGTGAGGTTGAGGGTGTTAATGACACTATATTGAGACAGTATATTGAGCATCTGTGAGGCACAGGCAGTCACCAGATGTTGTGCATATGTAGCTTGTTAGTTTTGCCAATACCTCTGTGAGGTACTCATTTTTAAGCCCATCCCTAAAAATGAGGAAACCGAGGGGCAGATAATTTAAATAATTGCCTAAGATCTCTCAACTAATTAGTAACAGAATTTGGATTCAATCCAAGATGATCTTAACTCTAAGCATTAGCATGCTACACCATCACACTGCCAGATTTACCTTTGAGATTCATTTGTAGGTTGTATGCAGTGATAGTATCGCCTTTGTTCATTTGCACATCAAAGACTTCGTGACCAATCTGAACACCCTTGTATTTGGGCACCAATGTGATCATAAGAAGAAAACGTTATCTGCCATCATCCTATTTCTTTTTCCTTTCTATTTTATGGTCATATTTTTTTCTCCATTTCAAGTAGAGGGACATCCTTCATATTTTCTCTCTCTCTCTCTCCTGGTTATGCTGTTTTCATTTTGCAAAGTGAAACACACACAACTAGCAGAAAATGAGGTGTGCCAGGTGCATTCACACATCACTTGTCTCCCAGAGTACCAGACTCTGGTGTCTCAGAGGCGTGATTCTCTTGAGGGGGGAAATTATGTTTTGCAGACCTTGTTCATTTATCACTTCTATCTATCTCAGACGTTCTTTTCTTAAAAGAAGCAAGACTCAGGCACACTGAAGGTCATTTCCATGGGACACACTTGATTGCTTAGAAAAACAAATTTGAAAAATACTTTCTTCAGAAGGAAAGATATTGTTTCTCCAGGGTAAAATATTTCTGAGGGCTTGACTCTTTCCAATGACGCCTTTATGTAAGCTGTTGGAGCAGGGCTCTTAATTGATAAGCAGCTGTGTTAATAATTCACAATGAATAGCATATTTAAAACGTCAACCCAGTGTTGATTCTTATGGCAGTATCTGAGGCGAGAGAGACCAAAGCAACAATGACAATGAATCTTTAGATTCTGGAAACTCAGGAGAAGCCACACTATCTCTAGAGTCACCACCTTCCTTTTTTAAAGAAAGAGGGAAGGTTCCCCTCTCCAAAGGAAAGTTTGCTTCCCAGGTAACCGTGATCTTTGTGACCTATTACTGATTTCGTTTAAACAGAGTCTTTATGTTCAAATGCAACTGTGTGGTAAAATGGCCCCAGAATCCAGACATCTAGATCATGCCTGTAACACTTTTCTTAATTTTTGTATTTATATTGGATAACTCATGCAATTTTTCAAAGACTCCATTATTATTTCTATAAAATGAAGATAATCTTACCTACACGGTTAACCTCGCAGAATTGTTGGAAAGATGAAATGAGGCAGTCATATATGGATTAGAAATTGGAACCTCCTAAACTCCAATGCCAGGTGTTAGTTTCTTTACATCTTTCTTGTAGTCAAAAAAAATTCTGGGTAATTGTTTTGAGCAGTTATATTGAGAACATCCTCTGAGAAAAGAACTGTGTGCATCTTGCCATGGAAAAGAAGTCTGTCTCTGCACGTAAATTACCTGATAGGGCATGAGAGTTACTGCAGAGAGGTGGATGCATGGGAGAACGCAGGGGTGGGGGAGGGACCCATCAGTTGGTGCCTTCTGTTCTGCCCCATTTGGGGTGTGCACTTTAAATGGCTAAGAAAGGATATCATTTCTATTCAGGTGGAGGGTAGGGGTGCTTCATGGAAGAGACTGAATTTTAACTTAGTCTTGAATAATAGATACAATTTACTGAAATATGTATATATGAAAATATCCTTCAAGGGAAGAGAGTTTGCCAAGGTCAAACAGGCCGAGAAGTCTAGGTGTGTTGGGGGAAGGCTGAGAGGTGCACCTTGGAGGGAGTGCAGGTGTGTGTGGGAGGAGCATAGAGTCTTGCTGGACAGAGACCTCCAGGGGCATTTGAATACTGCTGGAAATTATTTGGTGTGTCCTGGAGGTAAGAGAGACCAGGGAGCAGTTTGTCTGTGCAGGAAGCAGTGGAGTGTGGTCTGCATGCCCTGGAGAAGCCAAGGCCTGAGGGCTCTCCTTGCGGGAGACGCCTCCTGACTCTCACTGGCCACAGCAAAGAGAGGTAGGTTTGCTGGCTGGAAGCATAAACACAGCCCTAAGTGCCACATCTCCCCAGAGATGGCGTGGAGTTCCTCTGAGGGAGGACATGGCTCCACGCCATGTTTTGAGCACAGGTGAGGCAGTGACTTATGAGGGACAATGAAAGGTCAATTCAAGCTTTAGGAAGTAGGTTTGGACCCAAGAATCTTTTTAGGTGATCTCTGAAATTATGATCATGAATGAGATCATGAGGAAAGGCTCCTTGGATTTCCCACTGGGGCCATTTTAGCGGCTGCCCACCAGATGCCATGATTGACTATGTTATTCTTTTTATTTGGTGCCAACCAGAGAATCATTTTATCCAGTTCAGATCTCCCATTAGTAGCTGATATGAGTTTGGTTTAGAATAAGAAAACTAACTCTTAGCCAGATAGGCAAGCATGGAATCACACATACACATACAAAATACACCTTTGGAGATAGATATTTGCAGGTAATTGTTTTGAAACAAAATTTTTCCATATATTTTGTAAAATTTTAAATTTCTCATTGTATGACATTTTATTATAACAGAAAAGAACCATGAATTCCTCTTAATGAAGACCTTTCTTGTCTTCACTGTTATTATCCTAAAGATATTTATTTAGCATTTGGTGTAGTGTAAGATGAATTGCACAGCTAATTTAAATGTATTACTGGCTGGGCGCAGTGGCTCACACCTGTAATACCAGCACTTTGGGAGGCTGAGGAGGGCAGATCACGAGGTCAGGAGCTTGAGACCAGCCTGGCCAACATGGCAAAACCTCGTCTCTACTAAAAATGCAAAGATTAGGTGTGGTGGCATGCACCTGTAATCCCAGCTACTCGGGAGGCTGAGGCAGGAGAATCACTCGAACCTGGGAGGTGTAGGGTGCAGTGAGCCAAGGTCATGCCACTGCACTACAGCCTGGGTGATAGGGTGAGACTCCATCTCAGAAAAAACAAAAACAAAAACAAAAAAAAAACAGGTATTACTGGCTGCCCCCTTTGGAAACAGTACACCAAATTTACTGTGCCTGATTCTAAGAATAGAAAATTGAAGGATGCCTTAGAGAAGAAATAGAGACATTTTAAAATAATGACAACTTTGGAAAATAGCACCCAGAATCCCGTGGCTTAACTTTGTTCAGTACAACCCCAAATTATTGATTTATGATTTTTTGACCCTGAGAAAAGATGCAGATGCAGAGAAAAGATGTAGAAATCCCTCCCCTTCCCCTCTCCTCCTGGGAGCCACATAGGGTATGAAAGTGGTAGAGATCCTTTCTGCTGAGCCAATAGTCGTCTTTAAAACTCTGGGATCCCCTTCCTTACACCTTATACAAAAATCAATTCAAGATGGATTAAAGACTTAAACGTTAAACCTAAAACTATAAAAACCCTAGAAGAAAACCTAGGCATTACCATTCAGGACATAGGCATGGGCAAGGACTTCATGTCTAAAACACCAAAAGCAATGGCAACCAAAGCCAAAATTGACAAATGGGATCTAATTAAACTAAAGAGCTTCTGCACAGCAAAAGAAACTACCATCGGAGTGAACAGGCAGCCTACAAAATGGGAGAAAATTTTCGCAGCCTACTCATCTGACAAAGGGCTAATATCCAGAATCTACAATGAACTCAAACAAATTTACAAGAAAAAAACAAACAACCCCATCAAAAATTGGGCAAAGGACATGAACAGACACTTCTCAGAAGAAGACATTTATGCAGCCAAAAAACACATGAGAAAATGCTCACCATCACTGGCCATCAGAGAAATGCAAATCAAAACCACAATGAGATGCCATCTCACACCAGTTAGAATGGCAATCATTAAAAAGTCAGGAAACAACAGGTGCTGGAGAGGATGTGGAGAAATAGGAACACTTTTACACTGTTGGTGGGACTGTAAACTAGTTCAACCATTGTGGAAGTCAGTGTGGCGATTCCTCAGGGATCTAGAACTAGAAATACCATTTGACCCAGCCATCCCATTACTGGGTATATACCCAGACGACTATAAATCATGCTGCTATAAAGACACATGCACACGTATGTTTATTGAGGCATTATTCACAATAGCAAAGACTTGGAACCAACCCAAATGTCCAACAATGATAGACTGGATTAAGAAAATGTGGCACATATACACCATGGAATACTATGCAGCCATAAAAAATGATGAGTTCATGTCCTTTGTAGGGACATGGATGAATTTGGAAATCATCATTCTCAGTAAACTATCGCAAGAACAAAAAACCAAACACCGCATATTCTCACTCATAGGTGGGAATTGAACAATGAGAACACATGGACACAGGAAGGGGAACATCACACTCTGGGGACTGTTGTGGGTTGGGGGGAGGGGGGAGGGATAGCATTGGGAGATATACCTAATGCTAGATGACGAGTTAGTGGGTGCAGCGCACCAGCATGGCACATGTATACATATGTAACTAACCTGCACAATGTGCACATGTACCCTAAAACTTAAAGTATAATACTAATAAATTTAAAAAAAAGAAAAAAATAAAAATAAAAATAAAAATAAAACTCTGGGATCCAAAAGACAGACTCAGTGATAGTTTCCCAATACTGTTATTGGGAAAGCAATAAGGCTGAATAAAAGGAAAGACCCTTAAATAAAGTAGAAAAGATTTGCATGTGACAAAACTGGAAGCAGAGAAACTTTAAAAGCACATACATTTTGTTCAAGGAACAACTATAGTTCTTAGTCTCAGAGGGATTTAGGCATTTGCCCAAGATTATGATGTGTAAAACAGAGATGCTAATAGCTAATTATCAGAGTTATTTATATGACTGTGTCAGGTACCTGCCTGAAAATGCTCAACACTGTCCATCAGTAAGTAAGAGCACCAGAGAATGACTGTCTCTTTTCTTTGTGGTTCTAACGTGTCACCCACGTTAGTTCCCTGGACTCAGCAGGTCGCCACCGTGAGGCCCCAGCATTTGGGTCCATCACTGGCGATGTGCTGCTGGCCTCAGAATGTCTGCCTCTGACTATGCAGGAGGTTGCTGTGTGATAGAGTGCGGGGGAATCAGGACACCGCCCACCGCTGTCCAAATGCCAAGTGGCGATTCAGGTACCTTAGGAGGAAAAGGGACATGGTGAGGACTGGAGTTGCGGTAGATGCCTCCTGGGTGTTGAAGAGTCCGAAGGATCCAGAATGGCAGAGAGGGGAAATGGGGGCAGCCATGCATGAAGACAGGCTGGGGGGCGCTAATGCAGCTTTCTCTCCTGGAGCCTCTCATCTCCACCTGCTGCGGAAGCTCCTGTGCATCCAACTCTGGGCTGGGAAAGCAAAGAGCACTGGGCAATCACGCCTTTCTCTGCTGTCTGCACGTGGCGAAAATGAAAGCATTTCATGGAACCTGTTTGGGGCACGTGAAGAGTGGGCCAGAGTGCCAGGGAGGCAGCAATCTGCAGGTTGCGTTCATGCCGTGACAGTCCATTCAGGGGTGCAGGAGCTGGTAGCTGAGTTCCCCTTCCTGTTTTACACTTCTGGTCTTTTGGTTCTCAATACCTCGGGGTGTAAAGGACAGCTCTTTATTTGGCTGTGAATATCCACCACTGTCTTCCTACTTCTCTTTCTTTGGAAGCATTTCATTTCCTTTTCTAGAAAATTTGGAGCTGAAGTGCTCGGAAGGCCACTGATTTTAAGCTCATTAAACTCACATTCACCTTTGTCTTTTGTTGAAAAAAGTTAATCTTGTTTTCCAAAGGGCCACAGGAGGATATTGTATGGATGTTATTTATTGTCCTTCACAAACACACCCCAGAGATTAGCTCATTATAGGTTTTATTCAACAAAGTAATTATTGCAGAGAGGAAGCTGAGCTTTTAGTGATGGACTTGGAAGTGATGGGTGACCACTCTCACTGGACTCCAGATAGAAACAGAAATCAAAGCCGCTGTCTAATCACACTTCACTCCTCCCTCTGCATAGGACTGTAATTGGTACTCAAGGAGAACACTAAATCAAAGATCTCATAAGGCAAATATTAGCAGCATGTATCATGTAAATAAGAATAATGATCAGAAGCTACGCAGAGGAGGGACTATTGTGCTCAAAAGCAGTGGAAGAAATCATAAAAGAAAGATCCATAAATGTTCCTTGAAGACAACAACATTAGACTTTATAAAATACCACACAGAAAATCAGAAAAGAGCCTAGAGAAAATATTTACCACAAATAAGAAGGATTACCATCTTTGAGCTACGGGAGTGCCCATATGAATCAATAAGAAGAAAATTACAAAGGCCAAATGCATAAACAGCCAAGGACATGAAGAGATGAATGGAAGAAAGAGAAAATAGGAATGATGACCAGGTCGACCAGAAACATTCAACTTAACCAGTAATGATGGAAATTCAAATTAAGGCTAAAAGGAGACAGTTTGCTTATAAAATCAGTACCTATTTCAATAGTTGTGATTCGATAAAATGGACTCCTCTCAATACTTGGTATGGCTGTAATTGGATAAAAGTGTTCTGGAGAGGAAATCAACCTTATGTTGCAAGAGCAGTAAAAATGTTGATATGCTCTGATACAGAAATTCCACGTCTAGAAATTTATTCTAAGTAACATTATGTACAGACCCAATTACAAAAAAAAATGCACCAGTATGTTTATGATAGCAATTTTTTAGGTTGTAAAAATAGAAAAAGACATCCATTAAAAATTATGCTTAGAATAAGTTTAGTAATAATAACAAATGTGTTTTGTGCCTATGTGTGCCAAGCGTCATACCTACATAAATATGTGTGTGTACACATATACGTATGCAAATGCATATATTTATATGTATGTGTACATTTCTATGTATGTGAATTTTTTTTCATTTGATTTTTCACCAACCCTATAAAGTAAGACCCATTATTATCCCAGTTTGTAGATGAAGAAACTATGACTTGGAGAGTTTATTAGCTCAAGCAACAATCATACACCCATTAAATTACATAGCGCTTCCTCCAGATCTTCAGGTCCAGATCCAGTGAAAAGGAAATGATACTAGGTGGAAATCCCTGTGGTTTGTTTTTGGATAAAAGTTTCCCAATACTAGGTAAAGATGTTCAGGTTTAAATAATGTTTTGTGACGTGCATGTACTGGTGTTTTGCTTGTTTTTCCTTCTAGCTACACATGAAAATAAGGATATTTTCCTTGTTACTATAAAAGTATTACATATTCCTTTAGGAGCTGCTTTCCCCCCCTTGTTTGTCGTCTCTTAAAAAAAGCATTTTCTAAGCAGACTGAGAAAGGAGTCTATTAACAAGCAAATTGCATTTGTGAGTAAGCTGAAGTGTAGGGAGTGGTATTTCCCACTGGGGCTCTGGAGGCTCAGCTCCCCAGTGCAGTGGCTGAACAGGGCCAGGCAGTGTGAGGGGACTGGAGCTGGGCACTCTGCTCAGGGGGTGGACAGAGAAGGGAACCTGGGAAGGCCCCCGGCAGGCAGGACTCAGAGGCTCTCAAACTGCTCTCAGATCTGCAGGACTGGCTTCCCACAACTCTGTTCATCCTCCTCCATCGCAAAATGAATATGTAAAGGTTTTCCTTTTACCTGCCAAAGACATTTTGGGAAAGTAATGTGAAGATTTGTACTTTGTGAATGGACTCATATTTATGTGTACAAAAGCATGCAGCAGTTTAAGGAATCCTATGGTGAATACTCTGATACAGAAGGAAGAATTATTTGAAATGCGATGCGTAACATAAATGACCTTTCAACTGAAGTTAACTTAGATACTGGTACATTAAGTTTTCTAAGAAATAAATATAAATAAATCTTATATTAATGCTAGCTAAAGGCAAACCGGGAGGCATGCTGTAAAGTCTATGCAAAATCTGGATGCTCATGGAGAAGATTCTTGTCAAATGTCATGTATTATTAGTATAGGTAGTCTCACCCTTCTAAAAAAGGAAACCAGAAGTTTGCCAGCCAACCTTTAAATTTTGAAAAGGTAAGTCTACAGTGTGCTTTTCATACGGTTTTCAAAAGCAGATAAACATTCTCTTTTATTAAACACACTTCTCAATTTAGTCATGGTTTGTGGACCAATGTTTTCTTAAATTATTTCATAATAATTTTACAACACTGAGAACTGGCTGTGAAATCAACCTTTGGGAAAAATTAGGAGTAGCCGGGGGATGCACACACGCATGCACACACACACACACACACGCACACATGCACATGCACACGCACACGCATACACACACACACATGCACACATACATGCACACACATCCACGCACAAATGCACACACACACGCACCTGCACACACACGTGGGTTTGCATGCTGACTTGACATCCAATGCTAACAGTTCAACCACATTTATGGTTTCATAAATACAATGAATCATGAGTAGACCTCTAGGTCAATGGTTCTCAAAGTGCAGTCTTCAGACCAGCACCATCAGCCTTCTCCTGGAACTTCTTAGGCAAATTCTGAGGACCCATTCCAGACTGAGTCAAAAACCCTGGATAGGTCAGTTATTCCTTACTACCTTTGCAAAACACCATTCTGTTTTAGCTCATGGTGATCAAATAAAGAGCAGGATGAATGCCAAGATAGAGTATATAGAACACCTGATATGGTGTTCTTTGGATCATGACCACACATCTGTTCCCAGCAAAAAGGAATTGTGCCAACAGGATGCATCAATGCACTCCTAATCAGTGTCACCTGATCATCCACTAATAGCTCAGGCAAACATCAGCTTTTCCATCAGTACACAAATCAGTCATTATTCTTGCCTCTCATCTTAGTGACAGTACTTCATTGCCCCAGCCTACTTGTCAAATCCATTGTCCTGTTAATTTTCTCCACACACTCCAGGGAGATAACAGAATCTCTGGGTAGCAGACCCCATCTCATGCCTCTGATATTTATAATTGTGCTGCCAACCTCCTCTTCCAACTAGAATTCCTCCCCATGTTTAAATTTCCAATTTAATTTCAAGATTCTTTGAGAAGATTCCTCCAAGTCTTCCCTGTTCTGAACCATGTATAACTCTTCTGCAGCTATCATTTGGTTCATCATGGTTCCCTTCATGAAAATCATTTTATGCATGTAATATCTTAACTGCCCAAATGTTATTGAAAAAGTTTTGAGAGGAAGAACTACATCTCACATGCCTTTGTATCTTTCAGTGCCTAGCCACTGTCTCACCACAAGAAGTTATAGTGTTTTCTTTGATGCCTTTAATGTAGATGTAGATTTTCGCTACAACGATTTTGCCAGGATGTGTTTAAAGATATTCACCCTTGGTCCCCTTTCTGCAGTTCCTTGGATCATGAAAGATGTGTTTGGTTTGGTTGGCCCTTACAGTTCATTTTCCTTTTGAATCCCAATTTAAAATTTTGGATTTTTAAAAAATAGAAATAAAACTTATGGCTTTCTTTAAAATAAAAGAAGACTTAGACCCTAAGTCTGCATTTTTATAGGAGTTGATGAAAGTTTATGCCCCTTTGAGGAGCATGTGAATTCCAGGCTGCCATGGTTCTCAGCACTTCCTAATATACCGTGTCCAATATGGAGATTGAGTTCTGGATTATTACCTGCCTGTAGTACTGATTTTCTTAGATTGGAGAGGATTCTCCATCAGGACTGCCAGGTTTCTAGCATTGGCTTTGCAACTTACTAGCTTTATCTAAGCAACCTTGTGCAAGATATTTAACTTTGGGAACAGTAATGATACCTAACTCATAATGTTGTTATCATGAGTTAATAAAGTCCTTAAAACCAACCTGGCACTTACTGAGTGCGCAAGAGGTATTTGCTGTTGTTGTCATAATTATTGTTAGAAATAGTAGTAATAGTAGGAAATTCAAATGTGGGAAGTAATTCTAGTTGGAGGGGAAGGTTGGCAGTTGTAGTAATAGTATTTACTAATGTTTCAAGGTAGAAAAATGAAATATGAATTAGGAAAGTTACATGTTCCAAGAAAAATGGGACACATTTATTTTCAAAAATAAAGAATGTTCCTGTATTCAATGTGTAAATACAGTGTTTTGGTCTCAAGGAGACTATAACTTAAGATGTCAGCTAATGTCACTGATTACCTGCTTGATTTATGTTGCTTCATTAAATTCAAGTTAGAAAAGTGGGTTCATTCTTGATTTCTTTTATCCAAATCCTACTATCAGTTTTATGTGGTTATTGTTTTTTTAAATCTTTTCAATATATATTTTTATATTGGAATAATGTTAGATTTACAGAAAAGTTTCAATGATAGTACAGACGGTTCTTATTTACCCCTTACACAATTTATCTCTTGTTATTAACATTTTACTTTTCTGTGGCACATTAGTCAAAACTAAGAAACTGGCATTGATACACGGCTATTAACTCAACTATAGACTTTCTTTGGATTTCACCAGTTTTCCCATGAATATTTTCTCTCTGTTCCAGACCCTAATGCTGAGTTCCCCATTGCATTTGCGTGTCCTATCTTTCCAGTCTCCTCTGGTCTATGACAGTTTCTCAGTCTTCCCCTGTTTTTTTTTTTTCTGACCTTGAATCATTTATTTATATCAACATTTTTATGGATTGAATTGTATTCCCCCCAACTCAAATTTATATGTTAAGGCCGGGCCTGGTGGCTGATGCCTGTAATCCCAGCACTTTGGGAGGCCGAGGCTGGTGGACTATTTGAGGTCAGGAGTTCAAGACCAGCCTGACCAACATGGTGAAACCACATCTGTACTAAAAAAGTAAAAAAATTAGCCAGGTGGTAGTGGTGCATGCCTGTAATCCCAGCTGCTCGGAAGGCTGAGGCAAGAGAATCACTTGAGCCTGGGAGGGGGAGGTTGTGGTGAGCTGAGATTGCACCACTACACTCTAGTCTGGGTGACAGAGTGAGACCCTGCCAATTTATATGTTAAAATTCCCAATACCTCAGAATGTGACTGTATTTAAAGATTGGTCCTTTAAAGAGATAATTAAATTAAAATGAGGTCATATGAATGGACCCTAATTCCATATGACTGGTGTCCTTATAGGAAGAGATTAGGACACAGCCATGCACAGAGAAAAGACCATGAAAGTATAGAGGGAGAGGCCACCATCTATAAGCCAAGGGCAGAGGCCGCAGATGAAAAGAGTCCTGCTGACACCTTCATCTTGGACTTCTAGTCCCTAGAACTGTGAGGAGGTAAATTACTGTTGTTTAAGTCTCCAAGTCTGTGGAATTTATTATGGTAGCCTTAGAAACTAATTCAAGTATGGACTCATATAAGTCATCTTTGAACTTTTCATTACAATCCAATTCTATGTTGTTTATATCGTGGCTCAAATGATTCCAGCTTTGACGTGGTCTCCCTCTCATGTTGGTTCCTCTGTCCTCTTAGCATGTACCTACACTTGTGATTTTTGGGCACTTTTCTGATACTACAAGATGTTCCAGGTTTGTTTTGTTTTTTCCTTGCCCTGGCGCTAAAATCAGTTATTTCTCCAAAGAGTGAGGTTCCTTTTACTTGTGAATGGCATTAAAAAACCAAGACCTATGGTACCAGGTTTTGATCCCTGACCTGTGGCACCACTTTCAACATACCATGGTTCTGTAGCAGTGCTGGCTGGGAGGCTTAATTCTTGCCTGTTAAGCATGGCCTTCAGTTTGGAAGCCCAGTCGCTCTCCAAGGTCCTGATTTTGAAAGGCTTTTCTTTATTGTGTGCCAGGAAAGACAGAGGAGAAAATAGACAAGAACATAACATTTAAGCACAGGTACAGTCATTCTCTGTTCTTTTCACATTTATGATGCTAATAAAAGAAGGAAGATATATTACATGAGTTAAAGAAATTTAGAAATGTTAGAATTTAAGAAGTAGTGCCTGTCTCTTTGCAAATCCATTTCTTGAAGAGGACAAGTGAGCCTCTTTAAGGAGAAAATTCAATAAGATACGTGGAAACAGAGCTTACATAACTTCAGATTTTCCTAACATCGTGTCTTAGGGATGACAGTTCAAGAGAAAATGTGCTAAAGCTGTGACTTGAAGGGTTTATTTAGATATGTGCATTTCCTGACAGGCGAGATTAGTGGATTCTGGAAAAAGCAATAAAAAGGTTTACAGAATTTTCTTCTAATTCTGCTGATAAACAGATGCAAACTGGCTTAAACTCTGCTGGGATTAAAATATTTCCGATTCAGTATTTCATCAGGTATAAATGTGGTTTTTCATCCACATTTCATTTATGAGGCAGATGAAACATTGAGATCTTTTTGATTCTGTGCATGCATTTGATAGTACACCTCCTTGGATAACCAATATTATGATATGCAATACTTTTTTTCTACATTTCTCTAACATGCTGATCTGTGGAGATAGGTGGAGGAGGTAGTGCTTGTTATAATTAAATAATCACACATTAGTTTTCACTAAGGATCTTTCATCGAAGGATGTTAAGAGCAAAATGGATTCTGCATTATTGCTGCAGTAGATTTTTAATTTTACTGTTAATAAGCATTAAAGTCCCACAGCATGCAATATTTTGTTTCTTCCCTTTTAAAGAATTAAATTTGGTGTTTTCCCTTAGAGCTTGATTGATTTGCTAGATTAAAAAGCATTTAAAATCATTGTTTAACACATGGAAAAACATATTGATTGTTGCAGTTCTTTATAAAGAAAAAAGTACAGTTTGGTTCCCTGAAAAATACATGAATTCTTTTAGCTGACTCTTAGAAATTAAGACACATGTATCTACAAGTAGGTTTGGGCCAAGAATGTTCCCTGCCCCAACTCCGTGAAAAATTTCCATTACATCAGATACTTCTAGGATTGTATATTCCCTTGGAAGATCACAAAGGACATCCGTCTCCACCTTTGCTTAAACCTAAGTGATCTTTATAAAGAAAAGACTCTTTAATGTTTAGTAGAGATGTCACAGAAGTAGACATATATTAGCATCTTTAAATGTCTGCTCAGATTTTTCGTAACTCTCATTGCATTCATCCTCCTCTTCAATTGTTAAAAATTATAGTCAATTTTCTAAATTTCAAGACAGGATCTCACTCCCATTGCCCAGGCTGAAGTACAGTGTCGTGATCATGGCACTTGACCTCCTGGGTTCAGGTGACCCTCCCACCTCACCCTCCCAAGTAGCTGGGACCACAGGCATACACCACCATGCCCAGCTAATTTTTTATATTTTTAGTAGAGAAGGGATCTCACTATGTGGCCAAGGCTGGTCTCAAACTCCTAGGTTTAAGCAGTCTGCCCTTCTTGGCCTCTCTAAGTGCGGAGATTACAGGCATGAGCCACAGTGCTTGGCCTCAATTTTTATCTCCCTAGAATATTTATGATTCTTTCTGAATATCAGTTGCAAACCCAAATCTATATGATAACTAATCTTCCAGAAATTCTACCCCACAAGACAGAGTCAACTGTATACATGAAGACATTTATGAACTCTGTTTTCTTTTAGGCTCAACGATACTTCTTGGCATATTTTTAACTTTTGTTTATAGGCCGTTATTAATTTTGAAGTACCTGGTATTGCTTGTGTGGAAATAAATCTGCATTCGAGTAATTTTAACTCTATGATTTGGGCGCTAATAATACTTATTGCAAGAGCATCCTGAAGTAGTCTCGGGCTAGGTAATTCATCTAGTTCATCCTCTTCGTTTCAGGAAAGTGGATTTCCTAGCCTATTCAAGCAGCTATCACAAAATACCCCAAGCAGGGTGTGGCTTAGAAACAGCAGAACTTGACTTCTCACCATTCTGGAGACCGAGAAGTCCAAGATGAAAATGTATTTGGTGTCTGCTGAGGGGTCACTCTCCAACTTCAATAGCACCTCCTTGTCAAGTCCTCGAATAGTGGAAGGGGTGAGAGAGCTCTGTGGGGTCTCTTTTATCAGGGCACTCATCCCATTCAGGAGGGTTCTGCCCTCATGCCCTCATCACCTCCCAAAGGCCCCACCTCCTAATCTTGGGGGTTAGGATTTTGACACGTGGGAAACAAAAACATTTGCCCATAGCAGGCTGCTGGGACAGAATACAGTTCAGGGGCTGCAAGTCCAAAGCCAGGTGCCAGCAAAGTCAAAGTCCAAAGGCAAATGAACCCAGCAGGGCTAATCTCCAGCAAAGCTTCTCTGCTTGGCTTGCAGAGGCCAGCTTCTGGCTGGGTCCTCACCTGTCCTTTCTGAATGCACGCACTCTTTTGGGGTCTCTTCCTCTTCTTTTAAGAACAGTGCCCTATTGGATCAGGCCTCCCCACCTCATTTAACCTTAATTGCCTTCTTAGAGGCCCCATCTCTAATGCAATCACAATGGCAGTGGGGGCTAGTGCTTCAGCATATGAATTTTGGAGACACAATTCTGTCCATAACTGTAGGTTTTTGGTTATCTCTGGAAATGGAAATGCTTTACTTTCTAATTTCCCACAATCCAGAGAAGCAATATCTTTTTTTTTCAACTTTAGAAATCTTTTGAAGTTTTGCATTGTTATACAGCACTTATTCAATGCCGCCCAATCCGAGTGACTTCATCTCACTCGACGACCTCACCTGACTATTCCCTGGCCTCTGCCCTGCCCAGGGCACACACTGTGGCAGGTGAGTGCTTGTGCATGGGCACACAAGGCAGATGCCTGGGTGTTCTGGGCGTGCTTTTTGCCTGAGATGTTCCATGACCTGGTCTGGTGTCTCACAAAGCCTCCTCATGAGAAACACCTTTCTTAGGGAAATACCTTGTGTTGCTCTTTTAGAAGATTCCACATGTGGTCCAAGAGGCATCAGCATCCCCTGGGAGTTCATGAGAAATGCAGCTCAGACCCCCATCCCAGCCCTCCTGAGGGAGAACCTGCACTTCTTGAGATTCCCCCACTGACCTCCAGGCTTAGGAAAGTGAGAGACACGCTGCCCTAAAGTGGTCCTCGGTATAGATTCAAGGCAGCTGCCCACCCCAGTCATCCAATTCCTTGGGCTATCTTAAATTCTTTTCCAGTCTCTTCTACTTAGTTTAAATAAATCAAGTCACACTTTTTCTCCAGGGACTCATTTCCCTCAAACACTATATCTGATGTTTCTGCACCTACTGGGTTTTTATGCAGTTATGCAGAGATCACAGGCTGTTTCTATGGATCTTTGCATATTGCAGGAATCTTTTTGATAGTGAGGTAATTTGTGCTGAATCAAAAGGCTGACATGCAAAGAGAGTATGGTGGCGTGTACTAAAGGCTTTATGGTAATTTTTGTTCCATTTCACCATCTTTTATTCATATGCCATTTTGATTTTTCTAGAGCGAATATATAGGATATTATCTGAATCCATTTTCTCAAAGCTACGTTTTAACAACATTTAGTTTGGGACATTTATTTCGTATTGAACACACAAAATGTTTGCTAAATAAAGGCTTCAAATAGCAACCCCTCCCCTGTTTGGTATTTTTTCATTGTTTATCATTGGACTTTTAGAAGTGTAAATAAGATGTGTGAGTCAAATTCTTTCTTTGTAACTGCTTGAAAAATTCAGTAACCAATTATTTATAATAATTGGAAATTAAATGAGAATCAAAATTCCCAGTGAGTATATGGCAAGTTTGTTATTTCCTTTCTACCAATAATGAATGATAATGAGTCAAATAAAAGCAATTTGCTTTTTCATGAAAAGTAGTGATGATTATTTTAACAATCACAAAATGCTTTCCTGAACATGTTCTTTTATCATTTCTGTAGTATTGAACTTTAAAAAAAGATATCATTGAGAATAAGTGAAGCATGGAACCTGTAAATTGCCTGTTTTTGAAGCCATCGTGTCCATCATTTTTAGTGAGAGAATAATGTTCTGATATCTCCACTTGACATCTTAGACTCTATTGTGTTATAACTTCCCACAACTTGCCAAAGGGCCATTCTAAACTTTTGCTCTTCAATCGGCCATCATTACGGGAATATTGGCTTCCAATTTTTGTGTACTAATATGAATTTGGCTCATGAATGTTACTACTCCGACCAACAAAATTCAAATGCTCCACAAAAAGAGAAGAGCCTGTCTAGCACAAAGATCTTTTCAGCTTTTGAGTTTCCTCTTCCCTATCAATCATGGGGTTTAATTTAAATTAAAAAGGAAACATTCTTTCAAGATACATAGTGTGAATCAATCAATCAATCGTACAGTCTTCCTTTACCTAAATTAATCACCTTTATAATCCTTTTAGTGGTTCTTGATCTCTTATAGGATACAATCAAAATTCCCCATCTTGATATCTAAAGCTTCTTAAGCTGAATCCCATCTCCCTTATCACTTCTTTTTATCATCTCTCTCTCTACTTTCCTTTACACATATTCTATTCCAAATAACCTACATGTTATACCCCAAGCCTTACTCAGTCATTCCTCAGAGCTGCGTTTTTATCTGTGGTTACAAAACAGATCTGCTGTCAGACCAGTCCTGACTTGACCTTTCTGTGAGGTTGCCATCAGGTGTCGGCTGGGGCTGTGTCTTCTGAAGGATAGGGCTGGATAGGGCTGGAGGAGCCTCCACCTAACTGTCCCCCTTGTGTGGCTGTCAAGTTAGTGCTGGCCCCACACAGGTTGCCGAAGGGTGCTCACGGCATGGTGCCTGGTGTCTTCCATAGAGATACACGAGTCCAAATCTGAAGCTCTGGTGGCTTTGGTAATCCAGCCTCTGAAGTCACACACTGTCACTTCCAGTATGTTCTGCAGGCCACTTGTAGCCAGCCCTGATGGAGTTTGGAAGGGAGTGAGTAGCAAGAGGCCTGGGTCCCAAGGGTCATCTTGAAGGCTGGCCACTGCAGGGCCTTTGTCCATACCAACAAAGCTCACCCTGGCCCATCTCTGCATGCTTCCTTCCACACCCTGATAGATCCTTCTTCCTCTAGGAGCCTTCCTGACCCACTCTAGATTGAAGCAACTCACCACACACCTGAAACCCTTTAGCACATACTATCTAGACCAAGCAGGTGGTACATGTTATATTCACATGTAGAAGACTCATCCCTGGTTGAGTGACACTCTAGATAAATCACTCAAGGTTCCAGCTCTTAAAAGATTACCTTCCATATGGTGGTATGAACAGAGATTCCCTAATGACCACTACTCAGAATTAAGAAGGTAAAATATGCCGCATATAATATATTCAATTCCTTCAACACTGTGTGGCTTTGGCTAAAGTTAACTTGCCTTCCTCAAGCATGCTTAAATTTGGTGTGAGTAGTAGGTCTGTGGCAACTTTGCAGAGTTTTGTGGAGAATTTCCTATTACAAATTCTCTAGGTTGTGAGCTCTGCGGTACAAGTGGCTATGTGAGACTAATGAGACATTAAGATCCTGTTTAAAGGTGCCTGTGGGTCCCTGAGCTATCTTGGGCTCCCTTCTGAATAAGCAAAAGGGATTAACTTGGGCTCAGTATGATGTAGGTTAAATTTTGACCCAGCAGTTGAACTCTTTTAGAAGAATAAATCTATTGATAGTAGCGTTGGGCAGTACTCTGTCATCTAGAATGCCCCATTTTCTGGCCAGGCTGGAGAAGTGCATTTTCAGTACTGGAAAGCTGAGTCATTTTCCCCGTTACAGATTGAGTTGGACACCTCCTTTGAGGCATCCAAAAATGACAGGGATTTCAGATGAAGCAAGGCTAGAATTGTACTCGATGGACTTGAACTTGAACCTGCAGCTTCTCACCCTCCCTGCTACAACCCTTGTGTTGGAGTTGCATAACTTCTGGGAGAACCATGCCAGAGAGTTATAGTAGTCCCCACTTATCCTCAGTTTCACTTTCTGCAGTCTCAATTACCTGTGGTCAACTGAGATCCAAAAGTATTAAATAGAAAATTCCAGAGATAAACAATTCATAGGTTTTAAATTGCACACTGTTCTGAGTAGCATTATGAAATCTCACACCGTCCTGCTCCATCCTGCTCCGTCCTGTTCTGGGACATGAATCAGTCCTGTGTCCAGCATCTCAGGCTGTGTACACCACCCTCCCATTAGTCAGCAACATCATCTTCTGACAGCCAACCATGGACATCATCATGCCGATGATTCAGGATCACCCAAGCAGATGATCCTGCTTCTAACCTATTGTCAGAAGGTCAGTAGTAAGCTAACACAACACGATGCCTGTGTCATTCCCCAGACTTCATCTCATATAGGCATTGTATCATCTCAGATCATCACAAGAAGAAAGGTGAGTACAGTACAGGAAGATATTTTGTGACAGTGAGAGAGAGAGAAACCACAGTCACATAACTTGCATTGCAGTACATTGTTATACATGTTCTATTTTATTATTAATTCTAAAAATAAAATCTCTTACTGTGCCTCACTTATAAATGACACTGTATCATAGCTATGTATGTATAGGAAAAACAGCACATATCAGGTTCAGTGACATCTGCAGTTTCAGGCATCCACTGGGGGCATCCCCTTGGCGTGTATTCTCCCCCACCAAGGATCAGGGGAGCAATTGTAATTCTCTGCTAAATTCTAGTCTGTCAGGATACTTAGTGTTTACGAATTTGAATAAATATGAGTAAAAACGAATTATAGAAATGCGGTTTTCCTGCTTTCAAGTGCAAACATTGACCTCAGTGGACAACTCAGGAAACGTTTCTAGATCCAGCTTCTAGGAGGCCTGTGGCTAGCTGGCTCCCTCTGTATGCAAACCATTCACATGCAAAATCTCTTGAGCAATTCCTGTCTAAAAGGGGCTCATAGGCTCCGTGAAATCATGTTTACAGTTTCACCTTGCTTACCAAGGCCTTTTTGGTTCTAGACAAAAAGTCTATTACAACCCATGTCAAGCTGTGATATTATTCAAATCACTGGAGTCTGATTTCAATGATCGTTTTCTATGCACAGCTTCAGGATACTCAGCCTATCACCCAGGAGGTGAATGAAGCAAGTCTGAGGTGTCTGGGCTACTTGACTTTCGGGTGATCTCAGGGAACATCTCCCCACCAATTACTTTCAAGACTGACTCGCTGACATGGAAATTCCTTATCTGGAATGGTTTCTGTCTGTGGTTGCAATGCTTTTCCAATTTTCATCTACATGAAACTCTCCCAGAAATCTTAAAATGTAGTTTTTGTTGCAGTAGGTTTGGGGTGATGGCCCCCCATGCTGCTAGTCCACGTACCAAGCACTGGAGGTATTTAAATGCACAAGCCCCTAGAAAAATAATGCCTGAGACTTTCTAAACGGAAGTCCTATCTGTAGCTCAGGCCATTCCCGTAAGCCCCAGCCTGTGAAGGCTCCCTAGGCACCTGAGGTGGGCTAGGCCCTGACCTGATTTCATGACTTCTCCCTTGGGTTTTTCCCTCCCCACCTCCCACCCCGCTCCCAGAAGCGAAGAGATGGCTTCACCTTCTTTACTCCCTGCCTTGGGCAGTGGCTCCAACATCTTCACACTCTCTCAAGTCGGACAGTTCATTCATCTTATTTCCTCACTCCCACCACAAGTCAGTTACTCTGTCCTTTGGATGGTGATCATGTGCATGATGGCTGTGTCATGTTTCCCATCTGCATTTAGTCCTCCCCATCTTCATGGCTACTCTGTGCCAGCTACTCTGTGCCACCCTCATCGCCTCTTGCCTAAACTCTTCAAACCAGTGCAAAAGCGACCTCTTATTTGCTTTTGTAATTCATTCTTCACTGTTTTGCCAAAGGGCCATTACAATACATTGACAGAATATTATTACCCTTCCTCAAAATCATTTGTGTCTCTCCATGGCCAAAACCCTTTCACAAGAGATCACTTTGATAAACAATTACCACCTGCTCATAGCCTATAATCCAACCATACTGGGAAATGTATCCTTTAGTAGATAGGACCTGCATTTGCAGGAGTCTTTGTCTCCTAATTTTCCTTCAGCCAGAAACCATCTCCTCCTCCAGCATGCCATAGCAGAACCTAAAAAGTCTGCTTCCCTTCTAAACTTCTGTGTCAATTTCACTTTCTGCAGGAAGCCAACCCCAATTCCACCAGCCCTGTTCCAAATCAGGAAAACCTGCCCCACCTTGCCTGCCACTAGCTCTGGCTTTGGTAGCATCCTTTTGTTCTGTTAGTGTTGTTCACTTAAGTTCTTCTTACAAGATTGTAAATTTTGAATTACAAAAACTTTGTTTTATTAATCTTTGTTTCTCCTAAGTCAGCCAGCAAAGAACCTTGTTTACAGTAGGTGCTTAATAAATATTTAATCCATTTATCAATTGAATGCAAGCGTTTCTTGAGTGTTTTTTCTTAGATTGTGCGAAAGGAAAGTGTGAAAGATGAAAGGAAATCCCATAATGAAATAATGAAAGAGAGTGGACAGGGGACGGCTGGAATAGCTGATGTCAAATGTACCTGAAACACAGCTCTATCTGTGAGTCCTAGAGGGTAGGAAATAACAGTGACCTCATAAGAAACCATTCCTCTCCCTGCTCCCTACTTTACAACCAGATTATATTACTTCTGCCCTCCTTGGGAAATGCTATGTTAAATGTTATTTTTCTGCAATTTGTAATGACCTTTATATCTGAAAGACAGTTCCTATAAAAACATGAGATTGAGAACCCATCAAACAAGTATCTCTACCATCAACTAAAATAAGCACCATGGACCCTTCTTAAGAAGTGAGGGTCTCATGTTTCAGGACAAGCGTGTTCAAGTACCACCAGCCAGGAAGGCCAACCAGGGCAAGGCTGTGCATTCCAGACCCTCCAGGGCTATGGCGTCAGGCACTTGACCTGTGTTTTAGGCAATTGTGAGTTAATGGAAATGATATTAGCAATCATAGGCAATGACTAATATTTACCAAGCATTTAGGGAATTGGATCAGTGACTGCTGGAAATGGAATACAAGAATTAATGTTCCAGGAATTAATAATGATCCTCAGAAAAGCTTATGGCTTCATCCACAGGCTTTTGTCATTTTAGTATTAAAGGCAAAGCAATGAAGAGACTGTGGCTCATTCCTCTTTCCTTGAATGGGCGTTTGCATGTTTCAACACGCTGGAAGGTTACCTTCTTAAAATGCCAGCTCATTATTCGTGTGAAAGTGATCATACATTGGTATTAAATGAAGAGTAGAGGCTTATCATTTTAGACATGATGGGTATGCTTTATTTACAGATAGTCATCCTTCCAGGAGTTAAATTCACATTGACTATTTTTTAAAATAGTGCTCACAGCTTAGTTCTGGATATGTTTGCGTTTTCCATCTCTCTTGGCTGCTTGAGAACAGAGCGTCCTTAGGAAAGGACAAGTCCTGTGCAGAATGCGTTCTCCTTTCTCCCACATTTGCATTTGCGGGGAGAGGCGTGCCTGCTGTTGTGCACTTCACCAGCGACCTCCCACACCCTTGGTTCTGCCCTGGGCTTGTCTTCCTTTTTCTTTCCTTCTCTTGAAGGGGTTACAGCCCGAAGCCTGAAGGAAACCAGTCTATAAAACTGGTGAACGCTGTCTGGATAGAGAGAACAGCCCTCGAATTTTGAAGCGCAGTTTGTGTAAGAGTTTATGGGCTCTGGATCATCTGATAGTTCTATTTTTAGTTTTTTGAGGAACCTCTATACTCTTTTTCTCATAACAGCAGCACCGTTTTGAATTCCCACCAGCAGTGTGCTCCAGGGTGTTTCCAAAATAAGTGAAATCAGGATGTCAAAGAGACACCAGCACCCCCATGCCCATCTGCAGCACCATTCACGGCAGCCGAGGTGTGGAAACAATGTAAACGTCCATTGAAATGTGGAAACAATGTAAATGCCTTTGACGGATGGTTGGGTAAAGAAAATGTGTTATGTACATACAATGGAATATTATTCAGCCTTACAAGAGAAGGAGAAGGCCGGCACGGTGGCTTTTGCCTGTAATCCCAACACTTTGGGAGGCTGAGGCAGGCGGACCACCTGAGGTCAGGAGTTTGAGACTAGCCTGGCCAAAATGGTGAAACCCTGTCTCTACTAAAAGCACAAAAATTAGCTGGGCGTGGTGGCGGGCACCTGTAATCCCAGCTACTCGGGATGCTGAGGCAGAGAATTGCTTGAACCCAAGAGGCGGAGGTTGTAGTCAGCCGAGATGGAGCCACTGCACTCCAGCCTGGGCAACAACAGCTAGAAGAGAGAAGGAGATCCTGCCACTTGTGACAACATGGATGAATCTGGAAAATGTAATGCTAAGTCAAATAAGCCAGTCACGGAGGGACAAATACCGTGTGATTCCACTCATAGGAGGTATCTAAAGTAGTCAGACTCATGGAAGGAGAGAATAGAATTGTGGTTGCCAGGCACTGGGAGGAGGGAAATGAGGAGTTATTAATGAACAGGTATAAAATTTCAGCGATGGGGGTGGGTAGGGCATGAGGAAATACAGTCAAAAAATGCAAAGTTTCCATTTGACAGGAGGAATAAGTTTTGGAGATCTATTGCACGGCATGGTAACTATAGTTAATAATAATGTGTATTTCAAAATTGCTAAAAGAGTAGATTTTAAATGTTCTCACAACAAAAAATAAGTATGAGATGATGAATATGTTAATCAGCTTGGTTTAATCATTCCACAATGTATACATCCATCAAAACATTCCACTGTAGCCCGTAAGCATATTCATTTACTATTTGTCAATTTTTTTTCCAAAAAATCATTATGCAAAATGAGTAAGTTCTACAAATCTGCTCTACAACATTGTGCCTATAGATAACAATGCTGGCATTTTGCACTTAAATCTGTTAAGAGAGATGATCTTATATGAAGTGTTCTTACCACAATAAAACTTTAAAAAATAAAAATAATAAAATAAGGCAAAGTTTAAAAAAAAATGTTCGTGAGCTCTGGAACTAAGCATACCAGGATTCGAAGTCTGAGTCTCCCAATTACTAAGTGTGTGACTTTGGGCACCCACGTCACGTCTGACACTCAGTTCTACATCTGTAAGTGAATATAACAATGCCTAATTTTCAGCATCATTACAAGAAGTATAGATCCTGCCGCAGGGTCTTGCATGGGGCAGTAACCAGAAACTTGTAGCTACTGTTGTGTGACTGCCATACTGTCTTTGGCCCTTGTAAGCTATGTGATTTTAGACAAATAATTTGCATGTCAGTTTCTTTTTTTTTTTTTTTCCTTTTTTTGAGATGGGGTGTTGCTCTTCTTACCCAGGCTGGAATGCAATGGTACAATCTCAGCTCACTGCAACCTCCGCCTCCCAGGTTCAACCAATTCTCTTGCATCATCCTCCTCAGTAGCTGGGATTACAGGCGTGCACCACCACGCCCAGCTAACTTTTTGTGTTTTTAGTAGAGACAGGGTTTCACCATGTTGGCCAGGCTGGTCTTGAACTCCTGACCTCAGGTGATCTGCCCACCTCGGCCTCCCAAAACGCTGGGATTACGGGCATGAGCCACTGCGCCTGGCCTTTGAGTGTCAGTTTCTATGCCTTAGAAAGAGGGGATTGGAGACTGGATGATCTATGGGGAGGGTGGTCTAAGACTTTGATGTGTATGAGTTGTAAAGTAACATAATAGATCCAAATGACACCAAAAGCTTTTGCTGAACCCAGTCAGTTGAGTCAAACAAGTCATTAGTGGAGAACGGAACCAGCTATTTAAATTAAACACTGGCATGTGCCTGGTTTATTACAGTGGCCCCAGTGCCCAGCATGTTGTAGGCACTCAGGAGACATTTATTTAATGATTGAAAAGCATCAGTCAGAGCTACAGGACATAGAAAGCACATTTGAAACAGTTGAGAAGATGTAATGAAGTAACAACTTAGTAAAGAATGGACAGGGTCAGGAAAGCAGGAAAACGTGGTGAAACATTCTGGGATTAGAATCGCAAGAAGTTGCTACCACCCTTTGGCCCAAGGGAGCAGTTAGTGAAACTCAGCAAATGTCTGTAGTTACAGAGAAAGAGGAAGGACAGGATCTGTGGGAATAAATACCTGAATTCTCTCCTGACTTTTTGATCTCTTGGTCAAGCCTCAAATCTATTGGCCAAACCTAACTAAAAGCTGGAGCACAAGGAAATCAGGTTGAGGCTGGTCTGCAGAGGTCACTCTTCCTAGACAAAGAGCAGATGGAAAAGGGAGCAAAAAGGATCTGCAGGGACAAGTGAAGAACATACAGCACTCTAAAGAAGCTTCCCATAGAAGCAAATTTGTGTATGTGGGTGGGAACTAGGATATTTTATTTGTTTGGGGATGCTTTTATTACAGGTAAAAGCAATAACTGCATATTTTGGTCTGAGATGTATTTTTTCTACTAATAAAATTAATAGGCTAATAAGGGCAATGATCACCTTCAAAAAACACACAATTTTCGCTAGTTAATGCCAGGTCTGATCAGCACATTTTAGATGGATGGATGGTTGAATGGGTCAATGGGTAGATGGATGGTTGGATGGATGGATGGATGAGGAGGAGGTGGTAGATGGATAGGTGAATGGGTAGGTGGATGGGTGGGTGGATGGGTGGATGGATGGATGGTGAGTGGGTGGGTAGATGGATGGGTGAGTGGATGAAAGGTTGAGTGGATGGGTGGGTGGGAGGTGGGTGGCTTGGCTAAGTTAGGATTGCTACCTTTAAAAGCATAGCAATGGTAACATAGAGTATCGGCCAGGCAACAACATTTAGCCAGAAAAGACAGATCCAGAGCAGGGTCTCCCAGCTGGCTTGCAATAAATAAATTACTTTTTCGTAATTTTGTCAAAAACGTTCAATGTGCTTGGTTTTAATGACCAGGAAATATCTAGCTGTGTTGAAGCCCCCCATCTCAGGGGGAGGTATTACCTGCTGATGGTTCTCGGCTTGTTGAAAGTTCACATCCTAAGAGTGTGTGTTGTTGTTAGTGTGATTACAGAAAATCTGCGCCCTCTTTCTAACCTGTGTCAAAGATAAACAAGGCATGACACAAGGTGGTAAGAACAGATTTTAATCAGCAACAACTATTGCAATAGGGAAAAGAATACAACGTGAACTAAATTCAACTTCCATTTGTACAGCAGTGACTGGGCATTTATAAAAGGAGAAGGAAGGAGTGGAGAGAGTTAAGCAGGATTTAGTAGAGTCAGGGAGGTGAAAAACTCCGAGGGTTAGTCATGTGATAATGTCGGTGGTGTCTGCGAACTGGCAATTATGGAAGTTAGGATTCCATCCTCCCACAGAGACCAGACACAGAGGCTCTGTCCTCAGGTGTCAGCTGGAACAAGTCATAAGCTCTTTTGGCAGGTGTGACTTTTCTCTGGCAGGCACTTCTGGTTGGGGGACAGCCAGGGCCATCCTAGGAATGTGACCTTGTTCTGTTAGAAACTGTGCTAGTGTTTGTTCAAGTCTTTATAGACCGAGCTTAAGGCCTAGTTAAAAAAGGATTCAGAGAAATCTGACTCAAGTTTGGTCAAAGAGAGAGTCCTTGCCAATTGTTATTCTTTAGGCATTTAGATATCTCTGAATACCCAAACAGAGAATACAGACAAAAAGGAATAAGCAAACTATGTTGTCAAGGAACAGTTTTATTGTCAAAATGTATCTCAGTGATGATTAATGAATTGGAAAGTTATAAGATGCCTCTATTAATCACTTTTCTAAATGAGTTGAGTTTTGCAGCACAGCTGAAAATTTTGATTTCATTGTTTAAAGCAAATTTTGGAAAGAACTATTGAGTGCAAGTTAAAGCCGGAAACTCACAGAGGCAAAGAAACATAGAGGATGGTCTGTTCCCCTACTGCCATAGACTCTATAAAGAGCTTGTTTCACGGCCTTTGTTTTCAATGTTCCTCCTATGGAAAAAATAATTGCCAGTTTTCCCACCAATGTGGACACATATATGAAAATTTTTTGACTCTTCCCAATCATTTGTAAAAATGATACTATCCTCTCCTGTTTTTGCACGCCATTAGAGAGATGAGGTGCAAGTGTACCATAGGCCTAGAAACCTTGCAATGTCAGCTACGCACTGTTTATCTCAACTCACATACGCAGATATTTGTTGCAGATTAGGGTGTTGTCTGTAAAGAAAGAAAAGTGTTCAAAGAAAACCTGCTAGGTGATGTATTTGTTTTCGCTTATTGCTGTTACAAATTACCACAAACTTAGTGACTTAAAACAACATAAATTTATTATCATATGAGATCCAAAGTCTGAAATGGGCTTCAAGTAGCTCAAATCAAAGTGTCTGCAGGGCTAATTCCTTCTGGAGGCTCCAGCAGGGAATCTGTTTCCTGCTTCTAGAGGCTTCTACATGTCTTGGCTCACGGCTCTTTCCTCCGCCTTCAGAGCCAGCAATCGCTGCCTGTGTTTTTCTAATATCATATTACTTGACACCGACTCTTCTCCCTCCCTCTTCCACATTTAAGTACCCTTATAATTAAAATTGAGCCCACGTGGATAATTCAGGATAATCTCCTGTTTTCAAGCCAACCAATTAGGAATACTAACTCCATCTGCTGCCCAGTTCACGTAACGTAGCCACAGGTTCTGGGAATTAGGATTTAGATGTCTTTGGGCGGCCTTGTTCATTACAATGAAGCAATTTCCATCTGCTGCAGATTCTAGATCTAGAAGTTGCCACTTGACAACTGCGTGACTTTAGGTAAATCTCCTGACACTTAAATGCTTCCCTGGCTCTTCTCATTTGCAAGTTGAAGGCACTGTGTTAGGTAACCTCTGCCATCTCTTTCAGAGCCCTCCAAGTTTGAGGAATCCTTTTGATCAAAGGTGAAGGTCATGAAGTGTAATTTGCTTTGCCGTGGTTATTGCATTCTCGTTGATTGATTTTTTGGATTGGATACCCATGAAGTCTTATGCACATTTAAAGTTAATTATTTCTTCATTATATAATTAAATGTAGATGAGTCCCAGTGTAAAGTGTCAGACGGATAACTTATTCTTTCCAAAAGAAGAACAGACTCACTCAGCAGCAGCTTTTCTGCTCTCTCTGGAAAGGAGGTATTGAGTCGTCTTAGATTAACTCATGGTCTTCCTGACAGGATTGGGTATGGATTTTAACAGATTACAGTCATCTTGGATGCCTTCCAGAAACTGATTCTAAACTGCTTTTATTTTTCATAGGAAACACCCAACAACACTGCATAGAAATTAGATACTCCTAAAGTGGATTTGAACCAGTAAAATTAGCTGTAAATATCGAAGCATAACTAAGGTTTAGTGTCTTCTCTTTGTAGGTAATTTGTGCAGCCCTAACATTTCTCCCCTCTGGAGCTTAGCTGTACAATTCTAATCACTACTGTGGTCTCTGCTCAGTGGGCCATCGCTCATGTTTTGAAAGCACTGGCTTTGTCCCTATGTGAGCTTGCTAGTTAGTTGATACATGCAGGAGTGTGGTGGCCTCAGGGGAATGGAATTTCTTTCTTCTGTTTATAGGTTAGTTTGGGGAAAAAAATGTGTGTGTGTGTGTGGGTGTGTGTGTGTGTGTGTGTGTGTGTGTGTGTGTTTACTGAGATGGAGTCTCATTCTGAATCCTAGGCTGGAGTGCAGTGGCATGATCATAGCTCACTGCAGCCTTGACCTTCTGGGCTCAAGCAATCCTCCCACCTCAGCCTCCCAAGTAGCTGGGCCTACAGGCACACACCACTATGCCTGGCTAATTTTTAAATGTTTTGTAGAGATGGGGTCTCTCTATGTTGCCCAGGCTGATTTTGAACTCTTGGTCTCAAGTGATCCTCCCACCTCAATCTCCCAAAGTCCTGGAATTACAGGTGTGAGCCACTGTGCCTAGCCAAAAATATTGTGCATATTTTTAAGCACTGGTTGGCATTAAGTTTGAGGGTTACAGGGCTAAAACAAAAGATGAGATTTTACTACAAAAAGAACTTGGAGGCTCTTTTAGAATTGGATTCAACTTTCTTCCTGCTATAGAGACTATAGATTGCTTGATTTATGATGCGAGATTTGATTCTTCATGTCATCTTGCCAACACAGCCGCTGCAGTTGTCTTGTTACTCCAGCTCTTTACCCAGCATACTGTTTGCCAGTTGAATGTTATTCAAGCCAGAAGTTTGGCAAAACACTTTGGTACAATAAAAATATATTTAAGAATTTAACATTTTGGCTTTTTATTGTAGTATTGAGTAGGGAATGGGAAATTAGCCAATGATAGGACTACTAGGGTCTACATTCGAAAGAACTTTTATAGCACAATCTTTTGGTAACTTATTTGGTTGAGGACGTACTAAATACAAATAATCATGTGGGAATTTGGTGAGCTATGGTAATGAATATGACGTGAGATGACTTCAGAGGAGTTTGCAGTTCCGTAGTAGAGACAGACACGTGTAGAAAATCCTGTATTGGTCTTCTTCCTTGTTGACCGTAGTGCTTTCAGTGGGGTGCATCTCATTAGAACGTTGTGATTGGGACATACAAGTGGAAGGTTTCTTTAATGTCTGGTTCCCATATCGGTGAGACATAGCCTTAATGTATTATTCTCCAGAGGGGCAAACCATCCAAGACTATTTTAGAATTAAGGACTTGCTGCTCTGGTTACTTGGTCACTGTTGAGAGGATGTGTTGGAATGACATAGCAAACCATGAGATGATGGTTTTGGAAAAACATCAGCCGAGTAAGTTATTTGGTACTCTGCCTTAAAAAAAAAAAAAAAAAAAAAAACTGAGCCATAAATATTCAAAAAAGTTTGTATGCACAGAACACAAAATTCCAAGAGAATTATTTGTTTCCTACCCTAGGAGTCAAAAGTGTTTGTTTAGAATAATGTGTAAGAGTTTCTTACCCCGCCCCCAGGATTACCAATTCCTTTAACAATGCCCTTTATTTGTGCATCAGTGCTAGTAGGTTTTTCTTTTAATCAGAAATAATTTTGGTGAGCGTGTCTATGCACACAGAAATAGCTACTAAGATCATTAATATTTTATTGTTGAAAGCAGTTTTATCTTATAATCACATTTTCATTTGATGTTTTTAGTTTTCTGCTTCTCTCACATAAATGCATGGTGTCGAGAGAGGCACAAGTATTTTTGTCTCTAATATCTTAAAAATTAGGATTAAGTGCATTCTGTATTGTTTTGTATTCACAAAATAGTTTTGAAAAAGCTTGAGATTAAGTGAAATTTGTATGTTTTTAACCATAGTTTTTGTGGGACAAATTTACGCTTTATCTCTTTGGTTTAGATGTGGTTGACATATTGATGCATGTATTCTCTTTATTCTGTAGGCTTTCTTTTTCCTTAGAAATGAAGTCACATTCAGTAGTTAAATAATACTTTACTCAAAAGTACAGTGATTTGAAAATAACCTTCAACTGTCAGAAGAGGCTGAACTTGACTGAAATGTGGCCTCCTAACTGAATATTGCACATGAATCTTAACAGAAGTTATCATAAACATTTAAATATTTGCACTTGGTATTTAGACATTGATTTTCACCAATAACTGAATAGATATAAAGCCTATTTTTCTTCTTTAGCCCTCATGAATATCAATTCAGTTTGTTTTTTGTTTCTTCTGGGTGATTCATAGATGAATGCCTAGTGTCTTCATTTGCAAGCTGTTCATGGAAGGAAGCCACTTTTCTGTTGCCTCTGTAACCATTGCAGGGCCTTCAATAGCAGCCTTCAGACACTAGGCATGCATTCAGCATTGGAATAAATAGGATAGCCAAGGGTAGCTAATTATTTTCAGGTTAATTCCTAAAGAGTTAATTTGCACTGCCTTGCCCAAAATCAAACCAGCAGAACATTTTATTAAGCAAGGCTTTTGTGTGAGTGGTATGGAAGCACTGAATCAGTTGCTGTTTCTTTTAATCTAAATTATCGTCATTTTGAGCTTTATATTAATACACTGGCTGAGTAACTTTGTTTAAAAGAAACCTAGGTAAATTGATAGTTCTATGTTCTAAATTCTTCTGAATAAGAAAACAGTGATCTGCCAGATGAAAAAGGCAATTCAGAATGTGACATAACTTCTGTTGAGAGATTTTTGTTGAAAATTGGGAAGTATGAATTCTTCACAGACTTTCATAAAATATTTCAATACTCTTATTTTTAAAAAACCTTGAAAAGTCAGAAATCAGTTAGAATAATTGACTTCTAGGCATAGAAAAATTCATTTAAATTTTATTTATCCTGGATGTCTTCTTTTTTAGCATAATACACCTAAAACAGATATTCCACTAATATAGAGTGATTGAAGTATTCAGAGGAAGATTGCATTTTAAAGCTATAAAGAACATTTAAGAGTAAATGTGGAAAACAGTATGCAGATTTCTTAAAAGAACTAAAAGGATACCTGCCATTCAATCCAGCAACCCCACTATTTGGTATCTACCCAAAGGAAGAGAAGTCGTTATATCAAAAACACACCTGCACGCATAGGCTTACTGCAAAAAAAATTCACAACTGCAAAGATATGGAATCGACCTAAGTGTCCATCAACCAATGAGTGGATAAGGAAGATGTGGTATATATGCACCATGGAATACTACTCAGCCATAAAAATAACGAAATAATGTCTTTTGCAGCAACTTGGATGGAGCTGGAGGCCATTGTCCTAAGTGATATAACTCAGGAATGGAAAACCTAATATTGTTATGTTCTCACTTACAAGTGGCAGCTAAGCTATGGGTATGCAAGGCATACAGAGTGGTATAATAGATTTGGAGACTCGCAAGTGGGGAGAGCGGAAGGGGTATGAGGGATAAAAAGACACATATTGGGTACAACGTACAGTGTTAAGATGATGGGTGCACTAAACGCTCAGACTTCAGCACTGTACGCTTCATCCACGTAACCAAAAACCACTTGTACCTCAAAAGCTATTAAAATAAAATAAAACATAAAACAAAATAAAGAGAATATATAGCCTACTTCCTTAGGTTTTATAGTCAAAGCACCACTGATTTAGAATCTAAAGGCCTGGCCTCAGGTCTGATTCTGCTACTTTACATCTGTGTGACCTTGGGCAAGTCTCTTAACCTCTCTGAGCTTCTGCTTCTTAATCTGTTAAAAAAAAAAAAAGCATAATTTGTCTTATCCTTGTTTTGATCAAATGAATGAGTTCTGGGAAATCCATCCAGCTGGTCAGTGGAATCCACGTGCGAGCACAGCAAGGCCTAACGAATTTGCTGACGCTCCTCTGACCACCTAGCTTCACAGATGGGTGGGCAGCCAGACCTACAACCCAACCCACGTCTGCCAAGTCCCAGCCTTTCCATTCACCTTTCAAGGGAAGAAAACTTCTCATGTATTGGAAAGCACAGTGCCTCTAGTGCCTCTCTTTCTTGATTGTTGGAGTTGGGTCTCTCAGCATTGTGGTTCACTACGACAGAGCATCGCTTTTAACAGCCACATAAAATAACCCTCTTGGGTAACACACTCAAGAGGCTTCGTGAACTCGGGAGGCAATCTGGGCAGGCTTACAGCTGTGTGACAACACAAACGCTGTTTATTTGAGTGTTATCAGGAAGATGTGTCACTGTCATGGTTGAATATGGAGAAACAGGTGCCCGCCTCGGAATGGCTACCCAAGTCAAGGAGGACCCAAGGCTAATGTGGAGACCACGTTCCTCCCTGGAGTACCGGGGTTAGGCAGGGCTTGAATGAGGTGCAGCGAGGCCGGTGAAACACAGCAGTACCACGTGTCTTATGTCACATCAGCAATGCAGGTCGCGCTCGTCACAGACATTTCAGATGGAGCTGGGTATTATATTCCAGTCCTGGCATTTATTATGGTCACCACCAGCACAGAGCGTTCCTGGCCTGGTGCTGTCTGGTTTCTGGAATACAGGCCATCCTTCCTGATATTCTAAAGCCTGCCTCCCACCCTCAAAGAGTCAGACGGCAAGTTTCCATCCACCCTCCCAGTTCTCAGCCTTTGAAGGTGAGAAGCTCCTCTTCTAGGGGCCGCTGTCAGAATCTCAGGGTTTGGCACTGTTGCGCTCGCCTCCATTCCCCAGGCTCCTCGACGGCCTTAGATGCTTAAACACGCTGCTGCCTCTCATCTCTGGACCAAGGCTTTCGTTTCCCTGTGAGTAGACAGCACTAAGGCACGGGGTTAGTTTAATGATGCAAGTCAACTGGGGAGCCTTGCTGCTATAGAGATACCCTTTGTATGTTTACTTTAACTTCTTGCATCAGTCAATTCAGGCTGTTGTAGCAGAATACCACAGACTGCACAGCTTAAGCAGCAGCAATGTATTCCTTATGATTCTGGAGGCTGGGGAATCTGAAGTCAGTGTGCTGGCGTGGTCAGGTCTGGTTTGTAGATGGCTATTTTCTTGTATCCTCACATGGCAGAGAGCACAGAGCAGGCTCTTGAGTCTCCTTAGAAGGGCACTAAGCCCATTCACCCTCATGACCTAATTACCTCCTGAAGGCCCCCCTCCTAGTGCTGTCACATTGGGGAGTTAGGATTTCATTGTATGAATCTGGGGAGACACAAACATTCAGCCCATAGCACTTCCCCAGCCGTGCAACACAGGTGCCCTTTGGTGGTGTTTGCATAGGTCATGGCTGCTGATAGCCACCGTGTGTTGACTGCCCACTCTGTGCTTGACGCTCTGCTAGAGGCTCTTTATGTTGTCTTTAATCCTCACTTCAGTGCTGCAAGGGCTGTGTTATTCCCAGCTGACATATGAGCTTCCAGGAGTTTAATGGATGGAAGCTCAGCTGGCACATGGTGGAGGCAAACCCAGGGATGTCTGACTCATTCGAATGTTTCTTTCGTTAAGTTAAGTCTTCCATTCAGGAAACCAATATTGCAAGTTCAACGTGTGAAAATGTCACTAGGCTCCACGGTGCTAGAGAGGTGGATCCTGATGATGTCCTGTGCTCACGGCGCTTACTTTGATTGGCACCCAGAGAGAAGACATGAGCAACACTGGTTGTGTTCAGATGAGAGACAGTGCACCTCAAGGGAAGTGTTGGTGAAGTCCTCAGAGGAAGGAGGAACGCAAAGGCCTGTGTTCAGAACACCGTGGTGCCCTGAGAACAGCTGCCAAGGATGCTCGCTGGGAGCCACAGGCCACCAGGGGGAAGCGCCAAGGCCGTCTTTCAAGATGCAGTTACATCATCACTGAGCAGCACCAGCTCAGGGCTGCTCCAGCAAGCCTAGACCCACCCTGCTTCCCTGCGCCACTCCCCAGGGCCTGCTCCACACCACCCACAAAAGGCAGGCGGACAGTGGAAGAACACTCCAGGCCCCCAGCTCCAAAGGCTCAGATAGCCGCTGTCGTCAAAACCTCATGTCAGGCTCTGTTTTTCTTTCCTTTCTTTTCTTTTCTTTTCTTTTCTTTTCTTTTCTTTTCTTTTCTTTTCTTTTCTTTTCTTTTCTTTCTTTTATTATTTCTTTCTTTCTTTCTTTTTTTTTTTTTTTTTGAGATGGAATCTTGCTCTTGTTGCCCAGGCTGGAGTACAGTGGCATGATCTCAGTTCACCACAACCTCTACCTCCCAAGCTCAAGCAATTTTCCTGCCTCAGCTTCCCGAGTAGCTGGGATGACAGGTGCATGCCACCACGCCTGGCTAATTTTTGTATTTTTAGTAGAGACAGGGTTTCTCCATGTTGGTCAGGCTGGTCTCAAACTCCTGACCTCGTGATCCGCCCACCTCAGCCTCCCAAAGTGCTGGGATTACAGGCGAGAGCCACCGCACCCAGCCTTTCCTTCTCCCTTTCTTACCCGACTTCCTTGGAATTGGTATTCAGGACCTTCCTTTTCTCCTGGTATCTGCCCAGTGATCCAGGACAGCGCTCAGCTCCTGGTAGCCCTGGGCTCTGTGGTTTCAGGCTGGGTGCATCTGTTCCTGTGCCCTGATCTCAGCCTGGCCCAGCTCCTTGGCCTCTCCACCCTCCACTTCCCTTGGAAGAAAAAATGGGGGTAACGGTAAGGAGGTGCTCTGAGTAAAGCAGTTTCCGGGTCCAAAATAATTCAAAGAAATGAAGAGCAAAAATCACAGTACAAGTAGTTTAGCTTTTCCTCAGTTAATCTGCCATAATATTAAGTAAAGCTAGTTTTAAGTATTTAGGCTCTAATGAATTCCATGTACTAAGTTGCCTGGCTGTTTTCTAATACATGTTATTTGAAGATTCTCTTGAAAATTGCTTATATCATGCTGCTATGTTACAAGAACATGGTTTTCACGCATTCTGGTATGGAATGTGTATGTTGCTGTCACTTATTTAATAATAATAGTCACAATTAATCAGTACAAATATTTATGGCCCTAAGTACCCTGAGATCTGTTGCTTGATACATGTCTGAACATTTTGGACAAAAAGAGGCCAGTGTGGGACAATGAGATAGCCTTTTAATAGAGAGATTCTTTTCTCTTAACAATGATCTAGGGGTTTTCGGGGGGAAACACACACCCCCTTCTCCATCGGGACCGAAACTGCTCTTGTCCGTGTGTTCTGTCACACGTAGATGAACAGGCTTTCAACACCTGCACTGGATTTTATAATGCATTGGGTTTGGTTATTGTCATTATTGTTTTTACCAGTTTATTTATTCATTATGGTGCTAGCCACAAAGCTTATGCATGCTGAGCGTGGGTTTCAAATTTTGAGTTTTTTTGAAACATTCAAGACACGGAAGTGGGCATCACAGGTCATGAGTTCTGTTCGATAATGATGTCACTGGTCACCCATGTTGCTTTTGACTTGGTAAAAGAAAAATTGTACTTAGGAAAAGCTGCCCTCATATAATGTGTACTCATATGGTAGTTAAATAAGTCCAGTCAAGGGCTGTAAGACAGCCAATCAGAATCTTGTTTCTAAATGGGCATGTTTCTAAACTGGTCTATGATGTGCTAATGGACAGAATTTTGCATTTGGAAAATTGCCATCACAAACTCTTGAGCCTTCCATTCTTAAACCAGTTGCAAGGGGCTTTACCAAACTGACTTATCCAGGTTACAGATATAACAAGTTCCTGTAGGTAATGGCTCTCATACTAGACTGCAAGTTTTTTTTTTTTTTTTTTTTTTTTTTTGAGACAGAGTCTCACTCTGTTGCCCAGGCTGGAGTGCAGTGGCACAATCTCAGCCCACTGCAACCTCTGCCTCCCAGGTTCAAGCAATTCTCCTGTCTCAGCCTCCCAAGTAGCTGAGACAGGGACTACAGGTGCATGCCACCGTGCCTGACTAATTTTTGCATTTTTTTTGTTTTTGTTTTTTTAGTAGAGATGGGGTTTCAACCTATTGGCCAGGCTGGTCTTGAACTCCTGACCTCAGGTGATCCGGCCGCCTCAGCCTCCCGAAGTGCTGTGATTACAGGCATGAGCCCCCTCGCCCGGCCTCATACTTCATTGTTTATAAGCGTGTACTGGGCACATTGTGAAACACAAACGTTCTCCCACCCTGTCCCCAGAGACTCCAGTTCAGAGGGTCCAGGAATCTGCATTTGACGTGCACACCCGGGGGTTCTAAGGCTATTTTTGTACCATCATTTTGAGAAATACATGAAGCTATTTCAAACACTCCTCATAATGTCAATTAGTCTTCTCCTTCTGTCCTAGGAACTAGATAATTATTATTTCTTTTGTCCAAAATCCTTTGGATTATACAAATGCATTATATCTGGAGGCAGTAATTAAGCTCTGGCCTGGCCCACTTTTCTCCAGATAAGTACACTGATTACCTTCGCGTTTCCTTACAGGTCCAACTTTCCAACAAAATCATCACTGTTTGCTTTCCTTTAGGCCTACACGTTCTTTTCCTCTGTTACACAATGTCTGAAGTAAAACAAAGATTTCTGTCTTTCCTTTCATGTTGTACATGTTGTGACTAAAACACATGCCTCAGGTCTCAGTCTATCTTAAACTGTGGTTATTTCTTTAAAATCCATTTTACCTATAAGAACAATAAAGGCGTCTTCAGGCTTTTTAAACCTGTAACAATTTAAAGACATTGGGTCATAAAATAATGTTTAACCTGGACTGATACAATTAAAATAAAACATTAACAGTCTGAATTTT
This sequence comes from Homo sapiens, assembly GCF_000001405.40. NCBI lineage: Eukaryota > Metazoa > Chordata > Mammalia > Primates > Hominidae > Homo > Homo sapiens. The sequence continues at coordinate 154,434,148 of NC_000007.14, forward strand.
GTTTAAGATAGAAACTTAGCCCTCTTGTTCCTGGTATGTGCGACTTCATGAAAACCCAAGTTTCGCTACTTAAAGTGCAGACTATGTTTCTATAGTTTCAGGTAGAAATTATTTGGAAATGTACCATGCTGCTGTAAAACAAACAAAAAGCCACCCTAAGCCCGTATTTTCTCCTTTTGTGACACTGCAGAGTTATAGTTTCCACACAGATATCGTGCCTGCAGGGCCTTTAGAAGCATGTGGCTGCTGGCTTTCACCCTGAAGGTCCAGACTGCTGGACTCTTCAGCCGCCGCTTCACCCTTCCCTCTCTGCTTGCTGCTGGCTTTGGGGTTGGGATCTGCTTCCCACTCTCCTGCATCTGACGTGCTCTTCCATTTTTCTCCCAGTCCATCATGGTAAATTCTTGTCTTCATATTCCTTCTCTTCTCCCACCTTTGTTTCTGAGCTGCTCACCTGAGCTGTGGGAGTGCAACTGGGATCATCAGCATTTTCCAATCAAAGTGCTCTTATCTTCTGATCAGCAAAATAACCCATCACAGAAATGACTGAATTAATGACTCTCTAGACAGTTGAGTCTCTTCCACGTTTTTGATCAGGGCCTGCTCATACTCAGACATTTCTTGTTTGTTGTTGTTGCTTTTATGTTCATGGCTGTTCCCAAGCAGAGAGAATTTATTTTATTCTATTTTTATTTTTATTTTTTGAGATGGAGTCTCGCTCTGGTCACCCAGGCTAAAGTGCAGTGGTGCAATCTCGGCTCACTGCAACCTCTGCCTCCCAGGTTCTCAAGCAATTCTCCTGCCTCAGCCTCCCAAGTAGCTGGGATTACAGGCACACGCCCTTATGCCCCATTACTTTTTGTATTTTTAGTAGAGATAGTGTTTCACCATGTTGGCCAGGCTGGTGTTGAACTCCTGACCTCAGGTGATCCACCTGTCTCAGCCTCCCAAAGTGCTGGAATTACAGGCATGAGCCACCATTCCTGGCTGAGAATTTCATTTAAATTGTGGATTACTAGGCATTAATTATGTTTGTGTGAGAGAGAGTGGCAGAGGGACATTGAAAGAGCAACAGGGACAGAGAGACAGAGAGAGAACAAGGAGAAGGAGGACGAGAGAGAAAGAAAGAGGGAGGAATGGGAGGGGGTACTGAGAGATCACACCAAATTCATTGCACGTTCCTGTGAGTTGCTGCCACACGCTGCACTGGGCCAACGCTTTCCCACCAGTTTCACTAGTGGAGATGACCTCATCGGATCCTCTTTGCCATCTTCTGTGAGGTTGGAACCATGCAGAGTCCTGCATTTTCCTCCATCTACCCCTAAGTCCTTGTGTTAATTATGATCTGTGTTGGCTTTTATCACCTTTGTGGAAAGAGAAGAGCCACCAATAATGAAGACTGAGTAAATGAGCCAGTGAAACAGAGACGGGGATGTGCACCCCCCAGGCTCCTGGATGATTATTGACGGACACGTGTCAGCTGCTAAATGTTATTTAAAACTTGTTCTTGCCATCCTATCATCATTTGCTGTCCTCCTGAATATGGAAATACAATGATTAGAAGGCTGTTTTACCATCCTGAGATATGTGCACCATTGATTTTGTAATTTGTTGCTACCTTCTACTTATAGTAAATGGTCCATGATACATAAAAGAAATTTATGTCAGAGCTTTTCACAGTGAATAAATATTAGGAAGAAAATACATTTAGACAATAGAAGGAAGCAGTGTAATGGGAGATCCTGCAGTCATGTATGTGTCGTTTATTTTCTCCCAATATTTTTTATAGTAGCTGTGTGAATATCTTACTTTTTACGGTGCTCAATTCCACATTGGCCTGATATTTGACATATTTTAAGGCACAGTGGGAGAAGGAACCAATCCTGACCTTTCTCTAGGCACTTTTCTGATGTCAGTAGATGAACTGAATAATTAATATCTGACTTCTTCTGGAACTTATTTGAGGTGGCTTACAGAATCCTCCCCTGGCTTCCTATTGTGTTTTGGATAAAAGGCAAGACCAGTGGCACGGTCCACGAGGCTGGGCCTGGTTTTCTTTGTGCCTGTCTGTCCAGCTTCATCTCGGATGCTTCACGCCTCACTCCTGACATGTAGCCACACATGCACCAGGTTACAACCGCTCCATTGCATGGGAAACCTGCCCCAGCTGGTCACCACCTCCTTCCTGTATACTCTTCAACTCTCAGCTCAAATTCTCTTCCTCAGAGCACCCTTGCTTGCCCCAACACCTCAGTAAAAATCAGCACATGCCCCATCATTATACGCCCTCTTGACACATGGAATTCCTGCCCACTGCCCCACCTCACAGTGTCACTGGGTTTGCCTGAGGTCTCTCCCACCGCGTGCAAGTGTAGGGATGTCTCTTCAGTTCAGCACGTTAGGCCAATGCTCACTGTCACAACATTGGTATCCAGTACACGTGGTTAACCATTGCTATTGTGAAATATTATAATGCAAAAACTATGGAACATGTAAACTCACAGCTTAATGGGTGAGTGTAACCTGAATTTCCTAATGTGAAATAGCCCATTCAGGTCTAGAAACAGAGGACAGCCAGTACCCCGCAGCTCCTGTACCTTGACTTCCTCTTTCCAGTGGCAACTTCTCTCTCCCCGTTGAGTTATGCAGCATCCTGGATTTCATGGAAATGTCTTTCTGGCTTGTCTTCATGAACTTACGTGTGAACCACTCACTTAGTGTAGTTTGCCCACTGTGGAACTTTTTACAAAAAGAAATATTCATCTTATATTCTTTACTGTCTGATCTATGTCACTTAAAATTATATTTGTGAGGTTCATTCATGCTGTGCATGTAGTCAGAGGTTGTGATTTGCATGGCTATATGGCATTCTGTTACATGGAATACACCACTCTGGTAGACAGACCAATGACACCCCATGAAGATGTCCGTATCCCATTCCCTGGTACCTGTGACTATGTTAGCTTCCCTGACAAAGGAGACTAAGGTTACAGGTGAATAAAGATAGTAAGATTACTCATCAATTGCCTCTCTGCAGCCAATCATTTCTCTGATGCTATTTGTTTTTCCATTATACTGGATTATGTGAAAATTCTGATACTAGGCTAATAGCTGTTTAACATGGATCTAATGAATAGATTCCATTCTAGGCCAGCTATAGTTTAAAAATACTACAGCTTTCTTTTTGAGTAATTTGATACCTAAAATAGTGAAGACCTCAGGAAGAGCCCATCCTCTTTGAGACCCGTGAACATTCTGCCGTGCCAACTGTCTTGGCTGGCATTTGCTTCCCCTTAAATTAGCTTCCTCCTGTCACAGAGGGGCCCATACTACAAGGCTGGTGGATGATGACAAATTTGATTCTTGAAAATCTGTTAAGGTAATTGCAAAATTCCACTCAGTTTCCCTGGGAAAATAACTCTACCTGCTAGTAGAATCACCAGCCTTTTCAAAGAAAATGTATACATCAAATTAGCAAATTAGTTATTTTAAAATTGTAAACCAAAGGCCAGGTGTGGTGGTTCATGCCTGTAATTCCAGCACTTTGAGAGGCTGAGGTGGGCGGATCCCTTGAGTCCAGGAGTTCAAGATCAGCCTGGCCAACATGGCGAAACCCAGTCTCTGCTAAAAATACAAAAATTAGCTGGACACGGTGGTGGACGCCTGTAATCCGTGTTACTTGGGAGGCTGAGGCAGGGAGAAATGTTTGAACCCAGGAGGCAGAGATTGTAGTGAGCCAAGATCACGCCACTGCACTCCAGCCTGGATGACAGTGAGACTCCATCTGAAAAAATAACATAAAAATAAAATAAAACTAAATTAAATTGTAAACCAAGAGTGTTGTTGGAATTTCCACCTAGTCTTCGAGTGTAAGTGTAGCTAGAATATGCCGCAGACACAGGAGCATACCCCTCAGGAACCAGGGAGCAGGCGCTGGATGAAGCATCAATGCTTGCTGTACATTCGGCTTTTGTTTTTGAGTTTCAGAAACCCACTCAAATTAGTTTAAGTAAAATGGAAAATGAAATATCTCCTAAAGGCTGGGCACTGTGGCAAATGCCTGTAATCCCAGAACTTTGGGAGGCCAAGGAGGGTGGATCACAAGGTCAGGAGATCGAGACCATCCTGGCTGACACGGTGAAACCCCGTCTCGACTAAAAAAATACAAAAAAATTAGCCGGGCGTGGTGGCGGGAGCCTGTAGTCCCAGCTACTCAGGAGGCTGAGTCAGGAGAACGGCGTGAACCCAGGAGGCGGAGCTTGCAGTGAGTCGAGATAGCACCACTGCACTCCAGCCTGGGTGACAGAGTGAGACTCCAACTCAAAAAAAAAAAAAAAAAAAAAAAAAAAAGAAAAGAAAAAAAGAAATATCTCCTAAAGTAACAGGAGTGCATTATTAAATCCAAGGGAAAAATGCATCCAGGCCTCAGGAGGAAAAGTACATCAAAAATGGAAAGCCAAGAGGAGCTCATTCTGTCTCTTTGAGCTTCTTACCTTTTTGCCTTTGTCTCTTTGCTTTTCATTCTCTTTGGTTCTGAACCTCTCTACTTCATTCCTCTCATTCTGTAAATCTGCTTTATTTCCTTTGGAATCTTTACACCATATGGCAGCAGGCACTTAACTTCCCTCCCCACCTTCCGTTCTCATGGTTTGTGACAGCAGCCAAGAACGACTTGGAATATTTTAATCTCACACCACAAATCCTGGAGCAGACTTTTGACCTAGGTTAGGCCAATTAATTGTCTCTGGCTGAGGAGGAGAGGAGGGGGCTCACAGACTAGAAATGTGGCTTCCAGGGCCCATGGGTGGAGGAGGAGGGCAGCTCCGATCATTCTGACTGGGATGCTCTTCACAATGCCTCTGTACCGTGCTGGAACATTGTACCAGGGTGGCAAGCCCTTTTTAAAAAGTGAGCTCCAATTACTTTAGTCTCTGCCATTCAATTGCTGGTGGTTCTTGCCTTTGAGGCTAGTTTGTTAGTTACTTAATATTTATTGAGTGCCTGCAGGGATTTTTGACATTGAGAAGTGATGTGTTGAGCGTGCCAAAAATCTACCCAGTATAGAAAACTCATCTCAAAATCGCCTGTGGGTTTCAGAGAGTCTATGCAAAAACAGCCATTATCTAAACATGCTTTAAGACGCTGTTATCATACACAGCAAGGTGAAAGATACAAATGCTCAATTTTAAATTCTGCAGCTTACTTCATAGCCATCTTTTCACTGAAAGGGATTTCTCTTGGGCCTGATGTGTTGTGACATTTTTTTCTGTGGATGATCAGGTCACAGTGCTGCTGCTTTTGGAAATATATAGAACAACTTGATACCTTTAAAACATTATATCAAAATAGAACCAAAGTAGACTGAGCCCAGAAAGCAAGACTAACTTACATTTTGAACTAATTTCATAAAAGAATCTATCAGACCCAGTCAATTAAACTGAAGAGCCTAAAATAATTTGAACCTGATGTTGGAATTTGCAGGTAAAAATAATCAAGAAGAAATGTTAACAGATAGCTATTGCATCAATAATTTGCCTGTTTGTTTTCTAGAAGGATTGATAGGGCAGAAGTTAATTCTGAAAACACAGTTTTGCTGACCTTCAAGTAGAGGGCTGACAGCTGCTTTAGCAAGGGTGGTGGGTAGGATTTCAAACTGCTGTGCCCTCAGGCAGCAACATCAAGTCATGTTATGTAAAATAGGCAACTTCAGAAGTTCCCAAATGTATTTGAGAAAAGTAGGGTGGATCCCAGGTGAGTCCATGAGGCGCATACGGAAAGGGTGTGGGAGAGCCCTGGGAGAGCCTGAGCAGTGAGACGTCCCTTCTCCACATGGAGGACGTGGTGGACACTGCCCAGGGGAAGAGGGGCACCCGCAGGTTTGTGTCTGGATGTACCGGAAACATTGGCTCCTCTGCTTCCACTAAGATGATGATGATGATGTATAATTAATTGCCAGTCCTCGAAAGTTGGGCAGGTTAACCAAAATTAACTTCTAATTAATGAAATAAACGGAGGTGTTGGGGAAGGTGGGATGACATCGTCTTCCACCACCACCACATCCCATTCCCGCATTGGTTGCTTCAGTCTTTCTGAAAGGGCTGCTCAGCTGCCCACGCCTGCAGTCTCTGCAGTTATTCACATGGAGGCGGCATTAATTCATACCTTGCGGCCATATCCATTATCCCTCCCTCACCCCCACTACTAGCAAAAGCACCCCGGAAGTACTCACAAGAAACAAAGTGACAGTCACAAGGAAAGGAGCATCTCGGGGAGTGGGAAAGCTTCCCCTGCTAAGTACATGCAATGCTTTATTGGACGATGAGTTAGGGTCCTCTTGCTCCAACAAGACTGGCTTGCGTTTCCACCTCCAGCCAGCATTGTGAATCCCAAGTAGCTGCTGATTTATATGTATCCTCTGGAATTATTTAAAGCTATCAATTACCTAACCATGGGTATAGTTATATCGTAGAAAAGGCCACTTTCCATTTTGGGAGCGAGACATTGTCTTCTAGTCTTAATATACTTCTGCAGGCTGCCTGATAGAAGAAGAGATTGATTGGTTTAAAGATAGATTGTTATGAGAGAAATAATTTACTTCACTTCCTCCTTCCCTAGTGAGAAGGCCATCTGGTTGACCCCTCTGCCTTTAGCTAAGGGACATAGAATGCACAATTGCCAGCTGTCCCCAATGTGGCTGGCAAGGCTGGACCTCAGCTGTCCCCGGGGTCCCTGCTGTGCTGCCCCCGATTGCTCCAGTCTTCTCCTGCAGGGGTGTGTCTTTAGGAGGAGGCTTTGGTTGATCGTGAAATCATCCTCCAATCTCACTTCTGCTGGAGGTGACTCCTTCTGTCCCTTTAGCTGCGTAAGGCCAGACTTACATTACATGAAACAAACACGTCATGGGATGTGTACCCGGAACATTCACAGTGGTTATTGGCTGCTTGAGGTATGCATCACTTTACTGTGGAGTCACAATTATGGATCCAATAACCTGGATCACTCTGCTTTGAGGACCCAAAACAAATTAAATTTCTGATTTCCCCTCATTAAAGCTCAGGATGCAACAAGAAGTTGGAGGATCACAAGTGGAATGTGACCACTCTAGCCCCTTCCCTTTCTTTATAAAGAGTAGGAAATGCAATGCACTTTCGAGTTCTTTCTCTATTACATATCATATGTTGCTAAAACATTACTTGGTGGTGATAGCAATAAATAGTAAATTAGTATCTTGTGTTTCTATAATTTTTATAAATTATAGTGTGCTTTCAAATACATTTACATTTAATCCTGATAACACCTATGCAATCAGTTCCTTTTGTGTCCCACTCCTTTCCTCCTTGCAGCGTTCAAAAATCGTCTCCAACTTAGAGTTCTCATTTGAATCTTCTCCTCTTCATAAGGCACAAAGTCTGATAAAGGTAGCAAGCAAGGCAAATCCATGAGAGATACGAAGCTCAGGCCAAGATGAGACGTGTCAGATTTTAACAGAGAGGAGAGAACAGGGATGCATAACCTGACAGAGAGGCGTGGGCTCTATCAGCTGTAGCTGGGGAGAAAATTAAAGCGGCCTGCATTAGGGTCCTCCTTGAATCAGTTCATAGACATTGTGGTGTCTACAATTATTATCTTAATCTGGGTTTCTTGCACTCGAGATACAAAATTGGCACACACAAAAGTCAAGCTGTAATCACAAGTTACTAAGATAATAACATTGGATAAAGGTGAATTTTATGTTTAAAATGACCAAACGACTCAGAAAAGGTATAGCTTGGTTTTAGTTCGTTGTTTGTTTTATTTTTGCCTGAGTTAAAAATAAGTATGAGCAGCAGTGATGTCGCAAAGGACAGGATTGCCAACTATGCGTGTCAGTTTGCATTACATCTTGCAGAATCCATTGCTGCTTATGGCCTCATTCACGCAACTGGGCTTGCATTAACCCTTTGCTTTCTGCATCCATCAATGATTGCCTTTCTGTTACTTCTAAAGGCATTTATCCATCCATTCATCCACTCAACACAGTCTCTGTGCACTATGTTGTCCCAAGTTTTGTACGAGACATTGAGACGTTGAACACAGTAAGGTAACTGTGTCCTTAAGTAGTTTGCCCCCCTGGTAATGACACATGCATTATGATAATATATTAATACTCATACTAAGATAATATATATTAAAGAGATAAATTAATAGTGGAACAGTGTTACAGAAAGGCACTCACAGAGTGTTGTGATTGTGTCCAGGGGGAAAGAATAATGCCGGTGAAACCAGGCAAGACTTCCTACGATGTCAGAGGTGATATTTTAGCTGATAAGTAAAGAATGCAAAGGGATTTGCCTGGCAAAATGAAGATGAAGGGAAATTCCAGGAAACAGAAAAGTTGTAGGGCGTGTTGAGGAAAGGGGACATGGAAGGGAATGACTTGCTCCAGGAACAATAGGGTATGAGCGGAGTAGGGTAGAACTTAGATTTGGCCTAGAGGTAGAAAGAGGACAGACTTGCCATGTCACAGGGGCAAAGGGTGTTTTTTTCTTGAAAACAGAAGGCTAGAGCCCCAGAGAGGGCTTTACATGCAAAAGGGATACATAAATATATCCCGACACCTAGGTCTGTATGACCTTCTCAGAATAACACTGTTGGCTAATATCTTTCTATTGTATGCCCAGAATTCAGCTACTTCCCAGCATACCCACCACTGCCACCCAGGACAGACCTCCATTACCCCTGTGCCTTGTTGGCCGCTCCTGTTCCCACCCTGGTTTCTGCAAGTGTTTCCTCTAAGCAGCTCCCCTGGCCACCTTCCTTAGTGGGAGCCTTATTTACACACTGCTGTGCTCACACCCCTTTCACTCAGAGGTAAGCCGAAGCCTGCACCTGGCCCTCAGGCTCTGCACTCCCTGGCCCCTTACTGCCCCCACTCCTCAGAACAGTCACCTTGCTCTCCCACTCTGGCCACTGCCTCCTTGCTGTCTCCACTGAAGCCTATGCTGTCTCACAGGCCAGGCACCTGCCACTCCCTCTGTCTGGATTGTCTTCTCGGATGTCAGCTCTGCAGATTCCTTCAGTTCTATTCAGATGTCACTTTGCTAGAGATCTCTCTGATGCAAACAGCTCCCAGAGCTCCATTGTCCTGCTTTTCTCTTCTCTTAGTGAGCTGATCTGCTTATTGTTTGTCCCTTCCCCCATTCCTGCACTAGATTACAAGAAAAAAAATGAAAAAAAAAATGAAAGCCATTCAACTTCTGTTGATAACAGTGTCAGTATCTGTTTTATTCATTCTTGTATTCAAGGTTCTCAAAACCTAACCTGGCATAGTAAGCCCTAGATAAACATGTGTTGGATGGATGGATGTGGATTGACAGATACATGGATGGATGGATGGATGGATGGATGGATGGATGAGTGAATGGATGGACGGATGTGGATGAATAGATGGATGGATGGATGAGTGGATGGATGGGTGAATGGATGGATGGATATGTCGATGAATGTGGATGGATGGATGGATGTGGATGAATAGATGGATGGATGGATGAGTGGATGGATGGGTGAATGGATGGATGGATACGTCGACGAATGTGGATGGATGGATGGATGTGGATCACTGGGTAGAAAACTTATTCTTCTTAGAGCAAATGGTTAATTGTGAACATGCTTTTCCATTTTAATGGATCTCCAAAGTATGCATGTGGTAACGGAATAGGGAATATGTTATAGCCTCACTTTCACCATGCTAGGCAAAAAATGTCTCATTCTACTGAGAAATGCACTACTGACACTCAGTGTGCCGGGGGACAACCTAGTGACTTCTCTTGACTTTCATGGAAAGCAGAATCAATCCTACTCGAATTTTCAACAGTTCAACTCCTGCAAGTTAGGAGGAAGTCTGAATGTGGGGAGCCAAATTAGATGTTCAAAGAAGCACATATTAGCTTGCATTCTAACTTGAAAACTGCATCTATGCTGTGGTTGTACCCATTTAAAAATTAAATGTGCATATAGACCAGAAATAGAAAACAATATGAAAAAGGCTTGGCCAGGCGCGGTGGCTCACGCCTGTAATCCCAGCACTTTGGGAGGCCGAGGCGGGCGGATCGCAAGGTCAGGAGATTAAGACCATTCTGGCTAACATGGTGAAACCCTGTCTCTACTAAATAGACAAAAAAAAAAAAAATTAGCCAGGTGTGATTGTGGGCGCCTGTGGTCCCAGCTACTCTGGAGGCTGAGGCAGGAGAATGGCGTGAACCTGGGAGGCAGAGCTTGCAGTGAGCCGAGATCGCACCACTGTACTCCAGCCTGGGCTGGAAAAAAATAAAAATAATTAAAAATGAAATAGAAACAATACTCAAAAGATATCAATTATTTGAGCTAATGAAGATAACATTAATTTTATCATTCTGGTTCATGAATAAGATTTGGTCTTGATGTTCTGTTTTTAATGGTTTCCTTGGAATTTCATCTTAACAGCGTTTGAGGAATGTCAACTGGGCTGTGAGAAATTGCGTGCACTAGGTTGCTTGTATGAATAGTACCACTGAAAGATTCCTGCTAGTCACAGACTTGATGAAAAGGGCTTATTTTCTTTCTGAATTCAGGTGAAATGAAAAGCTGCTGAATTAGCAAGATCTAATTACTTATCCTTGGCCCTGGCCAGTGATTTTCTCCCAAAGAAAATACTACCTAATAGGAAATGAGATTGAATCAGTGTAACTTTCTGTAGCTGTTTTGTTGCTCACGGATAGTCTTACTTTTTAAGTTCTAAAAAGCTACTCTCTGTAGATGAATTAAGTTATAGATGGCAAATATGAAGACTTGTAGAAATTCTAAACCACTGTAGAACTCTTTCCTACTAAGCCTATAATGGCCCCATGAATTTTTCTTAATTTAATAACAAATATAGCCAATATTAAATATTTTGGATGATATTGCATATTGTCTATTTTAGTTTGTAGCAATTTGACACATTCTAAAGAACTTTTAATCTTTGATGAAAATATATTTATGTATTGCATTGTCTACTTTTTAAGGCCGTCTTCATTCTACCTCATTTTGGCTTGGTTACTAAGTTGCAGTTATGTGCACTATAAGAGTGTATTCTCCAGACTATACATGGACAGAAGTGGTCCCTTTGCAGTGTGACCATCTGTCCTTATTTGTTCCTGTATAATTAATAATAATCCATGTGTAACTATTATATTTATTACTTATTATCAAGCATTCATATGATCCTTTTTGTCTCTCAAAGAATCACAGTTTCGACTAAAAGTTATATGATTCCTCTAATTTGCACGGAACTGAAAACTTGGTCTCAGCAGCCAGTACGCGTGATGAATTTCCTAGACTTATGTAGTCTTTAGCACCCTTTAGCAGTGTCTCCAGAGTCCCTCTCTCACCTGCCACTCTTGCTGCAGTGCAAGAGGGTTCTCTGGAAGGGACTGAAACCTAGAATAAGGATAGGTGAGTTGCCCAGTGAAGAGAGACCAGGAAAATCTTGAAACCTTGAATGAGGAGCTATGGAAAAAAGAAAAGCCTGAAGGCAGTGCGATGGGCAGAAGTTGGTGAAAATTGGCACATAGCATGTGCTAAATAAATATTTAAATTTGGTACCCTGAAATAGAAGTTGATCACATGGATGTAAAAAAAAAAAAAGGGAATGATGACAGAGGACTTGGAGCTGAAAAGTTTAATCCTAGTTGGGTTGGATTCAATGAGGGTAAGGAATTTAGCTGTGAAGAAGGAAAGCTCCAAGATGACCCTATACTGCAGAGTCTGGTTTATTGGGAGGAGGAGCATTAGGTTTGCACAAAAGCTGCAAACATAATAATATCAGATTCTTTCTTGAGGTAACATTTGGCCATAGTACAGGAAAATGACAGCCGAAGGCTTTGGGCCACTGAAGGCAGAAGGGTGCAGAAGGGTACAAAAGGGAACTAATAGTAGCTTCAAGAATGGGAAGATGCCTCTTTCACTGTTTTGTATCTTGGTTCTTGATTTAAATGAAATATGTCTATTTGGCTTATTTTATTTCCTTATTTCACTCACTGGGGTTTTCTTTGTTGTTGCTGTTTTTAGGAGCTGGTGGGGAGTAACCCTCCGCAGAGGAATTGGAAAGGAATAGCAATTGCACTGCTTGTCATTCTGGTCATCTGCTCCTTGATCGTCACCTCGGTCATACTTCTGACACCAGGTACTGTATTCATTCTTGGAAAAGCAAGTCGCTGTCAGAGAGAAAGAGCATAATTTTACCTTGCAATTTTTTTCTAAGTAACTACCTATTACATAATTTATTTTTCCCAAGTTCTAATTCTCACTATGCCATATGATATAATATGGTTTCAATTTTAAAAATTCATTTTATATGTTTTGGATTTGTTCACAAAGTTGTTTACTACGTGGAAATGCTTGGCATATATTAAAATTACTTATACAATCACTTATTCATGCTTGATCAACTTAAAGACAGTGGCATAAATATAATGATTTTATATATTTCATAGAATTCCTGGACATTATATCAAGGGTGAATTAAGAAAATTATTAAAACAACATATGTTGAGTGTGAACTAAGGAGAAGGTGCTAAATAGGTACTACTGAATATTACATAAAGTATAAACCAGTGTCATAAATCTCTCAGGAAAGAAAAGACACTAAAATCCACAGAAGAAACCTACAACAAATACAGATATATACATGCACTATTGAGTAAGCCAAAGAGAAGTGCTATTGGAGTTGAGAGGAGAAAGAGAAATCTTTCAAAAGAAAGTTCATGGAGAAGGTAGTACGTAAAGTGGGCTTAATGGAGTAATGGTAGGAATTTAGTAGCCAGAGAGTGGTAGGATTAGGGAGAGAAGAAAGCCTTTGCCTATAAAATAATAATATAGAGCTGGACATGGTGGCTTATGCCTGTAATCCCAGTACTTTGGGGGACTGAGGCGGGTAGATCGCCTGACATCAGGAGTTCGAGACCATCCTGGCCAACAGGGTGAAACCTCGTCTCTACTAAAAATACAAAAATTAGCCAGGCGTGGTGGCAAGTGCCTGTAATCCCAGCTACTCAGGAGGCTGAGACAGGAGAATCGCTTGAACCTGGGAGGCAGAGGTTGCAGTGAGCCATGATTGCGCCATTGCACTCCAGCCTGGGCAACAGAGCAAGACTCCAACTAAAAAATAATAATGATAATATAGGAGTTATCATAGAAAAACATTGTGGCCATAGATAAAACAGTATGTAACTGTTTTATCCGTTCTCATGATCATAGTAGATGCCTATTTGTGCAGGCAAAAAAGTTTTAATTCTCAGTAAATACATACACAAGCATTAGACCTTAAGATGAAAAAAAGTAGATATTATAATATAAAACCTTTTTCCACAGGTACAACAAATGTGGGCAAATTATAATCCAGGCTTAAACTATTACCCCAAAATCTAAATGAGAAAAGGACGATCTGTACCCTGATACCAAACTAGATAAAGATATCACAAGGAAACAACATGCCAATACCCCTTATGAAAATAGATATAAAACTCTTCAACAAAATAGTAGCAAACTGAATCTAACTACATGTAGAAAGATTATACACCATGACCAAATAGGATATATTCCAGGAAAAACAAATTGGCTTGTATGAAAATCAATCAATGTATTATACCTACATTAATAGAATAAAGGGCAAAAAGCACATGATCATCTGAACAGACACAGAATAAGCATGTGACAAAATCCAAAAACCATTTCCTGACAAAAGACTCAACAAGCTAGGAACAGGAAGAAACATCTTCAACTTGACAAGTATCTGTGAAAAACCCAATAGCTAGCATCATACTGAAGAGCAGAAGACTGAAATCAGTCCGCCTAAGACCAGGAGATGGTAGACAAGGATGTTCATTCCCAGCATGGCTATTTAACATTATATTGGAGGGTCTAGCCAGGGCTATTAGGTAGGAAAAACAAAAACAAAAACAAGGACAACCAGATAGGAAAGAAAGAAGTAAACCTGTCTCTATTCATAGAAGACATAATGTTGTATATAGAAAATCTTAAGGAATCCACAAAAAAACCTATTATAATAATAAATGAGTTCAGCAGGAAGGAAGATTTCAGACCAAAATGCAAAAATCATTTGCATTTTTAGCCACTAGCTATGAACAATCCCAAAATAAAATTAAGAAAATGATTCCACTTAAAATAGTTTCAAACGGAATAAGATACTTAAGAATAAATTTAACAAAATAAAGAAGTATAAGACTTGTGTACTAAAACTACAAAACAAAATGGAAAGAAATTAAGACCTAAGTAAATGGAAGTATATCTTATATGAATTGATTGAAAGACTTCATATCATTAACATGACAATACTCCCTAAACTGATGTGCAGATTCAACCAAATCTCTATCAAAATCCCTCTTTCTTTCTTAAAGAAACTACAAGTTGATTCTGAAATTCATATGAAAATGCAAAGGACTCATAATAGTCAAAACAATCTCAAAAAACAATTCAAAGACTTATACCTCCTGATTTTAAAACTTACTGTAAAGCTACAGAAATCAAAACAATATGGTACTAGGATAGGTATAGACATATGGATCAATGGAATAGAATTGAGAGTTCAAAAATAAACCCATACATCTATAGTCAATTATTTTTTGACAAGGGAGTCAAGACCATTCAATGAGGAAAGAATAGTCTTTCCACCAAATGGTGGTGGTACAACTAGATATTCACCTGCAAAAGAGTGCAGTTGGACCCCCAACTCGTACCATATACAAAGATGAACTCAATGTGGACCAAAGACCCAAAATATAAGAGCTAAAGCTATAAAACTTTTAGAAGAAAACATAGGGATAAATCTTTGTGACTTTGAATTAGGCAATGGTTTCTTACATGTGACAACAAAAGTGCAAGCAATCAAATAAAAAATAGATAAATTGGACTTCATCAAACTTAAAACATTTTGTGTATCAAAAACACTATCAAGAAAGTGAAAAGACAACCCACCGAATGGGAGAAAATATTTGCAAATCAGGTATCTAGTAAAGGTCTAGTATCTAGAATATATCAACAACTCTTGCTTCTCAAAACAAACAAACAAAAAAACAAATAATTCAATTTAAAAATAGGCAAAGGATTTAAAGAGACATTTCTCCAAAGAAAGACAAATGGCCAAAAAGCATATGAAAAGATGCTCAACATCATTCAGCCTCAGGGTGAATGAAAATCAAATCACAATGAAATACCACTTCACATCCACTAGGATGATTATAAGAACCAAACACAAACAAAAAATGGAAAATAGTAAGTATTCCCAGGATATAGAGAAATGGGAACCTTCTTACATTACTAGTAGAAAGATAAATTGTGTGGCCTCTGTGGAAAATAGTTCAGTAGTTCTCCTAAAAGTTAAACACAGAGTTACCATATTACCTAGTAATTCTACTCCTAGGTATAGACTCACGAAAACTGGAAACATATGTTCATATAGAAACTAGTACATGAGGTTCATAACAGCATTAATGATAATAGCCAAAAAAGTGAAAACAACCCAAATATCTATTTCCCAGAGAATGGATAAATAAATGTGATGTGGCGGGGCGCGGTGGCTCACACCCATAATCCCAGCACTTTGGGAGGCCAAGGAGGGTGGATCATGAGGTCAGGAAGCCGAGACCATACTGGCTAACACATTGAAACCCCATCTCTACTAAAAATAAAAAAAAACTAGCCAGGAGTGGTAACACATGCCTGTAGTCCCAGCTACTTGGGAGGCTGAGGCAGGAGAATCACTTGAACGTGGGATGGTGGAGGTTGCAGTGAGTTGAGATCGTGCCATTGCATTCCAGCCTGGGTGACAGAGCTAGACTCCATCTCTAAATAAATAAATAAATAAATAAATAAATAAATAAATAAATAAATAAATGTGATGTAACCATACAATGGAATACTCCTCCACTGTAAAAAGGAATGAAGAGCTGATCCATGCTGTAACATGAATTAACCCTGGAAACTTCACACTAAGTGAAGGAAGGCTGGCATAAAAGGCCACATATTGTATGATTTCAGAATAGGCAGATCCCTAGAGATAGGAAATAGATTTGTGGCTGCTGTAAGGTAGAGGTAGGGAGAAAATGAAATGATTGCTAATAGGTATGAAATTTCTTTGAAGGGGGATGAAGAAATTATTCTGGAATTTGATAGTGGTGATACATGTATGACTCTGTTAATATTATATATTTTAAAAACACTGAATTGTATACATTAAAAAGATGAACTTTATGATATGTGAATTTCATCTCTATTAAGCTATGAGTTTGATAAAAAGATGGGAAAGCTGTTGGGGGAGAAAAGTGTAACCTGGCCACAAAAGTGCCAGACATACTAAATTGCCTTAAAAACTTGTGTAACTCCAAAGAGGCTTCAGGAGCAGTTCCGGGAGAGAGAGCGTTGCAGTCTCCTGCGTGAGCGAGCTTCGTGAATGGAGCACAGTTGCCTGGAACAATCAGGCTGAGGATTCAATCCAGTGCTTCAATGCCCAGGAAACAGATCCCTGCACCTGCTGAAATCAGATGACCAGGGTTTAGAGGGGCTGGGGGAGGAACTGCAAAGCCAATCCTTGTTTTGTTTTATGGTGGTGGTGCTGATGATCTCACACAGCTGGGGACTTTAACCACTACATATTTCTAACGAATATAGAGGAAGTCAAGTTTTCCTCAGGGTCTGTGGAGCATGTGTTTCTGCCTCTACTTTTCTTTGAGCAGAATTGTGCTTTGTGTAAGAACATGATTACTGCAGATTCGATCTTGTGGTTGTCTGGCACTCCCTTTGGGACTTGAAAGCAGTGGTGTCTAGGGGTTTGCAGTTACTCCCACCTTCCAAGGTGCATGTGAACTTTCATGTCACCCCGGTCCAAGGGCTGTCACGAGTGTCACTCAAGAGTGGAATAAGGCCGGTGTGGTGGCTCATGCCTGTAATCCCAGCACTTTAGGAGGGCGAGGTGGGCAGATCACGAGGTCAGGAGATCGAGACCAGCCTGGCCAACACAGTGAAACCCCATCTCTACTAAAAATACAAAAATTAGCTGGGCTTGGTGGCAGGTGCCTGTAATCTCAGCTACTCAGGAGGCTGAGCAGGAGAATGGCTTGAACCCAGGAGGCAGAGGTTGCAGTGAGCCGAGATCGCGCCACTGCACTCCAGCCTGGCAACAGAGCAAGAGCCTGTCTCACCAAAAAAAAAAAAAAAAAAAGTGGAATTAAATGGCTGCCCGGAGCTTCTTACACCGAAATGTCCACAGCAGCAAAGCGGGTTGAGAACCAGGTCCTGGGACCCTGTCCTCCAAGCTCAACTCCAGGCCTGGCAAGCAGTAGCCCTGCGTCTTCTCCACGCACAGGGAGTGGCGGCAGGCCTCCTCCCTCCAGCACAGCAGCTGACCCTGCCAGCATCTACATTCAGTTCTTTTGCAGCCAAGGCAACCACAGCAGCCTCCCCTCTGCAGTAAACAGAGGATGCAGTTGCTGGGAACTCTTCTCCCTCCATGCTGACGGCCAGTTGTCAGGGGCAACTGCTCCTGGAGAAGCTCTAGTGAATGGCTGAATTCCAGAGAAGGCTTTGGAGGGGAATTTGCTTTTCTTGTTCCATCACAATACACATGCAGCTGAGCCTTGCTTCACCTTTTGGTTCTGCTGGGCTTTCATGGGTGCTGTTTGTTTCTCTGGGCTGTGCTGCCCTGGGATGGGGTGTCCAAGGTTTAGGCCTCTCCCACAGGGCTGCACAGCAAATGTTGCACCGCTGCTCCCGCACCGAGGCCTGACTGCATCCACTCTCCTGCAATACAGCAATGGCTTGTGTTTTGGCATAAAATTCCATCAGGCAGAGGAGGTATCAAATCATTCAACCTGCCACTAGCTCCAGAGCAGTGTCAAATTCACTAATGTACAGAGCAGTGTCACCTCGACAGAGAATGCCTGCCAACAGAGCCAGCATGAATGATCCCGGCTAGGAGCTGAGAACTCCATGCTAAGTGCCAGACAGAATGTGGAAAGAGAAGATGCCAGTACTTCCCATGAAGCTTAGAGTCCACGTAAAGACAATGCATGTGCAAGGAGAATTCCACAGTAGTGTTATCATTAAGTAAAAATAAAAGTCAAAGGCAGGGTGTGGTGGAGGCCTGTTGAGTTGTGTAGATAGTGGAAATGCTGACCTAGAGGGCTGAGATCCTCGCCAAGGCAGGAGTGGCTTCCACCGGTGAAAGTGAAAGATGACAGTCAGTCTTCAACAGTGGAGAATCCAAGTCGTAACCGTCACACTTCGCATATGTTTGCACACAGTGTTGAGTGCGTTCCTACCCAACATTGCTTCCATTTTGGTAGATTTAGTTAGAAATTGTAATATGTGCTTTTTTAAAAAAATAGTATTTTTCAAGTACTACCAGTCTTGTATTCTGGTTTATTGCAACTCAGAGTACAGTATCTGCTTTCTACTTAATTAGAAAATCCATTCTGAACTCACTTGATTCAGTCGTTTTGTGAAAGTGGTTCCTGGTACCCAGGGGCCCCTTGCCACCCCTGTGAGAAGAATCTCATGCGCATGGTGGAGTGCCCTCCTGATGACGCAGACCTGGAAGGGCCTCATGGTAATCACTCTGAACAACAAGGCATCTTGTCCTGGAGTACAGTCTAATTATCACCAGTTATGCACAATTGATGTTTTAGAAATCAAATTAAAAGTGTTCAAGGTGATCTTAGTTCCAAAGGGATTTACCAAGTGAGAATATGTCCCTTTCAATGTTGTCATTCATATCTCCCTTGCTGGTCCATGCTCTTTTCTAAATTTCTTCTCTTTGGAATAATAGGCTCAACGTTACATTTTTTATTTTCAATATTAAATATGTATCTGTCTACAATAGGCCATGCACAGCGTATGCCTTTTGTTAGCAGCTACAGTTCCCGCATTCTGATGGAAACACCGTGACCTTCTCCGGTGCCACAATCGCTGACGTGGGGGTCGGAAACTCCAGCAGGATCGGATTTGCATGAAAACATCCCTGACAATTGGCTTTTATGGAATCTCACATTAGAGCAGGTGGACAGTGGTTTATGCCGGAAACACTAGAACACTTTTAGGTGGTACATCAATGAGAAGCCTTGAATAATTCAAAGTCATAGTGAATGGAGGTTCTGGGTTAAGGCCAAGCACAGGTTATCAGAACACAAGACTCGTCAGTCTTTTGGGTAGAAACGTAACATAGAGATTACTTTTACGGAATTAAAATGTCATCACTGTTTAATGTCTGTGACCGCATTGCCAACCCTCACCTTATCTTTTTAAAATTCTTGAACAAATAATTTCAAAACATTTTATTGAAGAAGGATATACATATAGGATATATATTATATATTTAACATAAATATTATATAGATATTAAATATATAAATATAAACACATGTGAGTAAGCTATTGTTGAATTTTGATGAATTTTAAAACCAAACTTGATTCTGTAATCAGCATCCAGGCCAAAAAAGCAGAATGCAGCCAGCATCCGGAAAGCCCCCCAGGCCCTTCCTATCATTAATCCTCTCAAGGGCAACCTCATTTCTGACATCACAGAGTAGTATTATGAGTTTTTATATTCTTTGCATTTATGGCATAAATGTAATCATCTGGTATGTCTACTTTTATGCCTGCTTTTGTTCTATATGTTTGTGAGATTCATAGTTGTATTTTAGATTGTACTGCTACCCAATTTTTAACCTATATTGGATTATCTTATCATAAAGTCCCACATAATCTCAATGAAAATTGCAAAATAGCTTAACAGTCATTTAATAGCTTTTGTGTGTATCATAAAAAGTAATGCATACCTCCTAATTTTTTTTTGTCTTGTAGAAATAGATGGCTTGCTCCGTATCTTTTGGGCATTTTCTCTCTGTTAGGGCTCCTATATTAAATTCATTCCACAAATTCAATCTTGTTATATTCCATCTACTAACACTGACCATGGCCCAACCCATTTCATCATGGGAAGCACAGGTGGCTTGAGTGGGTTCTGGTATTGTTCATTTGCCCTGGGGCATCTGCTCTGTGAGTCCTGGGCTCCTCCGTGCCTGCTCACACCCATCTGCAGCGGACTGACTGGATTGGGGATGGTGTCTACTCTGATCATGAAACACAGAGTTGTTTTGGCTGCTGCCGATGCTACCACTGTTAATGTTTCTGCCCAAAGTTAACTTGTTAATACTAATCGAGACTGGGTGCTATAAATAGAGGCTGCAGATGATATTCATTATGATGGTCCAAAACATGGGAGAGGCCATTGAGAACAGGATACATTCCTGGAAGGCTTCGTGGAGAATGAGCAATTAGGGACTTTAAAAGATAGATCCAGTAGAGATGGAAGAAAACTGAGAGGGAAAGCCATGAGCCCTCGGGGGACAGAGGACAGTCTGGCCAGGAAGTTGTGGAGGGGCCAGGTGTGGTCAAGAGTTAAGGGAGAAGGAAAGGGATGGTAGCCAATGGGGAGAGCCTGGAGCGCACAGGGCCTGGATTTGAGACTGAACTCTAACTTCTCATACCGTTTACACCAGTGTCCTAACCAGTTTCAGAATCTGATGAAAACTGTAAGTCATCTTATCGTTGGAAGGAAAGAAAGGGCATTGTGTGCACATAAACATTTGGATATGTTGTATTAATATAACGTTTGCAAACCTAGTCAGTCCATCCCAGGGCCATCTCAGGGATCTGCTTGAGCGTTTATCCAAGGTCCAGGTGTTAAAGTTTGTCAGCCAAAATATTTTTGTCTGTGAGTAACAGAACAGCCAACTAAAACTGTTCCAATTGCAGGTGTCCGTATTGTTTCACAAGACAAGTTTAGACATAGCCAGTCCAAGGCAGATTCAGTGCTCGTGGATATTGTCAAAGTCCAGGTGGGCTCCATCTCTCTGCTGCCATCAGTATGTCGACAACATGGTTGTGACGGCTTCATGCTTCACTCGCCCACACGCACAGGAAGGGATGGACACATAGAACTTAGCTTGTGCATCTCACTTCCTCTGTCATGGAGGAAATAGTTTTCTGAGTAGTTCCTTTCGGTTCCCCGGAGCTGCGAGGAGACAGCTTATTTGCTGTAACCATATTGCATGGCTACCTTCACTGGAGGGGGTTGGCAAAGCCCGCCATTTGTAGGAGTCAGGCTCTGCTGAGTCAGAAGAAGGCAGAGAGGCACTGGCTCTTGGGGAAGCAGCCTTCAGTGTCCACCACCACGAGCAAGACCCCTTGATTTGTGAAATCCTTGAGGAATGTGGTCTACATTCCTTGAACATGACCAGTGAATTTGAGTCATTCTTTAAATTGAAACAAATCTTCTCCCTCCAAAAGGAGGGAGTTCTGACAGATTCTCATAGAAGAAATAATTAGGTTACATTGCTACTAACCCTATAGTGAGTTGCAAACTTGCAAACTACTGAAAAGTGGGTCGCTGGGACCATCTTAACCGTCTCTCTTTTGATTTCCCATCATTAATTCTAGAAGGACTACTAGGTGCATCTCGCTTATTTATGGAGTCCTTACACTAAAGAGCCATTTTTCTAAAGGATGGCAGTAGATGCTTATTATTCACACTCGTGTTAAGACTATAAGCTAAGGCAAATGGGTCTACATATTTATCTATAAATGGACACTTTTCAAGTGTTGCTGCATTTTGCATCCTATTTTAAAGGCAACCATGAAAATGAGTAAATCTTATGCTGGGACCCTGGTTTCCTCTGGAGTCTCTTGCCTGCTATAGATGAGTGCCTCCTGGTCAGCTTCAAATTAATTTTGGTGGCCTTAAGGACCATATTTTTACAAGCAGCTGGCTCCTATATTAGTTGCTAGTTTAGTGAAGACTCTGGCAGTCCAGAACCAAAGGCAGCAATTCAGGAGTTTAAGCAGAGTTACCATACCATGTCAGGGTCAGGAACACAGAAAGCTGTGATATAATAAAATCGGAGAACTGGAGAGCAATTCTGTAAAATGAACTAAGCAGGTCGGGGAACTAGGAAGATGAAATTCCAGATTGAAATGGTTCCAAATTCTCT
This sequence comes from Homo sapiens, assembly GCF_000001405.40. Taxonomy (NCBI): domain Eukaryota; kingdom Metazoa; phylum Chordata; class Mammalia; order Primates; family Hominidae; genus Homo; species Homo sapiens. The sequence continues at coordinate 154,456,209 of NC_000007.14, forward strand.
GAACTCTTCACCTTAAGCCCTGCTTGGACAACCATTGATCACTTCTGCAGAAACAGTATATCCATGCACTTTCTCAGATTGCTACTTCATAATCCTCAAATCCCAGATATTCTAAATTGACTCTGTGCATTTAAGTATGGTATTAAAATCACCAGAAGTTCAGTTAAGTGATAATTTGCAGGACCTCCCATTTAATCAGTCTCTTTCTTGCTTTTCCCCTACTCAGATTCTTCATGTCTTTCTTTTTCATTCAGTAAATGTATGATCATTGCAGCCTCAGAGGATGCCTTCTAAAGTGGTGGGTTGGTTGGAAATGGGAGAAAGGCCTTGAAGGATGCGGTAGGCTAAAAAATGCGCCCCCCCCACCAAAAAAAAAGTCCAAGTTGTAATCCTTGGATCCTGTTAATGTTTTCTTTTATGGCCAAAAGGGGGCCTTTTGTGGCTACATTAAGCATCTGAAATGGAGGATTACCCTTAGTTATCCAATGGAACCTCAATGTGATCACATGTGTTCTTATAAGAAGGAAATAAGAATGCTTGTGATTTTTGTACATTGATTTTGTATCCTGAGACTTTGCTGAAGTTGCTTATCAGCTTAAGGAGATTTTGGGCTGAGACGATGGGGTTTTCTAGATAAACAATCATGTCGTCTGCAAACAGGGACAATTTGACTTCCTCTTTTCCTAATTGAATACCCTTTATTTCCTTCTCCTGCCTGATTGCCCTGGCCAGAACTTCCAACACTATGTTGAATAGGAGTGGTGAGAGAGGGCATCCCTGTCTTGTGCCAGTTTTCAAAGGGAATGCTTCCAGTTTTTGCCCATTCAGTATGATATTGGCTGTGGGTTTGTCATAGATAGCTCTTATTATTTTGAAATACGTCCCATCAATACCTAATTTATTGAGAGTTTTTAGCATGAAGGGTTGTTGAATTTTGTCAAAAGTGGGCGAAGGACATGAACAGACACTTCTCAAAAGAAGACATTTATGCAGCCAAAAAACACATGAAGAAATGCTCATCATCACTGGCCATCAGAGAAATGCAAATCAAAACCACTATGAGATATCATCTCACACCAGTTAGAATGGCAATCATTAAAAAGTCAGGAAACAACAGGTGCTGGAGAGGATGCGGAGAAATAGGAACACTTTTACACTGTTGGTGGGACTGTAAACTAGTTCAACCATTGTGGAAGTCAGTGTGGCGATTCCTCAGGGATCTAGAACTAGAAATACCATTTGACCCAGCCATCCCATTACTGGGTATATACCCAAAGGACTATAAATCATGCTGCTATAAAGACACATGCACACGTATGTTTATTGCGGCACTATTCACAATAGCAAAGACTTGGAACCAACCCAAATGTCCAACAATGATAGACTGGATTAAGAAAATGTGGCACATATACACCATGGAATACTATGCAGCCATAAAAAATGATGAGTTCATATCCTTTGTAGGGACATGGATGAAATTGGAAACCATCATTCTCAGTAAACTATCGCAAGAACAAAAAACCAAACACCGCATATTCTCACTCATAGGTGGGAATTGAACAATGAGATCACATGGACACAGGAAGGGGAATATCACACTCTGGGGACTGTGGTGGGGTCGGGGGAGGGGGGAGGGATAGCATTGGGAGATATACCTAATGCTAGATGACACATTAGTGGGTGCAGCGCACCAGCATGGCACATGTATACATATGTAACTAGCCTGCACAATGTGCACATGTACCCTAAAACTTAGAGTATAATAAAAAAAAAAAAAAAGAAGGAAATAGAGGGAGATTTGACACAGACGAAGGAGGAAATGGCAAAGTGACCACAGAGGTGGAGATGGGAGGGATGTGGCCACAAGCCCAGGAATACTGGCAGCCCCCAGAGGCTGGAAGAGACAAAGAACAGATGTGATATGGCTTGGCTGTATCCTCACCCAAATCTCATCTTGAATTGTAGCTCCCATAATTCCCATATGTCATGGGAGGGACCCAGTGGGAGGTAATTGAATCATGGGGGTGGGTTTTTTGTGCTATTCTCATGATAGTGAATAAGTCTCATGAGACCTGATGGTTTTATAAAAGGCAGTTCCCCTGCACATGCCCTCTTGCCTGCTGCCATGTAAGATGTGCCTTTGCTCCTCCTTTGCCTTCCACCATGATTGTGAGGCCTCCCCAGCCATGTGGAACTGTGAGCTCATTAAACCTCTTTTTCTTTATAAATTACCCAGTCTCAGGTATTTCTTCATAGCAGTATGAAAATGGACTAATACAAGATGCTTCCCCAGAACCTCCAAGAGCGTGCAGCCCTGCTGACACTTGTATTTGGGCCCAGTGAAGCTGATTTTAGACTTCCAGTCTCCAGAACTGGGAGAGCATACTCTTCTGTTGTTTGAAGCCATCAAGTTTGTGGTCATTTGTCACAGCAGCCACAGGAGGCTAAAATAAAGGGAGATAAATGGCATTGCCACTTTTACGGTGGCCATGTCTTACAGGCAGGCAAAAGAATGCACTTGTGGAGAGATCAGAACTAGAATGCTTAGAAGCCATGTGCCAGCCCTTGGAAGACCATGAACTGGACAACAACTGTGCCACGCACTGCCCTGTCTGCTCCTTCCTGCCATTCACAATGGGAGTCCATGCTGGGCTCCTAGCTCAGCTCTCTAGGGGACAACCCTGAGTTTCAAAAGGTGGTTCTTTACCATCTTCACCACAAAGAAAGGAAATGAAATTCTTTCAAATTGAGATGTATTTTGATGTTTTTCAAAATTTGAGAGAAAGAGGAAGGAAGAGGAGAGGAAGAGGAATAGGAATCTCCAGTATTGACTTAATTCTTCTTATTTTACATACATTCAATTAAACAGATTTAAGCTCCACTTACAGTCTATGTTATTAAATTTGTCGAGATGGGAGATGAAATGCAGATTAAAAAAAAGAAGCCAATGAAATTCAGATTAAAAATATACATTGTATGTGACAGATAATGATAATTTCTGAGACTAAGTAACCCCTTACAATGTGTAAAGGTGTTTGCTACGTGTCACAGGTATTTTGGGTTTAGCATGCCTATTCTCGTAGGCATCGGGTGAAGAATTGTTCCACCCATTATTTCCCTATTGGGAGCACACTACACCTGTGTTTACACAGCAAGCCAGTCATTTGGGAAGGTTAAATTATTAATAGCTGACCTTGGTGTTGGTACATCATGAAGACACATACCGATTCAGGCTCTCAATTCAGGTATGAGTATATGTTTATGATCAGAACATGATTTTATTAATTTTATTGAACAAGTAATATGTATAAATAGAAAAACAGTAGAAATATATTAAATTGGCTGGGCATGGTGGCTCATCCTGTAATCTCAGCACTTTGGGAGGCCGAGGCAGGCAGATCACCTGAGGTCAGGTGTTTGAGACCACCCTGGTCTCCGTATCTGCTAAAAATACAAAAATTAGACAGGCGTCATGGCGCGTGCCTGTAATCCCAGCTACTTGGGAGGCTGAGGCAGGAGAATTGCTTGAATCCGGGAGGCTGAGCCGAGATCATACCACTGCACTCCAGCCTGGGTGACAGAGTGAGATTCCATCTCAAAAAAAAAAAAAAAAAAAGAAAAGAAAAAGAAAAGAAAAGAAATATTAAATGAACAATAATAATCCTTTTATAATTATTTTCTCATACTGTCAGTTCTACAACCAGTCCCTAGATACTGTCACTTTCCACCATTTCTGATTTAAGTCTTCTGATATTTATTCATGTGCTTTTTTTTTTTTTTTTTTTTTTTTTGAGACAGAGTCTCATTCTGTCATCCAGGCTGGAGTGCAATGGCATGATCCTAGCTCACCACAACCTCTGCCTCCTGGATTCAAGTGATTCTCCTGCCTCAGCCTCCCAGGTAGCTGGTATTACAGACGTGTACCACCACACCTGGCTAACTTTTGTATTTTTAATAGAGACGGGGTTTCGCGATGTTGGCCAGGCTAGTCTTGAACTCCTGACCTCAGGTGATCCACCCGCCTTGGCCTCCCAAAGTGCTGGGATTATAGGCATGAGCCACCGTGCCTGGCCTTATTCATGTACTTTTTAATATCATGCTGATATGTCAATGTCCACAGACTACCGACTACGAAGGTCAAAATTTAGCTGCTTTACATTTTCTCCCACTTCCGTCTCTTCACTCTGAGTTACAAAACCTATAATGCTATTTCAAGTCCTCTATAGATGTGTTTCATAACCACGTGGGAAAATTTTTTCATGTATAAATTTCTTGTTCCATTGATTCTAAATGCGCCTCTTGACTTGTCACTAGATAATATGGGAAAGAAGCATGCTTAAAAGACTTTCTTCTCAATCCCAGCTTCCTACTCTTTCTCTTCCCTTTAAGTAATATTTGCAATATTTTTTTCACTTTAATAAAATCTCTCATCAAATAATAAGTTGGTTTTTAAAATCAAAAACACATTTACAACATTCACTATTTCATTTTTTAATTTTTAATTTCTGTGGGTACATAGTAGGTATGTATATTTATGGGACACATGACACATTTTGATACAGGCATGCATGAAATGATAAACACACCAGGGTAAATAGAGTATCCATCCCCTTAAGCATTTGTCCTTTCTTTGTGTTGCAAACAATCCAATTATACTCTTTTAGTTATTTAAAAATGCATAATAAAGTATTATTGACTGTAGTCACATTGTTATGCTATCAAATAGTAAATCTTACTCTTTCTAACTCTATTTTTGTACCCATTAACCATCCCCCTCTGCCCACCCCCACCATCCACCACTACCCTTCCCAACCTCTGATAACCATTTTTCTACTCCCTAGCTCCATGAATTGTTTAATTTTTGGCTCCCACAAATAAATGAGAACATGCCAAGTATGTCTTTCTGTGCCAAGTTTGTCTTTCTTAGATTATTTCACTTAACATAATGACCTCCAGTTTCATTCATGTTGTTGCAAATGACAAATCTCATTCATTTTTTTGTGGCTGAATAGTACTCCATTGTGTATACGTACCATATTTTCTTTATCCATTCATCTGTTGATGGACACTAGGGTTGCTTCCAAATCTTGGGTATTGTAAACAGGTCTGCAACTAACAAAGGAGTGCAGGTGTCTGTTTGATACACTGATTTCCTTTCTTTTGGGTACATACCTAGCACTGGGATTACTGGATCATATGGTAACTCTGTTTTTAGTTTTCTGAGGAACTTCCAAACTCTTCTCCATGGTGGTTGTACTAATTTGCATTTTTATCAACAGTGTATGAGGGTTTCCTTTTCTGCATATCATTGTCAGCATTTGTTATTGAATGTCTTTTGGATATGAGCCTTTTTAACTGGGGTGAGATGGTGTCTCATTATAGCTTTGATTTGCATTTTTCTGATGATCAATGATGTTGAGCACCTTTTCATATACCTGTTTACCATTTGTATGTCTTCTTTTGAGAAATGTCTACTCAGATCTTTTGCCCATTTTTAATTGGATTATTAGATGTTTTCCTATAGAGTTGTTTGAGCTCCATATATATTCTGCTTGTTAATCCCTTGTCAGATGGATAGTTTGCAAATATTTACTCCATTCTGTGGGTTGTCTTTTAACTTTGTTGATTGTTTCCTTTGCTGTGCATTTTAACTCAATGTGATTCCAATTGTCCATTTTTGCTTTGGTTGCCTTTGCTAAATAGGGTATTACTCAAGAAATTTTTACCTAGTACAGTGTCCTGGAGAGTTTCCCCAATTTTTTTTTAAGTAGTTTCATTGTTTGAGGTCTTACATGTAGTCCTTTAATCCATTTTGATTTGATTTTTGTATATGGTGAGAGGGAAGGGTCTAGTTTTATTCTCCTGCATATGGATATCCAGTTTTCCCTTCAACATTTATTGAAGAGACTGTCCTTTCCCCAATATATGTTCTTGGCAATTTTGCTGAAGATGAGTTCACTGTAGGTATATGGATTTGTTTCTAGGTTCTCTATTCTGTTCCATTGCTCTATGTGTCTGTTTTTATGCCAGTACCATGCTGTTTGGATTACTATAGTTCTGTAGTATAATTTGAAGTCAGATAATATGATTCATCCAGTTTTGTTCATTTTACTTAGAATAACTTTGGTTATTGTGGATCTTTTGTGATTCCATGTAAATTTTAGGATAGTTATTTCTATTTTTGTGAAGAATGTCATCAGTATTTTGATAGAGATTTCATTGAACCTGTAGACTGCTTTAGATAGTATGGAAATTTTAACAATATTGATTCTTATAATCCATTAACATAGAATATATTTTTATTTTTTATGTCTGCTTCCATTTCTTTCATCAATCTTTTATAGTTTTCATTGTAGAGATCTTTTACTTCTTTAGTAAGGTTAATTCCTGGGTATTTTATTTTATTTGCAGTGATTATAAATTGAATTACTTTCTTTTTTTAAATTTTATTATTATTATACTTTAAGTTTTAGGGTACATGTGCACAACGTGCAGGTTTGTTACATATGTATACATGTGCCATGCTGGTGTGTTGCACCCATCAACCCGTCATTTAGCATTAGGTATATCTCCTAACGCTATCCCTCCCCCCTCCCCCCACCCCACAACAGTCCCCGGTGTGTGATGTTCCCCTTCCTGTGTCCATGTGCTCTCATTGTTCAATTCCCACCTATGAGTGTTTTCAGATTGTTCACTGCTGGCATATAGAAATACTACTGATTTTTGTAGGTTGATTTTTGTAACCTGCAACTTTGCTGAATTTTTTTATCAGTTCTAATTTTTTTTAGTGAAATCCTTAGGTTTTTCCAAATATAAGATCATATTATCTGCAAACAAGGATAATATGGGCAGGTCGAGAAATATCATCCAAGAACCAAGGCCTAGAATTGGGGACCCCAAGAGCCCACTTAGTACCCTGCCGCTTTGTGGCTGAGCTGGTACCTAAGTTGCAACACAAAGTGCTTTTTACCTTTACTTCTCCTTTTCTTTTTTTTTTTTTTTTTTTTTTTTTTTTTTGAGACGGAGTCTCGCTCTGTCGCCCAGGCTGGAGTGCAGTGGCACGATCTCGACTCACTGCAAGCTCCGCCTCCCGGGTTCACGCCATTCTCCTGCCTCAGCCTCCCGTGTAGCTGGGACTACAGGCGCGCGCCACCACGCCCGGCTAATTTTTTGTGTTTTTAGTAGAGACGGGGTTTCACCGTGTTAGCCAGGATGGTCTCGATCTCCTGACCTCGTGATCCGCCCGTCTCGGCCTCCCAAAGTGCTGGGATTACAGGCGTGAGCCACCGCGCCCAGCCTACTTCTCCTTTTCTTAAGCAGAAGAAGTCTCTCCCTGTAGCCCCACAGCTGGGAATGTCCTGGGTCACACCTGAAGCCAGCCTGTCTCTGAGTCTTACCCAAGACCCTGAGCAAGTACTGCCTGAGTACCACTGCTACTGATTATTTAGGGCCCAAGGGCTCCTTAGTCAGCAGGTGAGGAATCCTGCCAGATTGGGTTTTTCCATTCAAGGCAGGCACAGGGTATGTTTAGAAATGTCATCCCAGAGCTAGGACCTGGAATGAGGGCCTCATGACTCTTCCTGGTGCTCTATTCTACTGTGGCTGAGCTGGTATCCAAGTTGCAAGACAATTTCCTCTTTTCTCTTCCCTCTCCTCTCCTCAAGCAGAGGGAAAGAGTCTCTCCTAGAGCTGCAAGCTGTGCTGCCTTGGGTTTGTGAAGAGGTGATGCAAGCACTCCCTTGGCCACCCCAGCTGCTGTCTCACTAGGTTGTGTGTCCCCCAAGTGTACTGGCTCTGAGCCAAGAACAGCACCAAGACTTGCGCAGGAATTGCAGTTCTTGCGGCCTAGACTGCCTTTCAAGTTATTTTAGGACCCCAGACCACTTTAGCCCACAGTGGTGAGGCTTGCTGGAGCTCAGGTTCCCACTGCTGGGATATGCAGTTCCCGAATGGCTAGGGCTGGTCTCAGTGCTCCGTCCGTGGGAATTGACTGAGTTCTGCCTAGCGTTGCTTTACTCTGTGACAAAGCAACACTGAGTTTCAATGCAAAGTCCCACAGTCACTGCATTCTCCCTGCCCCAAGCAAGCAGATTCTCTGCCACACAACTGCTGCCAGGGGATGAGGAAGGGGAAACTCAAGACTGTCTTTCCCACTCTCTTCAGTGCTACTTCAGTGATATGAAGTCAAAACCAGATACTGTGATCATTAATCTGATTTTTGGTTCTTTACGAGCTGCTTTTTCCTGTGAATAGTTGTTCAATTGGTGTTCCTATAGAGAGGATGATCAGTGAAGGCTTTTATTTGGCCATCTTGCTCTGCCTCCTTTCAAAATTCACAATTTTATACTTAAACAAATATTTCTGTTGTAAATCTGAAGCCATAGAGAGAGGAAAAAATATATAATCCTGTGTAACTGAACAACTTTTCTTGAGGCATTCCAGTCAAGTGGACTTTTCTTAAAATTCATTAATAGTTACAATTGGTCTATTGATATTGGGACCATGACTTACTTAAATAAATTGGGTTTTCTCAATAATTTTATTGGATTATTTCTACTTGAAATAAACTGTCCTTGTTACAGACAAAATGAATGCCTGCACAAAATATGCCAAAATAATATATGTATAGTAGTTCCCCTTATCTACAGAGTATCCATTCCAAGAACCCCAGTGGATGCCTGAAACCATGGATAGTGCTGAATCCTACTTATACTATGGGGTTTTATTGCACATGTATACCTACGATAAAATTTAACTTATAAATTAGGTGCAGTCAGAAATTAATAATGATAACTAGAAATAAAGGAGAAAAATTATACCAATATACTGTAACAAAAGTTACATGAATGTGTTATCTCTCACTCTCTTTCAAAATAATCTCAATATTTCTAGACCATGGTCAACTGATGGTAACTGAAACTGTGGAAAGCAAAACCATGGGTAAGGAGGGGCCTACTGTAAGTAAGTTTAGAAAGGTTACAGAATGCAAGGTCTATTTACACATATTAATTGCATTTCTATGTACTAGCAACACACAGTTGAAAAATTTTTGAAAATACAAATTTTATTAGTCAGCTTGAGCTGTCAACAAAATATGCAGACTGGGTGATTTAGAAAACAGAAATGCAACAAAAGCCAAAATTGGCAAGTGGGATCTAATTAAACTAAAGAGCTTCTGCACAACAAAAGAAACTATCTTCAAGAGTGAACAGGCAACCTACAGAATGGGAGAAAATTTTTGCAATCTATCCATCTGACAAAGGGCTAATATCCAGAACCTACAAAAAACTTAAACAAATTTACAAGAAAAAAACAACTCTATCAAAAAGTGGGCAAAGGATATGAACAGACACTTTTCAAAAGAAGACATTTATGTGACCAAGAAACATATGAAAAAAAGTTCATCATCACAGGTCATTAAAGAAATGCAAATCAAAACCACAATGAGATACTATCTCACTGCAGTTAGAATGATGATTATTAAAAAGTCAGGAAACAACAGATTCTGGAGAGGATGTGGAGAAATAGGAACACTTTTGCACTGTTGGTGGGAATGTAAATGAGTTCAACCATTATGGAAGACAGTGTGTTGATTCCTCAAGGATCTAGAACTAGAAATACCATTTGACCCAGCCATCCCATTACTGGGTATATACCCAAAGGGTTATAAATCATTCTACTATAAGGACACATGCACTTGTATGTTTATTGCAGGACTATTCACAATAGCAAAGACTTGGAACCAACCCAAATGCCCATCAATGTTAGACTGGATAAAAAAATGTGGCACATATATACCATGGAATACTATGCAGTCATAAAAAAAATGAGTTCATGTCCTTTGCAGGGACATGGATGAAGCTGTAAACTATCATTCTCAGCAAACTAACACAGGAACAAGAAAACAAATACTGCATGTTCTCACTCATAAGTGGGAGTTGAACAAGGAGAACATATGGGCACAGGGAGGGGAACATCACACACTGGGGCCTGTCGAGGGGTGGGGGGCAAGGGAAGGGATAGCATTAGGAGAAATATCTAATGTAGATGATGGGTTGATGGGTGTGGCAAACCACCATGGCACATGTATACCTATATAACACACCTGCACATTCTGCACATGTATCCCAGAACTTAAAGTGTACTAAAAAAATAAATAAATGCAGAATTTCATTTCTCACACTTCTGGAGGCTGGAAGTCCAAGATCAAGGTGTCAGCAGGGTTGGTTTATGGTGAAGTCTCCCTTCCTGGCCTGCAGACCGCACCTTCTTGCTGTATCCTCTCCCTGCTTTTTCTCTGTGAGTGCACATATGTGTGCCTGAAGAGAGGAAAATAGAGCTCTTGTTTCTCTTCCTCTTTTTTAAGTACAGTAGTCCTACCAGATTAGAGCTTCACCCTCTGATCTCATTTAACTTCAGTTTCTTCCTTAAAGGCGCTATCTCCAAATAGAATCACATTGGGGGTTAGGGTGTCAACATATGGATTTGTTGGTACGTACAATTCAGTACATAATACCAGTGCACGTGGACGTCTTTGGGATGGCCCTGTCTTACCTAACACAGTCTGTTCTCTGACCCGCAAAGATTCACATCCTTCTCATATATAAAGCACATTCATTCACTCTACCCCAAGGTCCCCAGAAATCTCAACCTATTATAGTATCAACTCAAAGTCTGTGATCTCATCAGTTCAGAACTCCCAAATTTTAACACTGAAATCATCTGAATGAGTTTTGAGTAGGCCTCAGGGCATACTCCACCCAAAGCACAATTCATCTGTACTGTGGCTCTGAGAAACTGGAGAGGTAAACACAGTAGTGGGACGGGTATAGGATGACAGTTATAGACATTCTTGTTCAAAAAGGGAGAAAAAGGAGTCACTAGTTCCAAACAACTTCTAAATTCAGTTGGGGAAACTGCATTAGGTTTATAGGCTTGGGAATAGTATCCTAGGGCTCTCAGGTCTGCCCTCTGGGAGTCATCTTTCTTCTTCATGAATGGCAGCTTGAGATTGTAGCTGAGTAGTTTTATAAGCATGTTTTCTGCCTGAGAATTTTGGGGGTCTGATATGGTTTGGCTCTGTGTTCCCACCCAAATCTCATGTCAAATTGTAATCCTAACGTGTTGAATGAGAGGCTGGTGGGAGGTGATTGGATCATGGGGCTGGTTTCTAATGGTTCAGCACCATCCCCCTAGTGCTGTCTTGTGATAGAGTTCTCACAAGATCTGGTTGTTTAAAAGTGCGTAGCACCTCCCTCTTTGCTTTCTTTCTCTCCTGTCACCATGTCACAAAGGGTGCTTGCTTCCCCTTTTCCTTCTACCATGATTGTAAGTTTCCTGAGGCCTCCCCAGCCATGCAGAACTGTGAGTCAATTAAACCTCGTTTCATTATAAATTACCCAGTCTCAGGTAGTTCTTTACAGCAGTGTGAGAATGGGCTAATACAGCGTCCAACAGCCTTTATTTGTTTCATACTCCCTCTCTCCTTTTCAGTCCAAGCTGGCAATGTTTCTACAGATATAAATTCTTAAGAATCTGCGGATCTTCTATGTATGTCATGGGAATTCATTCCATTAGACAAGTGGCTCTTCCTAGGATTCTTCTAGATACTTTCATCTCTATGTTTGCCTTCTGCTGAGAGAGGTTTGGGGTCTGTGAATCACACATTTAAGCTCTTCAAAGGGCCTTTTGTGTGACTGAATACTTACCTTTTGATCTTTCAAGGTATTAGCAAAGGTTTTTCAGCCATGCTCTCAGGATGGCAGTATCTTTCTCGACAGTGAATCTCTTAATTTCAGCATTTTTTATAATCTGAATAAAGTGACACATTTCTCCAAAGAAGATATAAAAATAACCAGTCAGTGCATGAAAAGATGCTCAACATCATTAGCTTGTAATATTATTCATCTATAAAAAGGAATGAAGTAGTGGTACATTCTGTACGTATTACAACATGGATGAACTTTGAAAACACAATACTATCTGAAATAAGCCAGTCACAACAAAATGCATATTGTATGATTCCATCTACATTAAATGTCCAGAATAGCCAAATGTTTAGAGACAGAAAGAAGATTTTTGGTTGCGAAGAGCTGAAGAGAGATGTGGGAGAATAGAGAGTGGCTGCTAATTGTTATGCTAATCTTTTGGGGGTAATAAAAATGTTCCAAATTTAGGTCAGTAATGGTGCACAACTCTGAACATACTAAAACCATTGTGTTGTAGACTTTAAATGGCTAAGTTTTATGGTATGTGAATTTTATCTCTAATAAAGGTGTCAAGAAAGGAATAAACTAGGTAGGGAAACATATCAACCTATCCGCATATAATCATGTGAAGTCACAGGTGCCTAATGCGGTAACTCACTAAAGAAAACAGGCTGCTGAATATATTTTAAGGTTTCAGTTTATTTCCTGGATCTAAAAGAATGGAGGTAAGGACATGAAGAGGGAATGTATACCTTTGATGTATTTGATTTAGAAGCTTAAAATAAAGCATAACTACAATTTCTTAGTTCATAAGATGTGCTGAATAATGCTGATGACTTAGTTTCTACCATTTCAATAAAAAGTATTATGTGACTAATTTTGATGTTATGCTACTAGTTTTCTTAGACTATTTGAAGACATGTGAATTTGTAAGGAGAAGCTTTTAAGATAAATTAGTATCTCTGTGAGACTTTTTATAGACATAAGTCTGGAGTATAACCATAAATAATATACTTTAGTAACACAAAGACTGCATTACAAAAAAGTAAGCGAAAATACAAGCAAAGGCACAGATTTTTAAAACAAATGCTCTCTTCATTCAAAAGAAATGAACTGAACATCTGTTTGCTGGGCCCCTTAGAGACATGAAGTTGCGATTCCTAACTAAAACAGAAAAGGAAAATATCAAGCTAGTATGGGAAATAGACTTGAAAGCAAATAACTAGTTCATTGATAGTAGCTCCTGGTAGCAGAAAAGAAAGCATGATCAACTTTGAGAAAGTAAAACACACACACACACATTGTAAAGAGGTACTGACTGTACATTTTCTTGTAGCTCCTCTAGCATCACTCAGGTAAGATTATTTAATGCAATTCTCATCCCAACAATAGTTATTTTGTTTCTTACATTTGGGGTTGGATGACTCTAGAGAGATTTCTTCAGAGAAATATGTTTTTGTGTATTTTGAGTAAATCTCACTTTTGTAAAGAGAGAGAGTGTTCCCCTGACTCACAGCTGCTGCCACGGCTTCCTTCCGTCTCTAGGGTTTTTGTGTATGGATGAGATGTTACCATCTCAGCTCTGACCTATGGATTCATATGGTGAACAATCTGCCAGTGGGACAGTTTAATTCAGGAATAGGTCAAAATCCCCAAGGTTCATATGGTGATTTGCAGACGTGCTACCTGGTTTTAAATTTCATTGTTTCTAATCTCTTGATGGTACAGCATGATATAAATTTATTCTTTCATTATGATAAGAATCTACCGAGGAAATAGGAGTAGCACCTGCAACACATAGCATGGATTCTACCTCTTTTACTTTAAGAAAAAAGAAAGAAATATAATTGGAAGTCTTGTTCAAGCATCTGCAGTGCCTGACTCAGGGCACTCAATCAATAAATATGCTGGCAGAACTAAATGATGTGTTTCCTGCATTCTCATTGAGCTTTTTCCTTGTTACTAAGCAGCATCTGTGTTAGGTCCATCGCTGACGGAACAGGCTGCAGTGGTTTATTTTTAAGCAAAAGTGATCTCATTGGAATTTGTGAATTAATGGTACCGACGTTGGAAAATGGACAGCTTCTTTGATTTCCACCTGTTTTTGTGAAGTGTTGGTAAGGAAGCAAACAAATAGTATCCATTTTGTAGGAATAACATACAAATTGTTCTAAATACAAAGACTGCTTTACTCTGAGCCTCAGCTTGGGGGTCTGTCTCCCCTGTGAAGCTAGCCCTCCATAACCCTTGTCTCCTTTGAGTTTTGAAAACACCTAGTGCTTGACATCTGCCAACCGATTCCTCACACATCTTTGGAGGAGTCATTTCACCTCTCAGCAGCTCAGTAGCTCAATGTAACTTTCCTTCCTCCTCATTATGGTGGGGATCAGGAGAGATAATAAATATCATTGCACTCGGAAGACTATAAAGCACTTTAGAGTTGTCAGTTATTCCAAATTGCTCACAAAAGCAGAATCTCACAGAAAGTCTTGGACTCTTCTGGGTAGATTTTCTTTGTTACCAAGCTGAGTTTGTCAGTAGCTTACCTCTACCTGCAGGGATTGCATGCCCCTCCAGCAGCTATGCTCGGGTGATGGGATTTATTTCTAGTTTTCTGGTATTTAAAATATTTAGAGAAGGAGTTCCAAATGGTTCTCCAGGAATTTTACTATTTAACAAATATCTGAGGAAGGGAAAGGAGGCTGAGAAATTTGCATTACACATTGGCCACCGTAAAGAGTAACTACATCACTGCAGATTTCAGCATGCCTTTACATGCTGGTGAGCTAACCAGGCCAAGTCAATTTGAAGTGCCATGGAGTTTTCTATAGTATATCAAGCTAAAGGGCTGGAAGGAACTTTATTTTTCAGTGATCCCTGAATTGCCTTTGGGATGAAATCCAAACAGTGAAAGCCACTGCCCCTTCTTGCATCGCCACCTTTATGTTGCCTTCCAGTTTAAGAAGGAAGATTGAGCACAGAAATGTTCCTTGTTTTGATGGCAAAAGCATGTGGAAGTGACAGCAAAATAAATAACGAAAAACACAGCTGCAGCCGGGCATGGTAGCTCACACCTGTAATCCCAGCACTTTGGGAGGCTGAGGTGGGCGGATCACCTGAGGTCAGGAGTTCGAGACCAGCCTGGCCAATATAGTGAAACCCTGTCTCTACTAGAAATACAAAAATTAGCCGGGCTCGGTGGCAGGTGCCTGTGATCCCAGCTACTCGGGAGGCTGAGGCAGGAGAATCGTTTGAATGTTGGAGGCGGAGGTTGCAGTGAGCCAAGATTGCGCCACCACACTCCCGCCTGGGTGACAGAGCAAGACTCCGTCTCAAAAAACAAACAAACAAAAGCATAGCTGCTTCTTTCTCAAAAACAAGAACAGGAGTTCTTCACATACCTGGATTGAAAGGGAAGACATCCTCATAAGAAGGAACAGGTAAAAACCTATGGCAGGAGGGAAGGCCAAATTTCCATCATCCTCAAGTCATAGAGACTGAAGTCAGGCACAACAGGAGGGCTTGGAAGGTTGGTTTTCATGAGAGACCAGGGGTACATGGAGTCCCTGCCTGAAAACTGGGTTCATGGTCAGAAGGCCTCAGATCACATCACCCATTTGGGGGAAAGGGCTCCAGCCTAAATGACCACCAAGACTTAGTTTAGAGCTGTTACCTAGACAGAATCTCAAAACTGCCTGAGGACCACCCAACCAGGGGCCTCTCAAGACCCAGAACACTTGTAAGACAGAAGCTTACAACCAAGAACCACAAAGCATCTTCAGAAAACATCCCCCCATAAAGCAGAAACCAACCCAACACACATGAAAACCAAAATCCAAAGAAATTTAAATCAATAGGGAAAAGAGAAAATGACATTTTAGATTTTTGAAATAACTATCACTATGCTAAAGAAGCATGAAACTATAAAATATGAGTAGATGATCTTGAAAAAAGTTATTTAGATATATTAGATATTAAAATGTAATTATTTTAAATTTAAATCCTTAGTTGGGTAATAGAACAGTCTAGGTGTATTAAAATATTGACAAGTAGGAGATTGAACTGAAGAAATCATCCAAATACTCCCAAAGTCAAAAAGGAAAAACTTAAGAAAAAGCCCGAGGTGTGGGGATTGACCTAGAAGCTCCAGCACAGTCCAGATGGGATTCTGGAAGGAGGGGATCAAATGCTGCAGGAGCCATATTGTATGAGATAATTACTGGTAGTATTCCTGATGTGAAGAAAAATAGTCTTTAAGCTGAAAATATTACTGACTGTTAAGCAGAATTTTTAAAGAAAATCCACAAGTGGACATTTTTTCTAATGGAATTTCAGAATATCAAATACAATGAGAGAATCTCCCTTCCCCTCTAGGATTTCCTGTTCACATTGTCTGCCACGCCAATGCCAACACACACAATCTCTTGAAAATACTGCATCCACCGACAACTTTCTGCCCTTATGAGCCTTCCTAGCTTGAATGTTTTTCTCTCTCCTTTATCTTGGCTAGCAGCCTCTTTCCTTCAGCAAGTCCTCCTGGAATCAATCCCTCCCACTTTCTTATTTAATAGTCTGCTTCCATATTAGCAGGACAAGCCCTGTTCCTCTCAGCCCCGTCCCTGCTATGTTCTGATCATTCATTCTGCTTTGGTTCCACTGCTCTGTGAGCTTGTATAAGGCCTTTCTCTTCTTCAGGGCTCAGCATGGTTTGTGGAATGTGGCAGTCTCCTGTGCCTGTCATTATCTCAGATGATTTTGGGAATGAATCAAATGATAAACCAATGAATTAGATATCAGTTGAATGTGCAAATGAGCCATCTAGGTACAGAGAGGCCAGCAGTGAGTTTCTTAAGGAGACAGAGCTAATTAAGGACAGAGTCATGTCCTGGCTTGAATGGAGCAATTTTGATAGCATATATCATAATGCCTCCACCACATACTTTCCCTATATAGAAGTCTTAAGTGTTTTAAAAATACCTTTAAAAAACAAATAAAATTACAGTTTTTAAAATAAAATACATGTATAGAAAGAAAGATTTTCAGAAAGTGAATACATTGCCTTTTCATCTTTTATTTCCAACGTTTGTTTAAATGGCAGTCTTACATGTTTTTTCTTATGAGGCACATAGATACCTTAAGTTGCATGGCTAGAATCATTCTTGAATAGTGAAGTTTAATCAGATAAAATGTAAATTTCAACATGATTATTATTTTCTGACCACGTACTTAAGAATGTCTCAGGAAGTTTTAGACTTCTTAATTGCAAGATCAGAGTGTAACTTTATTAGATTAATGTCTAGTAATTTTTAAAATTCTCATTTATTGTCGTGTATATGGAAGTGTGTCATGTTTGAAGCCATGTGCCTTTTCCTGAGGCTGCTTCAGCCACACCTAGAAAGCTCCTAGAGCGAAGAAAGAACTTGGTTTGGTTTAATGCACTATGTTCAGCGCCCGGGATAGCTCCATATACAGTCATGTTTCACAATAAGGCCACCTTGAGTCACAGCATTCTGTAATTTTCAAAAGACTGCTACACACAGTAACCCTATTTGATATTCAAGAGATCAGTCAATGCACAAAGGAATACATGACTTTTCTGACAATTTCAGTAATTTGTCAACAACCAGACCCAAAAGGAAGAAACCAAAAGTGACGTAATAAAACCCATGCAATGCACTGGGGTCCTAGAAGCTTTGAAAATTTTATTTAGAGATTATTTATTCCTATTTGTTTATGTAATCCTAACAGAATTTCTTTCTGTTTTTCTAACCTGCCACAGAGTTTAAAACACAAAATTAAAAGAGGCAAATGGTTCTGTCAAGGTCAAGAACAACAGTCCAAAAAGCGTAACAGCCAGAAATTGAAACAAGAAACAGACATACCACCAGACATTGAAATACAAAAACACACAGCTCTAGAGCCACTGAATGTGGAATGCACACAGACATATGCACCTCAGTTAGCACCAAGATCACCCCACATAGCAGCACAACAGGAAACTGTTGAAATGAGAAAACTGGGAGTCTTTGAAAAAAATGTGCAATGATATTTAGCATCTTCTATTTAAGAGGGCAGGGAAGTAAATAAGCATCCTAGGTAGATAATGTCCATCAGATGTGGTCAAGTCAATATACAGAGGAGTTTCTTATTAGTATCACAGAAGTGAAGGTGGTGGAATGGACTGGCCTGTAGGCTCACAGGTCAGGCATGCTGACAGCCCTGTGTCTTTTCAAAGTCAATAAGTGGATTTTTGTGCCTCTAATGGAGAGAGCCTCTTCTGAGGAGGAGCAAAAACTCTAGAAGCTTTGATCTCTGGAAATACAGGATAAAAGCTCTCAGATTTTTAAAGTCTCACCCACTGACGCCATTAACTAAACATCTCATCTTGGGATGAACATTAGCTGAGTGTGTTCACAGGCTTATCCCAAGTGCTTTCTCCTAAGCCTTGTAACAGAGATGCGGCAAGGCAGAATCTGGTAGTCTGTGTACAGATAATTGGGGTTTGATCCTGTCTGAGCAAGAACTAACCCACAACCCAGAGACAGCCAGGGACAAGTGAAGCTTATGGAGAATGAAGACCTAAGGAATATTTTCTGTGTCTTTGAATTCTCAGCAGCTAAAATGCTGCACTTAATGAATGCTTCATGATTGACCAATTACATCATATGACTGAGGTCCATTCTGGATATCCGTATCTTCCTCTCGACTATTCCCACCCTATTGTTCATAAATCAATCCTGAAAGAATTATTTACCTCTGTGCTGAGAAATATGATCACTTACATGCTGCAGGTGTGGGTGAGAAGGCGTGATGCCGTTCTACTGAATCATGATTTCCTTAGCATAGGTTTTGATAGTTTAATTAAAAACAGAATGCAAGACTGGCTTTTATCCCCATTCACTTATGGACGTCATGTGTGTTCCCATCCATACTATTTATAAATGACAATCAGAATGTTTATGGTCCTCTCATTTTACTAATTATGAAACAAGCTTAACTCTTTGCTTTTTATTTTTTTCTAGCGGAAGATAATAGTCTGTCTCAAAAGAAGAAGGTCACTGTAGAAGATCTCTTCAGTGAAGACTTCAAAATTCATGACCCCGAGGCTAAGTGGATAAGTGGTGAGTCCAGGTCCTTCGTGCACAAGACATCGCTTCCCCATGCCTCACCCCCACTTTCAATAGGTTGGGTCTAGTAATTTGCCTCTCGGATTTCCCCCTTTGGCCACAGAAGGGGATCTACAGAGCTTTTGCTGTAGTCATCATCAGATTATCATTCTATGAAAATGTGTATCTGGTAAAATCAGGCTTTTGTAATGGTGTTGCCTCCCGAGCATCCACACAGCCTTCACTTAATGAGAAATGGGTCTGCTGAAGACGTGTCCTTTGTGTGCCACCTCCCAGAGACATCATTTCTCCGGGGGAGCTGTGGGGTGTTGCTTAGCAACAGGAACAGTGCAGGGCACGGTGAGCTTTCCTTCCTTCTCCACAATCTTCATTCCCCTTTGTTCTCTTGCTCTCTTTCCGTTAGGCAGAAGGACCAAAAGCAACTCATGGAGTTCTTGTAGAATAGCTTCCAAATGAAACTTGGAGTGCTGTACACAGATGCAGATTCATTTATTTTCCCTGTTGAACTTTAATTTGGATTAAATCTACTTTCCTTGTATGGGGGATTTTTTTTTTAAAACAACAGAACAAAATACAGTTGGGGGCAGAAGGCATATGTTCACAATGCCTGTGTTGGTTCATAACATAATCTATTTCTTCTAATTGGGTCTGAAATAATTCAAGTGCATCCATGGAAGATGTACCCATCCCTCCACAGGCCAAGTTGCCAGCACCTCCCTGTTGCCTCCATTGCTGTTGCTTACATTTCATCTTTGCTTCAGTGGAATACACTTGAAGGTTTATCCTCAGGCCAGAGAACTTTATAGTGATCAAAGTCTAGTTCAGATCCTTGCTTTTATAATAAATGAGGTCCAGAGAGGTCAAGTGACTTTTCTGAGGTCACAGAGCTGATGAGTGCGAGCTGTGGCTAGCAGCCCGTCCCCTGACTTCCAATTCAGTGCTCTTCCCACCATCCTCTTTTGCTGAGTGATCGAGTGTCGTTGTATGTTTTTCTGTCAAACTGCTTCTAAAATGCTTTTCATGCTTCACAAACTCTCAGAAATCAATTAACAATGACTCTTGGCTGTTAGTCTCCTGCTTAGGGGCAATCACTTTTCTTTCGTCCTCTATTGTGGCTTCAGTATTCATTTCTGACCCTTAGATTAGCTTATTTAAAAGTGAAAAAAGTAGGTGGATCTCAGAGGGAATGTATTTTAGAAAACTGGGGAGAAATTAGAGCAGCAGTATATCATGAATACCAAGGGCACACAGAAATTAAAAAACAAAACAAAACAGCACAGAGGTCTTTTTGTTTGGTGGAGGAATTGACTTTGCCTTTGTTTTCGGCTGACCTGCTGAAATGTTCGTGTTCGTGTTCACTGTATGTTCGTGTACACCCGCTGCATCAGCAAATGCAAGCACTTGTGGGATGCCACAGGTAGACCTTGGGAGGAAAACATGACAACTCTCCTTGAGGAGCTCAAAGTTGTGTTGGAGACGTATCTATGAGCAGCCAGTGGGAATCCTAACACACAAGACTCAGAGAGGAGGATCGGAAGTTCTCATCCTTCTCAAAGGATGTCCCAGAGACAGTGCACAAACTCAGTCTTAAAGCGATGGCTAGGAGCTTGTTAGAGAAAGCTAAGAATAGAGCCCTGGAAGAATGTTAGGTCTAGAATGTTAGTCTTGCTAAACCCTGGTTGGGGGAACCAAAACCAAGCTGAGAAACAATGCCCAGCAGTTACAAAAACAAAACAAAACACTTAGACTTGTGGTATTTAAGAAAATGAGTGAGCACAGTGGCTCACACCTGTATTCCAGCACTTTGGGAAGCCGAGGCAGGCAGATCGCTTGAATCCAGGAATTTGAGGCCAGCCTGGGAAACATGTTGAAACGTCACCTTTATAAAAAACTAGCCAGCCATGTGGGACCTCTGGTCCCAGCTACGTGGGAGGCTGAGGTGAGAGGATGGCTTCAGCCTGGGAGGTCCAGGCTGCGGTTAACTGTAATCATGCCATTGCACTCCAACCTGGGTGACAGAGCGAGACCCTGTCAAAAAAAAAAGAGTGAACTCTTTGGTATTTGTCAAAAACCAATTATAAAGGCTCAGTTAATCATTGCAGAGTTACTTCATTCACTTTAAGCTATTACGTCTTTAGGGAGCAGGTTTGTCCATGGAACTGTTTCTCAGTGGTATACATGGGAGTCACACCACCCACCACCATGATCTCCCACCACCACCACCAGCAGCACCAGCACCACAGGCTTCTCTTTCTGCTCCTTCTCTGCTTCTCCTTCTCCTTCTCGTGGAGAGGCAGAATTCAAGGATGAATCAAGAGGCCAGAAACAAGGGACACCAAACCTGAGCTCTAGGGTTCAGAGTAGGTTGGAGGAGGGCCTGGGAAGACGCCATGATATGTTGAAATAAAGTGTATTCATACCTATAAGGTATATATTTTTATTAGAAAGCCCATGGCATCAGACTTGGCCTAAAGCAGCATTCCATGCCAAAAAAAAAAAGTATATGTAGAGATGTGGAGACACAAGAGCACAGATGTTTCTGGAGGAACGTGTGCCAGTTCATGGTATAAGGAGTTTGATTTTTATGAGCAAATGAATGGAGTCTGCCCAGAGAGGCACTGGCTTTCTGGCCAGAGGAGACCAGCCGGATTTTCTTTATATCCGCAAAGCTGGGAGTTAATACACGCAATTGAGACGTGGCTATGTGCCCAGCAGAAAATGCCCAGCCTGCCTGTATCATCAGGTTATGCCTATTCATAATGACCACCTGCAGTTCTAAATGGACCTGCCTTTGGTGTTGAGGAGCTTTCTTAGGATGATTCTCCCTCTGTAAATGTACACACTGAAGAAACTTTGCTGTGAAGTAACCAAGTGGTTGGGTCCCCAAATACAGGTTTGATTTGGAGTGTTTTGGAACCTAATAATTCCACTCACACATGACCCTCAGCTTCCCCTTACCTTTTTTTTTTTATCTTATTCCTCTTCCTAAACATTCTCTCTCTTCCCGCTCCCTAAAGAGGCAATAGCTTAAAGTGAATGAAGTAACTTTGCAATGATGAACGGAGTCTTTATAATTGGTTTTTGACAAATACTATAGAGTTCACCCATTTTTTTTTAATACCACAAGTCTAAGTGTTAAGATCTGGGAAAAGATTACTACAAATCCATAGGATTATCTCATGTTGTAGAGCTGGGATGAGCCTTAGAAATTATTAGAACATTAATTCATTCAGTAAGAGATTTTTGAGTGCCCACAGTGTAGCAGACAAATTGCTGGGCCCAAAAGCGGTGAGCGATTTGTTCATGGAACTGTTTCTTAGTGATAGACATAAGAATTATTACCCACCACCACCATCTATCACCACTACCACCATCACAGTCTCCTCTTCCTCCTCCTCTTCCTCACATCACCGTCATCATCATAACATCATCATCAAGATCATATTATCATCTTCATTATCTTCTGGGTGTTTACTGTGTCTTAAGCTCTAGGCTAAATGATCTATATACATATATATATATATAGACATTTAATTACCACAACTACAATGATTCCCATTTTACAGATGAAGAAACTGAGTCTCAGGGTATTGAAATAACTTGATCAATATCACAAAGTTTGTAAGTAGCAAAATTCTGATTTGAACCTAGGTCTGTCTGGTTTTTATAAACTACCCTATTCTGGATAAAATTCAGGTCTCCTGCCAATTTCTTTTGCAACCTTAGTAGTTACATTGTGTATTTTAACCAAAATTATAGGTTCCGAACAGTTCAGAATAATTGCCACTTTTTGAAGTCTCTATTCTAGCTTTCTATTCCCATAGTGACCATGTCAAAGTTACAAAATACGCAAGAGATGAAGAAAAATGGTGTAATTCTCTACAGAGGAAGAGACTTGATTTTGTTTTTTGTTTGTTTGTTTGTTTGTTTTTTAGTACACATTAACTGCTGAAGTTAACAAGTGTACCTTGGGTTTAATATTGGAGTTAACAGTCTGGAACTAATACGCTTTATTTATCAGGAGGAAATGTGTTAGGTTGGAATTGAATTTCCCTTCCCTCATTTTTATACTGTATGCTTAATTTTTTAAATCTACCTTGTCTGAAAATGATTGGTACAACAGCCTCACATTCTCTAACATCCTGAAGACCTTGTAGACTTCCTTACTTGTTTGTTGCAACTACTGGGGCAAGCCAAATGAGGTGTGTAAAGCCATGAAAAGGCCCACTCTGGGCCAGGTGTGGTGGCTCACGCCTGTAATCCCAGCACTTTGGGAGGCCAAGGTGGGTGGATCATTTGAGGTAAGGAGTTCGAGACCAGCCTGGCCAACATGGTGAAACCCTGTCTCTACTAAAAATACAAAAATTAGCCAGGCGTGGTAGGGCACACCTGTAGTCCCAGCTACTCGGGAGGCTAAGGCAGCAGAATCACTCAAACCTGGGAGGTGCAGGTGGCAGTGAGCCGACATTGCGCCACAGCACTCCAGCCTGGGTGACAGAGCAAGACTCCATCTCAAAAAAAAAAAAAAAAAGAAAAGAAAAGAAAAAGAAAAGGCTCACTCTGGGCTCCCTCTCAAAGAGGTGCACACTCCCAGAAGTGGTCACAGCATTGCCTCTCCAAGTATTTGCTCCATTGAGTAAATTCTTATACCTGTTATAACAACCGCATTGCACTTCTTAACCTTTTGGAGCCCCTTTGTGCCATTCTGGGACTCCACTCTAGGGGCTGTGATGAGATATTTTGGTTACTCTTTGTTTACATGGACCAATCATCCTGGGCTCCCCTGGCCCATTCCCTCTTTCTCATTTCTAGATGATGATAATTGCAAATCTCACCTTCTCTGCCCAACCCTGCAAACTCCCTCCCCATCCTCCTTCTCAGCTGAAACTGCCAGAAGAGAGCTTAGGAACACTCCCACTGTCCTGTCAACTGGCCTCAACACTGCCGCTGGCTCTTCCTGCACCACTCCCACCCCGCCCCTGCCCCGCCCCACAGGTGACCTGTCTGCTGTCTGCACTCAATCTAAAGGAACCACAGATGCACTCGCTTCACTTACCTGAGGAATCATTACAGCAGGCCCCTCCTTTCTCCCCTAAATTTTTGTTCTGTATTGGCTGATTCCTATCATGAACGAAATGTGGTCTTCCTTCTCTTACCTTAACACAAACACCTCATCTCAAGTCCACATGCCCTGCCTGGCTCGGCCTGGCTTCCCTGTTCCCCTTTGCAGCCTGAAGCAGTCTTCTATCTGTAACATCTCCAGGTACTCTTCTTCCACTCTCCCTAAATCCACTCCCGTTAGGCTACCACGCCCAGCACTCTCCGAAACTCCTCTTGTCAAGGTCAGAGATGACCTCCAGGTTGCTAAATGCAACAGGCATTTCTCAGACCCCAACTTATTTTACCTGCCAGCAGCATTGGACACCATTGATTCCTCCTCTGCCCTGGATACACTTTTTTCTTTCTTGTCAGCTCATGGGCATCTCCTTTGCAGGAGGGTTGGCCGGTTCTCCCTCTTCTCCCTGACGTTTAATATTGCTGCAAGACTCAGGACTTGTTCCTCTCCTTTTCATGGCTGCACGCCCTCCCTTGGTGTCTCCCTCCAGTCTTATAGTTTTAAATATCCTCCATTTACTGATGATTCCTAAACATATGTCATCAGACAAACCTTCTCTCAAATCTCTCAGATGTCTGAGAGACATTTCAATTTTAACCTTAATATCTCCAAGTCTCAGTCCTTGATTTCCCCCCAAAACCAAAAATACAAAAGAAAAAAAATCCACCCTATCCACAACCTTTCTGATGTCAGTTGATGGAAAAATTTGTAGAACAAGCTAAGGACCTTCAAGTCATCTTTTATTCTACTTTTTCTCTAACATCCCACATCCGATCCATCAAGAAATCCTGCCAGCTCTGCCTTCAGAACACACGTGCCCATCCTAGCCTCCACGTGATGTTTGGGTGCATGAATACCATGGCAGACTTGGCATCAGTCCACTCGGAGGGTTGGAGGGCTGGACTCAAGCCCAGCAGCAGCAGGAAGGACCGAGGCTCTACTCCGGCACCTCAGGTACTAGCTCAGGTGCAAGGAGAAGGGGATGCTTGGGTGACTGGGGTGGAATTTTAATGTTTCTAACTTTAAAAGTCTGAATTCCTCAAGTTTCTCACTTATCCTCACTTTGTACTCCCTGAGGGGAAATAATTCACCCCCACAATGTTAGGTATTGTCTATATGATGATGAGTTTCAATTCTCTAGCTCAAATGCTCTTCCGAGCTATACACTTGGAGAGAGAGAGAGAGGGGTGTGTGTGTGTGTGTGTGTGTGTGTGTCTGTGTGTGTGTGCATGTCAGTCACTGGCTAATTTCCATGTCCACTGCAGTATCTTACATTCACCTCACATCCTCATGCCCAGCACTACATCATCCTCCCCCAACCTCTTCACAGACCCCCCGCTGCCCACTGTGCGAGCACAGCCCTGGCCCCCCGACCCTCCATGTCTCAGACTCTACATGATCTGTTTACTCTCCTGACTCATCATTGGCCATCTCCCCAGTTTTCTCTTAAACTTTGCCTACGTGAACTTCTTTGGATTGCTTCAGAAGTCCATCTTCTTTTCCCCCAGAGTGGCTCTTACATAGGATGTTCCTTCTGTCCAGCCCACTCGCTCTCCTCTCCGCGTCCACTTGTGATCACTCCTAGTCACCACCCTGCATGTTATCTTTTTCCTTTAAGTTGCTCCCTAATTCTTGCTCTGCCCCACATTGACTCTTCTGGTTTTGGATTCTCCTATATCCTGCACTGACCCTTTTGTTACATAGGTTAAGTATAATTATTTATGAATGTAAACTCCACAAGGATGGGACTCGCATCTCTGTTTACTGTGGTATCCCCAGCACCAGCAAAGTCCCCAGTTTGTGGCCGTCCACGAAGACTTCTTGGGCATTTTCTCATTTGATACTTAAACAGCCTAGTTTTAAAGATAAGGAAACTTACAAGCATGTGATTTCACATAGAATGGTGGAAATCTTTTCTGATCATGTGATTTGGGGGCAGGGACCTGAAGGTGAGGATCATGCAGATGAGTTCTCTGGGGGAAAGCCTTCCAGGCAGGGTGGAACAACCAACGCAAAGGTCTTGGTGCAGGAGGCTGCTTGGCATATTCATGAACAGTGTTGAGCCTGAGGGAGAAGAGCCAGAGATAAGATCAGAGTGGAGGCTGGGACCAACACCTACAGGCTCTGTGGCAATGAAGGGGGCAAAGGGAGTATGGGGGAGAATTTAGAGAAGCTGAGAAGTTGGGTTTAACTTATTGGCACTGAAGGTTTTAGAATAACAATGACATGGTGCAAGCTTAGGCTGATATATCAACTTCTTGTATTATATATACTACACATTTGTTATATGTATGTATTTATTACAGTAAATTAGAAATCAGAGATTAACACAAATTTAAAAGATACTAAAAATTACCTGTAACCCCTCTAACTGAAAATGGCCACTATTAAATTTTCATAGCTCTCCTTCCAGATAATAACATATATTGAATAATACTAAGTGTATTAAGTAGGAAAATATTCATAACCTATACATACATATATTCTCATGGCAGTAAGTATACATCGTCATTATCTTTTTAACATCTTAATAGTATTTCACGATATTAATGTGCCTTAATTTGCGCCATCTTCTGATATTGAAAGTTTAGGCTGTGACAGGAAAGGAAGTGGCAGGTGTAAAAAGCCATGGTGAGTGACAAATCAGCAGGAGGTGGTAGTGTATAGAAATGGAACACCAGGGAAGAGAGCACTGTCAAGGCTGACTTGAGGATCTCAGGCCTGGGCAGCTGGAATGGTGATTCTCTATTCTTGACAGGGAGTCAGTTTCTGTGACTGGATGAAGAGTTTGGAGTGGAAGTCTATGAGCAATAACTCGGTGGAAATGTTCGTTAGGTATTGAGAACTGGGGATGAAGCCAGGTGAGAGGTTGGAGCCATCTGGAGGACCATGGAAAGCGTGGGTTGTGGAGGTACTGCTCAGAGCCTCTCGGAGGGAAGAGGGGAAGAGGGACACGGAGGTGTCTGAGGAAGTGTGGTCAGGGAGGCAGGAGGAGAACTTCTACCACGCCACGTCAAAGTCAAGGCAGGAGAAAATGCTCTAGGCGAGTTAGTGTGCTGCCGATTTTGTAACGGCAGATGTAAATGAAAAACCACCCCACGGTGGCCACGCACCTCTTCCTGGCTCACAGCCCCAGGGACGTGTTTGTGTAGACAATAGTGGTGATCATTTGAGTCATATTTAAATTGTTTATTTCTTTCTGTTAAAGGTAAACTGAGGCACAATACAATTTTTTTTTTTTTAAAAGCATTTATTTGAGCAAACAGTGATTCATGAATTGGGCAGCTCCAAACCAGAAGTGGTTCTGGGGTTCTACCAAGGGAACAAGGGAGAAGGCTTTTACAGAACAAAGACAGAAGCAAAGCAACTATCTGATTGGTTACAGTTATGGAGTTGCCTTATTTGGTCAATCCTGTTGGAAAGTTCTTAGTTACAGAAGTTAGTTGGGAGCTTCTGACTGGTTAGTCTTTAAGTTTCACTTTTCTTTAATATAGGCATTTATGAGAAAAAGCCCAGGTGAAGTTTTTGTTTCGTTTTGTTTTGCTTTGCTTTTGAGACGGAGTCTCGCTCTGTCGCCCAGGCTGGAGTGCAGTGGCACAATCTTGGCTCACTGCAACCTCCACCTCCCGGGTTCAAGCGATTCTCCTGCCTCAGCCTCCCTAGTAGCTGGGATTACAGGTGCACACCATCACGCCTAGCTAATTTTTGTATTTTTAGCAGAGACAGGGTTTCCCCATATTGCTCAGGCTGGTCTTGAACTCCTGACCTCGTGATCTGCCCGCCTCAGCCTCCCAAAGTGTTGGGATTACAGATGTGAGCCACCACGCCCGGCCCAGGTTAAATTTTATTTATGTTTGCAATTCACACAAGGTCAAGGTTACTTACACTTACAAGGCCAACTGGCTTTGTCTCCTTGAGGATTCTTTAGGCCTTTTAACTTACTTTTAACATCACTAACCACACTAATTTATATGGCAAATACCCTCTTATTGACACTGTTGCAGACTATAGTAGGGGAAAGGTTAATTCCAGAAGCAGGGTGAAAGACGCTTACATGCAGACAGCTTTCCACCCTCTCCTCACCGCATCTGTGACCAACAGAAAGTGTCTCCTCTGTCTTAACAGAATTTGTCACTCTGCTCAGGTAGCTGATGCCACTGCACCTGGTGAGCCACCTAGCTCAACAAACATATTTGCTTTTACAGATCTGCCTTTTATGAAGGCAGCCTGGGCTAAACCTTGGAAATGGTTTGATAAGCCCCATGCCCTGTGCTCTGAGCAAATCGAAGCCTCCTGCATCCTTCAAGGGGTCCCCTCTCCTCCCGTCTCCTCCCAGTATCTCTTGGATGCAGGCAGGCCTGGAGCTGATTGACAGAAGCTGCTCGCTGGGCCTGATTAACTTGTCTGCTAGCTCCAGGCAGAGCTTGGCCTCACAGCCCATCCGGCTCCTGCCTCCTCCCCGCCCCCTGCAGCATGTTCAACTTTAGTCTGAATATGGTGATAGACCATGTGGCTGGCACCAGCATCTCTCCACTGTCTGTGTTTGTTTACGCTCATTTTCATTAATCCAGCCACTTGTTAGCAGAGAGCCCTCTGTGTCTCTAGGATGCGGTACTAGAGAGACTGTAAAATTGAAGAAAATTGCTTCCTTTGAATGGAGGAAAATATCAGCTGGCTGGTTGATACTGGAAAAGTATATGTTTCAGAAGATAAAATTGGAGTTAGTGCACAGGGCTCAAAGCAACTTGATTTCCATATGTGCTTTATCCTCTTCTCTTTTGTTATGCTGAAAAAACAGATGGGTTTTTTTTTTAAATAAAGCTTATGGGGTTAGGTAGAGGGGGGAATTCAAGTTTAAAATGGTTTGGGTATTTCCACTGCTTTTTGGAGGCCACATTTTTCAATCAAAACCATTAAGCCTTAGAATTGCAGAGAGTAATAAAGTCCCCTCGAGGGCACTTGGTACAGCAGCCTGTATCCCATGGCCAGCAGGGACTTCAGGGAAGTACCCAGGAAGGGCAGGCTTCGTAAGAGGGACTGTGTTCTCCCACGGCTCTGAGAGTGTTTGGAGAGCATAACAGTGATCATTTGAAGTCATTACATAAAAATACACACTGAAGCACATCGTTGTACCTTAATGAAGTCCTTAAGAAATAAACAAAATGTAATTATGGTTTACATTGGTGTAAACCACCAGTTTATTTTTTCTCTCTTTTGTTGTCATGCTCAAGGTCGCACCTTTCCTTAAGAGAAGAGAGCCTCAGTTGTCTGGCATTAGGAACCCAATCATGTCTCTGACTATTTTCGTGCAGTAAAATCTGTCCATGCCATCACTCCCATTTTTTCTGCCTAACACAGTTTCAACAGTATCCTGTCTGCACGGCCAGGCTTATCCTTAAATGCATCTTCCCCATTTCTGGTCTCTGAGCTAAGACAATTATTTGCTTAAACTTCTGCAAAAGTTTCCTATTGGAGTTTTCTATAGGACCTACGGGAAGAACTCAAAAGACAGTATCATTTAGCGCCAGCAGCAGCGGAAGCAATAATTGCAACAGGAATTGAAAGGATAACAGTAGCTGCATGAAATATCTCAGTTACTTCAGTTCAGTCTTCACTGAAACCCATGGAGGCAGGAATTTTTTTTTTATTATACTTTAACTTTTAGGGTACATGTGCACAACGTGCAGGTTTGTTACATATGTATACATGTGCCATGTTGGTGTGCTGCACCCATTAACTCTTCATTTAACATTAGGTATATCTCCTAATGCTATCCCTCCCCCCTCCCCCCACCCCACAACAGTGCTGGAGAGGATGTGGAATTTTTACCTTTACTTTAGAAATAAGAAAACTATGAGTCAAAGACACTAAATCACTTTTTCAAAGTTACCAAGATGGCTTTAGAGAATCCAGGGTGTTCCTGCCTCAGTGTACCTTGCCTCCCCGGTCTCCTCACCACCCCTACTCATGGCCTCTATTTTGTTTTTTTTTTGAGATGGAGTCTCACTCTATCGCCCAGGCTGGAGTGCAGTGGCACGATCTCAGCTCACTGCAACCTCCGCCTCCCTGATTCAAGCGATTCTTCCGCTTCAGCCTCCTGAGTAGCTGGGACTACAGGTGTGTGCCACCACGCCCAGCTAATTTTTGTATTTTTAGAAGAGACAGGGTTGCACCATGTTGGTCAGGCTGGTCTCGAACTACTGACCTCGTGATCTGCCTACCTCGACCACCTAAAGTGCTGGGATTACGGGTGTGAGCCACCATGCCCGGCCACTCATGGCCTCTATTACCACGTTCCTGGCCATATTAGGTTCTTTGGCAGCTTTGTGACTTTATTGCTCTTCTCTTTTTCTGAAAATACCGTTGCTCATCACTTCTCTGCTTCAGAAAGTCTCATTAATCCTCATGGCTTGACCCAAAATACATTCTCTCTGATTTTCCAAATTAGAATTAGTTGTGTACTCCACGATACCGCAGTAGAACTTTACAAAACTTCAGTCAGAGCATCAGCTTGTGAACCAGCTAGGGTTGGACCACCTTGGGGATGCAGCCCACTTCGCAGAGGCTGGATGCACTTCCTCCGTCTGAAAGCAGAGAGAGGTGTGTCTTGGGGCAGGGCAGCCGATTTCTTCCACACCACGCTGGTCCCTTCCAGAGGTGCTGTAGGTCCTCTGCCTGTAGGTCCTCTGGGCGGACTCTAGTTCCTAACTGATGGATGATGCTGGGCCCCGCTGTTGATGCTGCTTAATTCATAATTTGGGGACTCAAGTCTCTGCAGGCTCCACTGGGCCAACTTGCTTCCTGCAGAGATACATGTTCAGACTCTACTAATTACTTTTCCTTGGCAAACGTTGCATCCCTGGGAAATTTAAATACAACTTCCATCTTTGTTGACTCCAGTTTAGACCCCGGCCAAGACTGAAATCGCGTTTCAACTTTATTTGTTTGCAGTATACAGAGGGACAGGCTCTTCTTTTTTTGTTTTTGCTTTTTTGATTTAGGGAAATAAATATTTGATTTTGTGTGTATATACGTGTATACGTACATATTTTTTTCTCTTAAGTAAAGGGATCTCATGTGAGATGTTCATGTTTTTTTCCTACTCTGATAAGTAGACAGATATTCTCCAGGTCATTATACGGTTGTTTCCAGGGCTCCAAGGATCTCAAGAAATAATCCTGAAGACCCCGCCGTACTCAGCCCCTCCATCCTCCTACCTAATAGAGCAGATGACAGGATACGCCGTGCAGCGTGCCTTGTGGCCAGCCTGGTCTTTCTTCAAGGTCAAGCTCAAAATCAAAGCCTGGGGCAGGCGGTTTTCTGCCTGGCAACGCAGCTCAGCCCCAGCAGCCCACAGACCAGGATGCAGGAGTTTGTTTTACTTTAGTTCCGTTCCAATTAAAAGAGTCTGAGAGCTCAGGTGAATCCCAATGCACTGTAGCTGTTTGGCCCAAGGGTGAGATTCTGCCGCGTCCTCTTTTTAGAGTGAAGCGCATTCAGAAGACCCATTAATTAGAGACTATTCATCCTTCAACACGATGATATTCACATGAGCACTGACACCACCATTTATTGTCTCAGTTAAATTACTTCACAGAGTCCTTAACCATGGTAACCTGCTAGGGTCTAATTAATTATCATTGACATCTTTTCAAACATCGATCACCTTCTTAATTAATAAAAAAGACTCACTTGATCTCTTCGGTAACTGAGCACCGTCCCCTGTGACTCATCAATCTTTTGCCCACAGCATGTCTCACTTCACATTCAGGTGTCTGTCTGCATCTCTGTCTGGCTCTTGACAGCAAACATCTTGGGGGTCACAGGTATGTTGTAGTAATTATCATAGTTCCCTCATAGGTCACAGTATCTGGGGTGGGATAAAGTCTCAATAAATATTAACTGATTGAATGATTCAGCAAATGGGCAAATTGAGTCTCCAGAGAAGAGGCCTCTGGGAACTGAATTTTTGGTTAATTGAGGGCTGGCCAGGCTCTTTATTGTAACTCTTCGTGTTTTAAGAAAGTAGACACACGTGGGCGGGGCGGGACGCAGTAGCTCACGCAAGCCTGTAATCCCAGCACTTTGGGAGGCCGAGGCTGGCGGATCATGAGGTCAGGAGATCGAGACCATCCTGGCTGACACAGTGAA
This sequence comes from Homo sapiens, assembly GCF_000001405.40. Classification (NCBI taxonomy): domain Eukaryota; kingdom Metazoa; phylum Chordata; class Mammalia; order Primates; family Hominidae; genus Homo; species Homo sapiens. Next base: position 154,488,311 of record NC_000007.14, read on the forward strand.
ACCCCGTCTCTACTAAAAATACAAAAAAAGTTAGCCGGGCGTGGTGGCGGGTGCCTGTAGTCCCAGCTACTCGGGAGGCAGTGAGCCAAGATTGCGTCACTGCACTCCAGCCTGGGTGATTGATAGAGCGAGACTCTGTCTCAAAAAAAAAAAGAAAGCAGACACACCCTTGTAATAAGAAACGCACATCTGATTCTATTTTCTTGCTTTAACTGGGACTCTCTAACAGATGAAAGAGATAGCTCCTGCTACTCCTCATACTAGATGTGTTCTCCATCGTAAGTTTGATACTTGCCACTTATTGATCATGTGCAGAATGTGCCAGACATGATGCTAAGTTCTTAATCACTTAGCATCCCGTGAAAGACAGGCGAGGCCATCGTCTCTACACAGCCCACATATTTACAAATCTTCCAACTGGATGGGGCCATCCAGAAACACAGGCATGAAGCTATGTCCTATGGAAGGTACTGTGGCCTTTTAAATATTTGGGGTGTGATATCATCCTGGTCTCTTTTCCACCTAAATCCCCGTCCCTCCTCCATCCTCCATCCTGTGCATCACTGGGACCTCATGACGTGTTTATCTCTCAGCGATACTTTGCTACCAGCACTGCATCTTCTCTGTTTTCCAAAATACACTAACACAAACATGCTTCATAACAGACATTTACAAAAAGTGACAGGATGACAAAGGAGAACTGTGGGTACCACAGAAGATGAAGCAACACCGATATGAACAGCACGGCTTGCTCTTCTTAAAGCCCCTAGACATTCTTGCTTAAGAGAACCTTTCCTTGACTGCCCCTTTTTCTCTTGTTTATGGGGTCTTCCAACAACTGCATGGCCTGGTTGTGCTGCGGTTGCTTCTATCACAGAACTTTTCCGTAGCCCCCATTGCCCTAAACTGTTGCCAATAAAGACCAAGTTGGGATTCAGGGATATCGAAGTGAATCAGAGTTCTCTTCAAACTTAGTGTGAATCTCATGTTCACATTTAAAATGCTTTAGGGGCCCTTTTGTGCAGGGCTGACACCCATATCCTATGCTCCCTTCGCAAGCTGAGTATTTGCAGGACGCTGTTCTGAGATTGGTGTAGACCTTTCTAATATCCGGCACTTTGCAGTTGAAATGGAATTCGTGCTTTGTGGTGTCTTTTCTCATATCTCTTTAGTGTAAAAGTGGTAGAAATGTGTAGAAATAGATATAGCATCTGGATATTGTGATGCTGAGCAGGTTCTGGGCTTTTAAACCCAGATTTCCAAAATAAGTGCCAACCTCACATCTGATGCTTCTGCCGAGTGCTCCCTGGAACCCAGCCTAGACCGTCTCTTGGGTCAGGATCTTCTGTTCTCTCTCAAGACCCCTTATTCATTCCCCCTCTTCTCTGAATATTTTGGGATCCTCTGAAATGTCCTCCCTCCAGAAAAAAAAACAGGTGATAGCTCTCAGATTCCAGCAATTTATGAAGCAGATTAATCTAGCTGTGCTGGTCAGGCCTCTCTCCTGTGCTCCTGCCTCAGGTACCTTTCTCAAGGATCAACAAAAAGCCAAATGCAGGAATTTCCCCAAACGAAAGATACGTTTCTGGAATTTCTACCCTTTGCGAGGCAAGGAACCGACATGTGCATTCATTTTCTTAACTTCTCCCAGATCACATTCTTACACAGGACAACCCAAAGAAGGGAAAGATGGAATAAACCTCGGAAGTTCAAAGTAGCAGAATGTTTCTTATTTACACCAGTGTTACAGATCAGGGGCCCTAGAATCAGAGAAGTTAAGTCACTTACCTTAGGCCACACAGCTAATAGGTGACAGAGCTAGTCTTTACTTTGAAAATGCTTCTGACAATTCTGAAAACATGCCCAAAGTCCAGTGGAAAGTTATGTTCACTAAATACAACGGTACCAATTAAGTCTTCATAGGGTTGAACTTGAATCTGCAATGGAAATCTGGAAGTATCTGTGAAGGATGAGACAACACCCCCAGGTGTCTCTTCCCCCGGCTCCCTCGTGCTCTCTCAAGATCAGCCCAGCTCATTAGTGCAGCCCGTGGCTACATCCAAAGCACGCAGCCCTCCTTGCTGCAGTCTTTTGCAAGCCAGGCATCCTGAAGGTCACAGCAGAAGTGCTGTGGGGTAAAGGATGAGTTTGTCAGCAGTGCCCCGTGGCTGCCTGGGGCTCTGAAGGGCAGCCAGATGGAGTGTGAGCTTTGCCTTTTCCACCAGATGTTATTTACTTATTTTTGCTGTTAGCTTCTCACTCCCATCTCAAACACCTCTGGGCACCAAATACTTGAAAGTAGTTTGTGATCCGCAAAGACAAATTCCTAATAAAAGTCTGAAAATAAAATAATGTTGCTGGAGAATTATTTGGGATACTTAAAAGTGTTGTGTGTTGTATCTAACGTGTTGCTGGTGTTTTCCATACATCCATGCTAGCTGCTTGGGAATTGCCGAGTTCTGAGTCAGGAATTTTAATGGGCACATTTATTCAGACCCTGAGCCTCTGCTGCTTAGTTCTCACCAGTGATAACATAGTTTACAGAGTGACAGCCGGAGACCAGGAATGAAGCTTTATAAGTCATTTTAATTATTTGATATTACTTGTAAGTTGCCGAAGGAAGGAGACTCCTGTATGACTATACTGTAGGTGTCTATTTGCGACACACCAGTGAACACGCACGTGCGATATACAAAGGACAAAATGCATGTGTGATGGTCAGCGACTGAGAATGCCCCTTTCTGGCTGACATCAGAGGGGTGCATGGCAACAAAATGTCATCCCAATCTCTCATGGGATGTTTTCTTTTCCAACTTTCTTCTCAATGGCTTCTGACATTAAAATAGGTTTTTACTGAATATAAAGTACTTATGTTCCTCAATAAAACCCAAATTGTTGGGTTTTAAAAACTTAATGTTGGATTAAGATCTCCTAATAAGCAAGGTTAAACAAACAAGGGGGTTGGAAATAAAATTAGGGAGTGCCAATTTACCAGCTGCTGTGCGTTAGCAACAATGGCCCTGTTAGCGCTCCCCCAGGTTCTTCATTAAGCTCGGAAAATCCTTACTCCCTGATTGCTCAGATCCCACAGATGAGCCTAGAAGAAAGTATTAAATGTCTAAGAAAAGACACAACATATTCAAGTCTAAAAAGATGTTTCTATTTCACTTTGAGGCTCAAGTAAACCCATCCCCCGCCCCTTGTTCTCTTCCCATCATCTTCCTTTGCCATTGGAGCCTACAATTCGTCCAGAATCCTTTCCTCCTCCCTCTTTTGAATCAGTCCTTGAGACAGCATAAAAGAAGAACAAAAGCTCCACCTTATCCCATCGCCATCCACCTGTCTTACATACTTGAAGAACAGGAGAAGATAAATAAGATGGCCCAGCATGGTCATTTTCTAATTTTTATGGAGGGACTTGAATTTGAAACCGACACCACTGACTGTGATCATGCCCCCAGCATACGAAGGAGGATTTTCCTTTGGGCTCCCAGGCAGATTTAGGCAAGTTCCTCTTCTCTGCCTGCCGTGACCTTTAGAAATCATCCACTAATGTGTCTTTTCATGACTTCCCTTCCAGCGTTAAGTTCCAGGAACTTAATCTCTTTAAGTGATTTCTGTCCAAGCTCAGTAGCTCAAGGATCCCATAATGTTACCAAAAAAGACTAAGATCTCCATGGTTCTAGCTGCATCCAACAATGTAAACAGGTAAAGTAGCATCCTTGGAGCATCTTTTATTCACTTTATAAATATGATAAAAGTGCTGCTAGGTGCCTAAAGCTCTGATTTGTTAGATGACTTGGGATCACAAAGGCAAATAAGACAAGCTTTGTACCTTGTATTTAGAGCAGAAGGTATATTTTAAATGTTAAAAGCCATCGCTTTATTTTTATTTGATTATGCTGGGGGCTGAATCTGTAACACCTTGTATAGCACCCAGGAAGTATTAGTTAAGTGAATGCATGCAGACGCACACCACATGGTTCCAGAAAGGATTCTGGGCAACTCAGTGCAAACATCAGATAGCAATATCCCAAATCCCAACAACTGCAACAGAAAGAAAATAGGAGAAAAGATGAGATTTGTGCCCGCAGTGCATGTTGATTTAATAGGAATTTCAAAAGAAAAAAGGACGTCTGTGGCCAGGTATATATCCAAAGCCTGCTTTCTCCTTCTCGCCTCACCTCTGCTGGCTTCTGGAGCTCACACTCGTTCACCTCGTCCTTCCCTCGTTCCACCCATTCCCTATTCTGGTGGGATACCGCACCGGGTGTTATGAGTACATCAGCTCATTTGATATTCACAACCATTCCTGCTGGCTGGTGGTATCTCCATTTTACATATGAGGAAACTGAAGGTTAGAAAGGCTAATGAGGATCACAAGTCTCATGGCTAGTGTCATAAGAGAGCAGATATGACTTCAGGCTTGTCTGTCTCCAAAAGCCTTCGATGTGGACCCTACACCATCCTACAAGGAGGTGGTTCTCTAATCCGGGATGAAGCTCTTGTTCTTCCTGTTTTTCCTTTTCCTCAACATATGAGGATTTGTTCTGAAGATCAGCAGTAAAATCTCACTGAAGGGTTGAGGCTTGTTTTAAACGAGTCCAGAACTAAGATGTAACCCAAATAGAAAAACAGTCAGTAAAAATCCACGAAGCTCCCGCATCCCTCTTCTTAAACATGGCCCAGTGACCCCCGTGTGCGGGTTAAACTCGAGATTCCTTTAGAAGATCGTGCTTCTTATATAACTAGGACTAATGAAAGCAGCCTGGAAATGAGTGCACAGTTTGATATGGGACCCATCAAAGATGTCATTCAGCCTGAGGATAATGACCCCCAAGGCTGCTGCAAGAGCCATGTTTGAGCTAGAGCCAGATCTCCTTGAAGTTTATGCTTCAATAACTTCGTTAAGCCTCCTTGGTGCTTTTGGGTCAAGCATGACTTTAGTAAATGAATTATACGTTGGATAAGGGTCATTTTGTAAGTGAACCAAATGATGATAGGAAAGTCATTCTCTGCCCATACTTATGGTGTCATCTGTAAGCACAGACCTGCAACTTTCCGTGGTTCAGTGAGACTGAGACCCTGGGTAGGTGCACTCATCACAGGCCTCACAGGGAGATTTTATTTAAATTGACACAAAGAATTGAGGATTGGTGGCCCATCGTTTTATTTGAAGATGTAGACAGCAAAACTAAAATATTTGGATTTCTTTTGTTCTGTAAAAGATTTATTTTTATGTTTTGAATGCCTAAAGAGAGAAAATAGTTATTGTATGATGATGGTCATCTTACATAAATGAAAATACCATTTAATGACATGAATCTTATTCATTCTAAGAAATTAAAATGCCTGTAATCATTCATTTATATTGTTGCCTTGTTATTTGGCTTTCGTGAACTGTGTAAAAAGTTGTGAATTTTTAAAGAATTCAAGAGCAGGATTCCGTTTCTGGAATTCAATATCGGTCACACTGTGATTGCGAAACCTCTGTATACGGATGCAGGCAGGGAGTTTTGTTTTGATTTGGTTTGGTTTATGTGTGAGCAAAATGTGTCATAGATCTGTAGAAACTATCCAATTTTATAGATCCTTTCAAACATGGAGTTGCCAGACTTCTCCTAGGAATTGTAGCAGGTAAGATAAGCCAAGAAGTAAGAGGACCATCTGATAGTTCTTATCTTACTTAGATGGAAAGTGGAAAGCTCATGGAAACTAGAAATTTTTGTGTGTGTTGGTTCTTATTTATTAAAAGATATATTGCCGGATATTGTGGCTTACACCTGTAATCCCAGCCCTTTGGGAGGCCAAAGCCGAAACATCGCTTAAACTCAGGAGTTTGAGACCAGTCTGGGCAATAAAGTGAGAAATCATTTCTACAAAAAATTTGTAAAAATTAGCCAAGCCTGGTGGTGGACACCTGTAGTCCCAGCTACTCAGGAGGCTGAGGCAGGAGGATCACTTGAGCCTGCGAGGGACAGGCTGTGGTGGGCTGACATCGCACCACTGCACTCCACCCTAGGCAACAGAGAAGGACCCTGTCTCAAAAAAATATATATTATACATATTTTTTATTATATATAAATATATAATATATGATAACATATATTTATATATATATGTATATCACTTGTAAGCCTCAGTAGTTTAATATTACTAACAAACTTCACAGTGACACATCACACAAATGATCTCAGCATCCTAGAACTTAAAATCTAGGATGAATATGTTCTTATAATTTTTGTTTCTTTCTATATTTCAGATAAAACTCAGATACCTAAATTTCATGATAGCTTTCTCCCTGGGAAATTATATTCTCTTCTTATTGCAAGCACCACATTATTGATTTCCCTGATACCTCATTACCAAGACTCTTTTCTGCAAGAGAAAAGACGCTGAGTACTTTATCCAAGTTTCACATCAGGCCCAGTGATCCCCAACCCACTGTCTTTCCATCAATTTGCCTCCTCCAAGTCAACCAAATGCATTCAGTTAATAATTGAAAAAATGGTATAAAAATAAATCAGGCATGTATAGACGTTGTCCTCAGGTACTTGCAGATTAAGGGAGGGAGTCAGGTAAATGGTTAAAGACATAACAAAGCATGGGTGCTTTCTCGAGATACAGACAGAGGAGGGAGAATACAGAGAAATGGCAGCTTCCTGCTGTAGGAGCTTAGAGAGAGTCTCGTGGAGGTGACATTTGAACCAAAGTAACATTTGCACATAACTAGGACATTGCCATGTAGAGGCGTCTGGTATGAGGAGGGAGCAGGGAATTTCTCTAAATATTGCAGGTAAAAAGGTTTAGGAAAAGAGTTGTGGCATATCCAGAAACTGATCAGAATATGGATTTGGCTTAAGCCTGCAACATTCAGTATCTGGTAGGAAATGGGGCCATGAGTGTGAGGAGAAGACAGACCCTCAGGGCGTTTCTGCAGGCCCCTCTCTAGCAGCTGGGGCCATGGTGGGCTCTGAGTGATGAGAGCTTTTTATTTCTTAAATGATGAGGGTGGAGTGTAGATAGTGGGCTAGGAGAAAGACATGTATATGTGTTTGGCTTTGGGGGGTTTGTTGTGGTTTTTTTTTTTTTGTTGTTGTTGTTGTTTGAGACAGAGTCTTGCTCAGTTGCCCAGGCTAAAGTGCAGTGGCTCACTGCAACCTCCACTTCCCAGGTTCAAACAATTCTCATGCCTCAGCCTCCTGAGTAGCTGGGACTACAGGCATGCGCCACCATGCCCGGCTAATTTTTGTATTTTTAGTAGACACTGGATTTCCCCATGTTGGCCAGGCTGGTCTCCAACTCCTGACCTCAAGTGATCCATCCACCTTGATCTCCCAAAGTGCTGGGATTACAGGTGTGAGCCACTGCGGCCGGCCTGTATATATGTTTTAATGAGTCACTTTCTACATAAAAAGTTATTTGCAGGAACCAGTGCGGGGAGGTAAGAATGACTTAGGCAAATCTCCTTCTTTTAATAAGCTTGGAGTCCAACAACAAGTGGGCGAGTCACAAACACCAACAGCTGTGTGTGTACCCAGATGCAGGAAGGGACACAGAAGGAAAAAGACACACTGAACATTTGGCACAGCAGTGCATTGAGCCAGGGACTGTCAGAGCTGAGTGCTGTGGGCCTCTGGTAATGACCATTAAACAAACACCTGCCAGAAAGAACTTCTCCTCCACTGGGATTCAACAATAGGGAATACCTCATCCAGTCTACCTATTCGTAATAGACAATTTAGTAGGCAAAATCTTAAATTTTCATAAAGAAGAATATCTTAAGAGTTGGAGGTTTCACACATATTGTATATCTTAATTTTCAAGGAGATGCCTATGATATGTTTCTAAGATCTTTTTTTTTCCTCTCTGGAATAAATACTAGTGAACTTAATTTATTTCAAGAAGAATACAGATGCACCTCTTAAACATACTACATACACTCCATAGTCTCAGAATCCAAGACTGCAAATCTCCTGTCTAAAAGGAATGAGTTAATTTTTGAAAAGCAGAGTGAAGATGTTATGACATAAAAGCTATAAAAATTCACTTAATTTAATTAACTTGACCCGAAGGGGAGCTATGTGAGTCCAGAGACTTAAGATTTTTTTTACTATGTGAGAATATCCCATTACCAAGTGTCATATATTTATCCCATAATTTTCAGCATGTTTTACTGTGGGGTTACTCCTCAATGGCAAATGTTCCCTGAGCACAATGAATGGCATGCGCCCGTGGCTAGACCCCACAAGAAAGTCAAGCTCCTTTGAACCCACAGTGTGCTGGGGGTCTTCGACTCTCTGGAAGAGGTTTTGTGAAGGGGCCTCTTCAACAGAAAGGGGAAGGAGTCCTTTTGGATCTGCCCCATCGTTACCATCCAGCCTGCTGTGGAACAAAGGAGAACAGACCTAACGCCTGTGCTTGGAAGAACTTGGAAATGTGTGCTGGGAAACAGGATCGAGGCCTTCCTTAGTGTCACTTCATAACATAGAAGTGTTCACGTGACACCTGCTTGTTTAGATGACTGGTGTAGCTCAATCTTCCATGATTACAGCTACAGAATTTTGGATATGCTTTTATTGTTTAGCCTAGAATACATTTAGAGAATATAAAAAATTTACTCCCATCTTTAAGGAGGTTACATTCTGGCTCATCCATTCACTCATGCAGCATTGTGTTGAGGACCTACTATGTGACAGGGACTATTTCAGCCACTGGGATAAAAAGGTAAAGAAAGCAAACTCCCTCCCTCCCCCCATGAACCATTGTAGGTTAAAATAGCCCAGTGGTATTTTTCAGAGCTCAATACCAGGCAGAACTGGATGTAACCTTCACAAACTTGGAATTCCATCTCACATCTGACAGACTAAAAAACTAAAATCACTCAAGTAACCTGCCCAATTAGAGTCTCTTCTAGTTTGTACTATACCTTCAACCTGGAGTTGAGACTGAGGAAGGCGGAGGAAGGTGAGAAGAAGGGAGTGTTGGTCAATCCTCAGAAAAAGAACTAGGACAGGCTGGGCATGGTGGCTCATGCCTGTAATCTCAGCACTTTGGGAGGCCCAGTTGGTTGGATCACTTGAGGTCAGGAGTTTGAAACCAGCCTGGCCAACATGGTGAAACCCCCATCTCTACTAAAAATACAAAAATTAGCAGGATGTGGTGGCGGGCATCTGTAATCCCAGCTACTTGGGAGGTTGAGGCAGGACAATCATTTGAACTCGGGAGGTAGAGGTTGCAGTAAGCCAGGATTAAACCACTGCACTCCAGCCTGGGAGACAGAGTGAGACTCCATCTCCAAAAAAAGAAAAAAAAAAAGAAAAGAAAAAAGAGCTAGGATAAATTAGATCATCATTCACAGCAGCATATTCACAATAGTATCAAATAAAAAATTTTGAAAATAGAATAAATGTATGCCCATTTTTTAAAATTGGCATGCATTTCCTGAATATGCTTAGAGGAAAAAGCCTGGGAAGGAATAAAACAAAGGGTCGTCAATATTTATCTTCTAGGATCAGGCATGCTTTTTTTCTTTCATCTCACTTATCTCCTTACAGCATCCCTGACAACTGGACTTACCTGTTTTATCTTTATACCAGAAACCAGCCCACTCTACCAGGCCATGCAAGGTCTTTCCTGCTCAGCAGGATGATGGGGGAGGACGCGTTGTGTCTCTATCATGGCAATCAGAAGAAGGAGAAGATATTCTGTCATCAGGGAAGGGGTGAAACCGAGCATGGGAGAGAATAATATCAGAGGCAGTTGCCTGCTTCATAGATAGTTACAGAAAAACATCTGAACTGACATGGTGCTTACATGAGATTGCCACAGTTGATACAGCTCAGAATACAGCCTTTTGAAAAGTCTAAGCTTAGAAGCAGTCGAGAACACAAAAGGAAAGAAAGGAGAGTGAGGTACTTGGACTGAGCGAGGTGGAAGGTAATAGAATCCCAAATAATTGGGTTAACCAAATACGCAATGAATTTTCCTCACATACAAGCAATCAGAGATAGACCATCTTTTTATTATTTTTTATTTTATTTTTTGAGATGGAGTCTCGCTCTCTCACCTAGGCTGGAGCGCAGTGGCATGATCTCGGGTTACTGCAACCTCCACCTCCCAGGTTCAAGCGATTCTCTGCCTCAGCTTCCTGAGTAGCTGGGACTACAGGCACATGCCACCACACCTGATTAATTTTTGTATTTTTAGTAGAGATGGGGTTTCACCATGTTGGCCAGGCTGGTCTCGAACTCCTGACCTCAAGTCATCCACCCTCCTCAGCCTCCCAAAGTGCTGAGATTACAGGCGTGAGCCACCAAGCCCAGCCAGATAGACCATCTATTATGGCTAGTGTCATTGCCCTCAAATATCAAGGACCCAGGCTTCTAGAGTAGGGTGTTCCAACCTCAGCACTATTGACATTCGGACCAGATGATTCTTTGTTGCAGCAGCTGCCCTGTGCACTGTAGGATACATGCCTGCCCTCTACCCACTCAATGCCAGCAGCACCCACCACCTACGCTGTAAAAATCAGAAAGTCTCCAGACATTCCCAAATGTCCCCTGAGAGGGCAAAATCAGCCCTTGTTGAGAAATTACTATTCTATATCCCTGCTCTGCCATCAGTAACATATGGCTTTTATCTTTAGATTCACAAAAGAAAAGTAGGCAGGTGAGTTTGTTGGCAGTCACAGCTCTACAGAAGCCTTGTGGTAGCTTTCAGCTCACATCTGTCTCGTGGCCCTGAGCTTGGCCACGTGACTAACCCTTTGTTACTTGCACAGAAGTCGGGGAGGAGAATATTTTTATCTGGACATATTGAATCCCTAGCCAACATTAGGGTTCTGAGGAGGACAGAATGGGTTTGGGGCAGGTGACTGGCAGGCTCTACAAGAAGACATTAGAGAAGAAAGGAGTAAAACAGATATTTCACTGACCTCAATGATAAGGCATTTCATGGATACAAAAGGAGGGCCCCCCTGCGGTACAAAGCATGGCCATTCTAGCACTGCCCCCCTGCCTTCTAGGAGCACAGAGTGTCTGTGAGCACTGCAGCAGCCCATTCCCAAAGAAACTGGGCTCCTGTTCATATTCCACGAGGCAAGTCTTAGACCATAGGTGTGCCTGCAGTCACTCCAAATTGCATGTCCCTGCAGTGTGAGGCCAACATTAAGTCTTGAGATGGAGCAGCGTTAATTGGCCATTGCTTAAGAGTCTCTTCATTTTCTCATCTCATGGGTTTTAAATATTTTTTAATGTTTTATAGGTCCTTTAGGACACCACACCTTTTCATTTATTTTAGTATATTTTGGTTAAAAAAATTCTGTGATGTTTAAAATTAGGGAATAATAAAAAAATTCCCTATGAAACCTCACCCTTAGCTTGAAGAAGTAACAAGTCATAGTGAATCTCTGTTTCCTCTATATCCCCACCACCCACCAACCCCCCCAGATCCCATACACTATATCATTCCATCTACAGATATTTCAGTATGTGTGTGGGGGTCCTAAAGACAACCAGGTTTCATGAGTCACTGGGAGGACTCATAAGAGTCAGCATTTAGACACAATTACAGCTGTGAGTTATTATCGTGAAAGGATACAGAACAAAATTATCAAAAGGAAAAGGCACATGGGGTGACATCCAGAGGAAACCAGGCACAAACATCTAAGGGCCCTCTCTAAACACAATACATGCTTAGTGCCCCTGGCGAGTTGTATAGCATGGGCATGGGCGGACTGTCATCTACCAGAGAACCTCACTAGAGACTCAGTTCCCGTGGGTTTTATAGGTGGCTCGTCACACTACATTCTAGACTTTCAGAAGGAAAGCAGGTGACCAGCCAAAGCCACAGGGAACAAAATAGTTTAGGCACAGAAAGCCACTTTGATCAGTGATCAGTTTGAAGAAAAATGTCCAGGAATTATTATAGATAGTGGTGATGGTTGCACAGCTGTGTGACCATTCTAAAAAACATTGAATTGCACACTGTAAAATAGTTAAAATGATGACTTTTGTTATGGGAATTTTGTCTAAGAGAAATACATCCCAGTTGGCACCATTTCTATAAAAAGGAATAGTGAGAGATAAAGCTTATAATATGGTTTCGCTGTGTCACTACCCAAATCTCATTTTGAATGGTAATTCCCACAATTTCCATGTGTTGTGGCAGGAACCTGGTGGGAGGTGACTGAATTATGGGGGCGGATCTTTCCTGCGTTGTTCTCCTGATAGCGAATGAGTCTCATGAGATCTGATGGTTTTAAAAAGGGGAGTTTCCTTGCACCAGTTCTGTTCTCTTGACCGCTGCCATATGAGACATGCCTTTTACCTTCCACCAGGATTGTGAGGCCTCCCCAGCCACGTGGAACTGTAAGTCCAATAAACCTCTTTCTTTTGTCAACTGCGCAGTCTTGGGTATGTCTTTATCAGCAGCCTGAAAATGGACTAATACAGTAAATTGGTACCAGTAGAGTGGGGCACTGCTGAAAAGATCCCTGAAAATGTGGAAATGACTTTGGAACTGGGTAACAGGCAGAGGTTGGAACAGTTTGGAGAGCTCAGAAGAAGGAAAATGTGGGAAAGTTTGGAACTTCCTAGAGACTTGTTGAATGTTGAATGGCTTTTCCCAAAATGCTGATAGTGCTATGGACAATGAAATCCAGGCTGAGGTGGTCTCAGACAGAGATGAGAAACTAGTTGGGAACTGCAGCAAAGATGACTTTTGTTATGTTTTAGCAATGAGACTGGTGGCATTTTGCCCCTGCCCTAGAGATTTGTGGAACTTTGAACTTGAGAGAGATGATTTAGGTTATCTGCTTGAAGAGATTTCTAAGTAGCAAGGCATTCAAGAGGTGACCTGGGTGCTATTAAAGGCATTCAGTTTTATAAGGGAAGCAGAGCATGAAAGTTTGGACAATTTGCAGTCTGACAACATGATAGAAAAAAAAAATCCCATTTTCTGAGGTGAAATTCAAGCCAGCTGCAGACATTTGCATAAGTAATGAGGAGTAAAATGTTAATTCCCAAGATCCTGGGGAAAAATGTCTCCAGGCCATGTCAGAGTCATCACAGCAGCCCCTCTCATCACAGACCTGGAAGCCTAGGAGGACAAAGTGGTTTGGTGGACTGGGCCCAGGGTTCATGTGCTGTGTGCAGCCTAGGGACTTGGTGCCCTGTGTCCCAGTGACTCCAGCTGTGGCTGAAATGGCCCAAGTTAGAGTTTGGGCTGTAGCTTCAGAGGGTGCAAGCCCCAAGTCTTGGCTGCTTCCACATGGTATTGAGCCTGTGGGTGCACAGAAGTCAAGAATTGGGGTTTGGGAACCTCTGCCTAGATTTCAGAAGATGTATGGAAACACCTGGATGCCCAGGCAGAAGTTTGCTGCAGGGGTGGGGCCCTCATGGAGAACCTCTGCTAGGGCAGTGTGGAAGGAAAATGTGGGGTTGGAGCCCCGACACAGAATCCCTACTGGGGCACTGCCTAGCGGAGCTATAAGAAGAGGGCCACTGTTCTCCAGACCCCAGAATGGTAGATCCCTTGAAAGCTTGCACCACACATGTTTGAAAAGCTACAGACACTCAAGGCCAGTCCATGAAAGCAGCCTGAAGGGAGGCTGTCCCCTGCAGAGCCACAGGAGTGGAGCTGCCCAAAACCATAAGAACCCACCTCTTGCATCAACATGACCGAAATGTGAGACATGGAGTCAAAAAAGATCATTTTGGAGCTTTAAGATTTTACTGCCCTGCTAGATTTTGGACTTGCATGGGTCCTGTAGCCCCTTGGTTTTGGCCAATTTCTCACATTTGGAATGGCCGTATTTACCCAATGCCTGTACCCCCATTGTATTTAGGAAGTAACTAACTTGCTTTTGATTTTACACGCTAATAGACAGAAGGGACTTGCCTTGTCTCATATGAGACATTGGACTGTGGACTTTGGAGTTAATGCTGAAATGAGTTAAGACTTTGGGGGACTGCTGGGAAGGCATGATTGGTTTTGAAATGTGAGCACATGAGATTTGGGAGGGGCTAGGGGTGGAATGATATGATTTGGCTCTGTCCCCACCCAAATCTCATCTTGAATTGTAATTCCCACAATCCCCATGTGTCATGGGAGGAACTTAGTGGGAGGTGATGAATTATGGGGGTGGGTCTTTCCTGCGCTGTTCTAGTGATAGCAAATAAGTCTCATGGGATCTGAGGGTTTTAAAAAGGGGAGTTTCCCTGCACCAGCTCTCTTCTCTTGTCTGCTGCCATGTGAGACGTGCCTTTCACCTTCTGCTGTGACTGTGAGGCCTCCCCAGCCACATGGAACTGTAAGTCCAATAAACCACCTACTTTTTAAAATTGCCCAGTCTCGAGTATGTCTTTATCAGCAGTGTGAAAATGGACTAATACAACTTATGAGTTGAATTTGGGGTGAATTTACATTATATTGAATGTCAGGTAAGGAGACTGAACTCTATTTTGTAGTTCGTAGGAAGGCCAGCCTAGGGAGTTTTCATGGAGGGAAAAGTTAATGGAGACTGCTCTGTTGACAGGATGTAAATAGCAGCTGGGAAGGAAAATGACAACATGCAAAAGAGTCTTTTAAAGACTCTAGTGAAAATGTTTCACATGCCTGTGACTCAGTTCTGATGATGGCTGTGATGCTCATCATCAAAAAACTTGAACTTGTCTTTTAAGGTCTCTATCTGGTCAACAGCAGAATAACGGCTACCATGGACGGTTCTATGTGTGGTCCTGGATTTCCTAAGAATTCTCCTGATCCTTGCTTCCTCTGTTTCTGCTCTAGAAGGGAAAATTGGAGATCAGAGAGTTGAAGCTACACCTTGCAATACAGTACAGCCTTTATTTACACTATTAAAACCCCTTGGCCAAATGGACAAAGTGACAGGCTTAGCCCTTTGTATGTTTGTCCTTATATTTGCTTATTCAACAAGTATTCACAGAGCATCTTCACTTGCCAGGCCAGGTGATTCATAAGGAAACAGAGCCTCAAGGTAAAATCCAAAGAGCATGTGGTTTGAAGCCAATAGACAGGTACTCCAGTCCCAGGTTCCATGCTTACTACCCAATTGATTGCTGCCTCTCAGCCATTCCTTTCTTCACCTACACGATGTACCTGACCAGGCTTTTCTTATGTAACTACTGGAGGCAAGGTGGGCTCTCTTGACTGAAAGCACTCTGGGAACACACAATTTTGGCCACCATAAATGACATTAAAGAATACAACTTTTGCTTTAGAATCTGCGATTATTGTTTGACTTTAGCTAAGTAAGCATTTTGTCAAATCTAACAGCAAAAGCTTCTCAGTAAAGGAGCATTTCAAGAAACCTGTGACCCTCATAGCCACAACATTTAAGATCAGCATCAAATATTTTGTGTAAAGGTTCCACAGATGTTTGATTTTTTGGGGTAAGGAAACTGAGGCTTACAGATGTTTTTGAGACTTAAAGAATTGACACGTCAGTCTCTAAATGAAAAACTGCGATTAAAACCCAATGCTTCTGCATCAGGAGGACTAGCTAATGGTTGCTGGGCTTAATATCTGGGTAATGGGTTGATCTGTGCAGCAAATCACCATGGCACATGTTTACCCATGTAACAAAGCTGCACATCCTGCACATGTACCCTGAAACTTAAAAGTTGATGAAAAAAAACCAATGTTCCTGATTTATAGATAAGTAATAAAAACAACAAAGTATCCTTTTAGCTGAATGATCCCTGCTTGCTAACATTGATGAATTTAGAAATGTGTCTTCAGTTGACCTCTACTCACTATTATTTTTAATTAGTTTTCTTAACAGCCTTAATAGTGTTTAGAGCATTTTATGAAACAGTGCCCTCTAGTGGCTAAGGATACACTTTTAAATTGCAATAACAGGTGCTATTTTTAGCTAGCTGGAGAATTGATGGCGAGGCTGGCATTTAAAGAGATGTATTATCTTGTGGCAGATGTGTATATTGTACATGTGTAGCAAATAAGCATGAAGACAGTTACTGTCTGGCTTGTTAACTAGGTGTATGATTTCTTGATCACCGACCTATTAAATCACTTATTAATATATAATCTTATCGTGAGTGTAAATTTAGCTGCCTGTCATTTATAATAACATTAGCGATG
This sequence comes from Homo sapiens, assembly GCF_000001405.40. Taxonomy (NCBI): domain Eukaryota; kingdom Metazoa; phylum Chordata; class Mammalia; order Primates; family Hominidae; genus Homo; species Homo sapiens. The sequence goes on from NC_000007.14 coordinate 154,504,436, forward strand.
TGACGTATGATCATTTGAGCAAGAGCACTGCTTTCTGCCAAAGCCAAGAGCCTCAATAATTATTTTTAAACTGTAGTTAGGTATGATTTAAAAGAGATGTGAGTACAAGAATAGATAACTCAAGGATCAACGTATGGGACCTAATTTTTATGAAAAATTACTCCTGTCTCATTCTTCTTTTCTTGTCCAACAGATCATTACAACCCAAAAGCTCAATACCATATTCCTCAAAATGCAAATTAAATACTGCCTCTCAAAATAGCCTTTCTTAACTAAAAATATCCAAGTTTATCTTTTACAAATTTAGGCAGTTTTTGGTTAAAAAGACAAAACGGTAATGGAAAATATACAGTATCAGGGTGTTTTTTTTTTTTGCTGTGGAATGCTATTAAAATTACATGTTTTTGAAACTTGTCGTTTGTGGTTTTAAATCCTCAATCATGCATTACCTAATATATGCATATCTGGGTCCATGCAGTCAAAGTTACCATGTTGAAAGAGATTTTGCAGTTTAGGAAAGTAAGGATCATAAATGTTTAGTGAATTAAGCTGACAAAAACTATTCCATTTTGTAATTGCAGAATCAGAACTAGGAGACTGTCTCTTGACTACCTGGAATGTATGATTTACACTTGTGTTCTGGACAGCAGCATCTGGAAAGTCTAAATACTGTAGTCTCTTCAGAGACTTCCAACTCAGATTCCTGGGATTCCAGAGCTGGCAGGATCCCCTGTAGTCTGGCACAGACCTCTCAGCCCATACTAATCCTTGGCTTAATTTTATTCTGAAAGACTTTTTAAAATAAACTTTTTATGTTTTAGAATAGATTTACATATATAGCAAAGTTGCAAAGGTAGTACAGAAAGTTTCCACATGCCCCAAACCCATTTTCCCCTATTATTATCATCTTATATATTATGCAACGTTTGACACAATGAATTAATAGTATTGATATAATGCATCACTGTTAGACAAAATTTATGCTTAATTCAGATTTTCTTAGCTTTCACCTAATGTCCCCTTTATCTCCCAAGGATCCCATCCGGGACACCGCAGTGCATCTCTTTCAGTTCCTCTTGCTGTGACAGCTTCGCAGAAGTTCCTGTTTCTTGATTTGGGTGACCTTGACAAAAGGGTACTTGAGGAACATGGGTCACGTCTTTTATAGAATATTCTTCAATTGCATCATTTCTGTTTTGTTTTGTTTCATTTTCCCTCCTAAGTAGACTGGGTTTATAGGGCTTTGGGAGGAAGACTACAGAAGTAAAATGCCTTTCTCATCACATATCTAAGGAACAGGCTATCAACATGATTTATGGCCATTGGTGTTGACCTTGATCACCTGGCTAAAGTCGTACTTGTCATTTTCTCTACTGTAACTACATTTTTTTACCCCTCTTTCTATACTGTGCTCTTTGGAAGGAAGTCACTATGCATAGCCCTCACTTGGAGTGGAAGGCAATGCTCTTTCTTCTTGAGAGCAGGGTATCTGTAGAAATTACCTGGAATTCTTCCATATGGAAGATTTGTCTACTCTCCCCCATTTATTTATATTTATTTATCTATAAATTATGTATTTATTATTTATTTATTGAATCATTTATTAATATCAGTATAGACTTAGAGATACTTATTTAAGACTGTTGGAAGTCATTGTTTAATTGCCAAGATTTGAAAAAGTTGATTTTGACAATGTTTGCAATCTCATTGCTTTTCTGGAAGAGATTTTTGGAGATCTTAACTCTGCTATTTGGATGTAGCTCCTTTTTTTGTAGGATTTTACACACAGTTTTTTTTTTCTCAGTTTTTGTTGTGTTCAGAATGGCCTGAACTCTGACACAGTTGATATTGGATGATATTCTTATCCCTTTCAATGCTCTCAAGAATTTTCAGTAAAGATTTTTTAAGTTTCACAATTTTTTGTGCTACCAGGAGAAATGTGTCTTTAGAGGGTGACTATTGAATATATAGAAACCCACATTCCTGAGATTTTTTTGTGTTTAATGGTATATTTCATAATAATACAACTATCTTAAAAAGAATCACATTGGCATATTTACTCTGCATTATTCAAATGGCTAATGCTTTGAGAAGGAACATCCTCTTTATAATAAAATGAGTGCTGTCTTGTTTGGCTTATTTAGTATCAAATTAATGTGATACTCAGTGTTTCATTAAGTTCCTCCAAATAACCAATTTTAAAGCAACTTCTTCATTCTTTCATGGATATAATGCTAAAGGCGTAAAAAGATGATGACCCATATTATCTGAAAGAGAAAAACATGATTTCTCCTTTCTCTCTTAAAATTAAGATCTATATTTATGATAGCAAAAGTCAGGTGCTTCTCTCCCCACCTTTTAGAAGCTGCTTAGTGTGATCAGGGGATAACTACAGAGAAGCGCTATCAAACATTTCTTTCTGCACTTTCAGTTAGGAGGATGATGAATGCATACATACACATTTTCCCTTTCTAGTAGCAATAGATTAACACTGTTGGGAATAATTCCCCTAGAAAGTTTTCCGAGAGCCTGGAAATTTCACATCATACTTTTCTAGCCCTGGGTCACTGTGAGTTTGCCAAAGCCTCCAGCAGATAGATAAATTGGTTTCCAAGTGAACAAAGTATATTAGTCAATCTCCTGAGGCATTTTTTCTTTGATGGCCATTGAGTGTGTTAAGCAGCAACTGTATGCCCTTCATAATAAAAAGCACTTTAAGTTGAGTGATGGAAGGCTCTTGATACTTGTGGAATGACAGAGAAGTTTTGAAGAAATGAACATTAGTGCAAGTAGACAATATTTAGAAAGCATAATCAAATAAAGAGTTTTAAGAAACCATAATTTTTTTTTTTACTTTAAGTTCTGGGATAAATGTGCAGAATGTGCATGTTTGTTACATAGGTTTACATGTGCCATAGTGGTTTGCTGCACCCATCAACCCGTCATCTATGTTTTAAGCCCTGCATGCATTAGGCATTTGTCCTAATGCTCTCCCTCCCCTTGCTCCCCGCCCTGATATGCCCCAGTAAGAAACCATAATAAGTTTTAAGTCAAAGTGAGATGGAAAATACAGAGAAGGGTTAGTCTTTGAAGACTTTGGAGAGGTGATTTGAAAATCAGATGTTAAAGGAATGCATGGGCATAAATTAGCAGGACATTCCAAACCAGGGCTTTGATGTGAACATAAGTCAGTTATGTGAGGAAGCAGCAGGCAAGAGCAGGACTGGAGAGGGTTTGATGTCATCTCACCAATCATCCACCCAATAAAGAAATCTCTCAGCAACCCCTGGCCTGTGGTCAGCCAATCTGTGTCTGAATGTATCGATCAAGTAATAATAGTTCAGTGCTCTTAGTGAGGAAGCCAGTGATGATTGTTACATGGCTCTATAATATTAAGATAAAATTTGTCCCCAGAATGTTCTATGCTTGGGTTCAATTATTCCTTTTGGAGCAACTCAGAATCAATCTAATATTTTGGGGAAGTGACAGTTTTTCAGATCTTGGAGGAAGAACTTATTATTAATCTCTCTCCCCCATTCAACTTAATTGAAAGAGTCTCCGATTAGAAATTTGAGAAAAGATGTTCTAGCCCCAACTCTGCTATGTATTATTTGCTTTGTAAGCAAAGAACAGTTAAACTGTCTCAACTATATATAGCGTCTATTTCCCTCTGTTCCTTCCCTATCCAGGGCTTGGCTCTATGAAAAGCAACTCGAACTCTTGCCTTCCAGCTTGGGATACTGCTCCAAGATAGCCCCCCTTTAGTGAACTCCTGTCTCCTATGCAGTTCCATCTTGTTATCTTATACCTGGATTCTCCATCTCTGCCCAGACACTACACTAATTTGGATAGTTTTATTTCTTTCTCACGTTGCAATTAATGAGGATGAGCCTGGAGGTGGGGGTTCCTCCATGGAGTCCTTCAGGGACTGGGGTTCCCTCCAGCTGGTGACTGTGGTATCTATAAGGGCTCAAATTCCTCCATCGGATACTCTGTATCTTGATGGCAGACTCAAGAAGAGAATGGTGAGGCTGTCACAGGAAGTTTTCAGGGGCTGGGCATGAAAGAGGTATGCATCTCTTCTGCATATATTTCCCATTAATTCACAGTCAGTCACTTGACCCCATCTAACTGCCAGAGAGCAGGGGAAATGTAGCCTAGTTGAGTGCCTAGGAGGAAAAAGACCAAATGTAGAACCAGTGCATGTCACTTCTGCCTCCACTTGTGCTAGAATTCAGGCACACAGTCCCCAACTAACCTCAGAGGAATTTGGAAAATGTAGTCTGGTTGAAGGCTAAGAAAGAAAAGGCACTAATTAGACTTTCCAAGCTTATCAGCTTTAGAGAAGAGAAAATAGCATAGATTTTCTATGTTATGGAGTAAAGTTGTATAATATAATAATGCATGTGAAAATGCTTATAATCTGGTAATGTGGCATAAAAATGAATGTTAATATCTTTTTTTACAAATAATTCTGGACAATTAGACAGCCATGTGCAAAATAATGAAGTTGGACCCTTACCTCACACCATAGATAAAAATTAACTCAAAATGGATCAAAAACCTAAATGTAAGAGCTAAAACTAAATAATTTTTAGGAGAAAACAGAGGGATAAAGCTTTATAACTTTGGATTTGGCAAGATTCTTAGATATAGTACAAAAAGCAAAAACAACAAAAGAAAAAATAGATAAACTGAAGTTTATCAAAATTAAAAGCTTTTGTGTTTCAAAGGATACCATGAAGAAAGGGAAAAGGCAATCTATCAAGTGGGAGAAAATATTTACAAATAATTTACCTGTTGAGGAACTTATATCCAGACTATATAAGAATGCTTAAACCCAATAATAAAAAGACAATTATTCCAATTTAAAAATGGGCACAAAATCTGAGGAGACATATCTCCAAGAAAGATTTACAAATAGCAATATGTACATGAAAAGATATTTGACGTCATCGTTCAGCAGGAAAATGCAAATCAAAAGCACAATGAGACACTACTCCCCTCTTCCTAGAATGGCTACAGTAAAAAGTCAGATAACAAGTGTTGGTGAGAATTTGGAAAAAACAGAACCTTCACGTCCTGCTGGTGGTAATGGAAAATGGTGTAACCACTTTGGAAAATAGCTGGGCATTTTCCCAGACAAATAAACATAGAGTTATCCTTTGACCCAACAATTTCATTCCCAGCTATATACCCAAGAAAAATGAAAACATATAACCATATACAACTAATTACACTAATGTTTGTAATAATATTCATAATAGCCAAAAAGTGCAAACAACCCAAATGTACATTTGTGTAATGGAACATTATTTGGCCATAAAAAGCAATAAAATACTGATTCCTGCTACATGCTACGTACTGATTAAGTTTGAAAACTGTAAGACAGTCACAAATGACTACAATATACATGATTCCTTTTATATGAACTATTCAGAGCAGAGAACTCTATACAGACAGAAAATGGGATAGTGGTTGCTTAGAATGGGGGTGAGGGGCATGGGGGCAAAGAAAGTGATAGATCAAAGTTAAGGGATTCCTTTTTGAGATTCTGAGAATATTCTAAAATTAATTATGATGGTGGGTGCACATGTCTGTGAATACGTTAAAGACCATTAAATTGTGCACTTTAAATTGATGAATTGTATGGTGCGAATTCTATCTCAATGAAGCTGTTAAAAATGAAAGGTAATATATGCATTATTGTTAATAAGATACTGGCCTACCCAGATGAAAGACTGTGCAACACTCATGGCAGGTCCTTAGAAACCAAGTTCTGACCACTCAACCATGAGAAATACTAATGAGGAAGAAATAGAACAAGCATCTCCAGCAACCAGTGTACTAGTCTGGACAGCTTTCTGATGATCTTGACTTTAAGAAAAATGTATATACAAATGGAGCTAACCTCAGAACTTAAAAATCATGCCAAGATGACCAAGATCCAAGATGATGTAAAGCTTGTAAGAAGTGTAAAGGGACCAGGCACGGTGGCTCATGCCTGTAATCCCAGCACCTTGGGAGGCTGAGGCAGGTGGATCATGAGGTCAGGAGTTCAAGACCAGCCTGGCCAACATAGTGAAACCCCATCTCTATTAAAAATACAAAAAATTAGCCGGGTGTGATAGCAGGTGCCTGTAATCCCAGCGACTTGGGAGGATGAAGCAGGAGAATCGCTTGAACCTGGGAGGTGGAGGTTACAATGAGCTGAGATCACGCCATTGCACTCCAGCCCAGGTGACAGCCCAGGTGTCTCAAAAAAAAAAAAAATAGTGTAAAGGGCATTGAACAGAACTGCCAGGTAATATTGGAGCAAGTAAGAGGGTAAGGAGGTTGAACAACTCTGAATACACTAAAAACCACTAAATTATATACCTAACTGGGTGAATTTATTTGTATGTGAATTATATCTTGATAAAGCATGTGCTTGCTCTTGCTCTCACTCTCGTGCTCTCTCTCTCTCTCTCTATGACTCTCTTACACATACACACACACATGCACACACACACACACACACACACACACACACACACAGAGAGAGAGAGAGCAAGGAAAAGATAGACCCTGGCGTGGAGGAGGTATGCAGGATAACCATGCAGTAAATATTCTTGCATGTTCTCCAGTAAGGAATGTATTTTTCAAAATTGAAAAGGAAAATTCGATATCACTTTCTTAGGAAGGGAGGGAAGATTGTTCAGGAAATAGTGAGAACACCGAGCTGCTCAGGGAGATTCACCTCAATCTAAAGTAAATTTGAGATGGGATAACATAAAAATAACTAGGTTTAAGGTACTAGGACAAAACATCTAGCATGCATTATCTCTTTTAATTGCTCAGTAACCCAGTGAAGTAGGTAATATCATTATCACCCATTCAGAGAGGTTAAGTAACTTATTCTTAGTCATGCCTGTAGACAGGATGAACACCAGTTTGAAAAACCCTCTCTCTGGCTCTGGGGGCAAGGTGAAAGCCCACGCCATGTGTTTGAGAATTCAGCGCAGGTAAAGAAATGTTTTTTTGCATTGGTGATATTTTATTTAGTAGTAACACTTTATTCCTAAGGCGTACTAGTTGACTTGTCAATGAAATTACAGAACCATTGTAAATAATCTGTAGAAATTTGCAAGCAAATGAGAAAGCAGCTGAAAGACTGGGAAAAAGAGATGATTGTTTTAGTTGTCAAAAAAGGTAAATCTATAGGACTAGTTCATAACTGGCAAAATTCTAGAGCCATTTAATAAATACAAGTATGTCCTGTAAAGCGGTTTGCATCCTGGTAACACCTAATTGTAAGCCATACAAATACTCCATTTTCCTAACTTATTTCTAGAGAATCAATTATGATCTTACCATAGTGTTATCTTAACAGCTTTTATACTTTCAAATGAAATGGATTTATTCAAACATTAGTTGGTGATATACTTTTTATCATGCTGTAAATGATCCTAATAGAATTTGTTAAAACATTTAAGTTACGAGTGAAGCACAGTTTTCTAGATGTGTGCTGGACTAACATTTGCCATAAACTATCACATAATCAGTTCCTTGATTCTTTATGGACCTGAAGCCTACTTACATAAAATTGGTCTAGTAACTAATGATAAAGATTAAATAAAAGTCATTGAGGTCATTGACAGAAGGCTATGTTTTCCTCTAAAATCATGGCACTCAATTCATAAACATTATTCATTTTTCTTCTAACTTGTATATACTTTTAGATGTAATTGTGTTTCAATTTTGATTGCCCAGCTAATCGGAAAAGCTTTAAACCTCTTAAACAGTTTCTTTATAAAAGCATAATGACGTATATAATGGCTTTCAGATAATCCTGTCACAGAAATGATTATTTTTCTCTATTCCTGGTGAACCAAAGTGCCCCCATGTGCTTCTACGTGTAATGTTATATAAAGCACTTTGAAGCACGCTGTATTATTTTTCATGACAGTATCATTGATAATTCTAATGGTAATTTTTCCTTCACACTTGGTAGCTTCCAGGCATAATGACACATCACTAAAGCTTTGACTGTTAAAGCCCTTTGCTCATGGGTGAAGAAAAGAGAATGGCAAGTTAAAAATAATGACTTAATCCTCATTTACATTGCAATGAGTTATTCTCATTTGTGGAAGAGGGATGTCTTCGATGGGGAGGATAATGAAGGCGATGAGAACTATCAGACCTTTTGTGCCCGATCAATAGGTCCCATAAATAAAATCTCAAATCACACACTACAAAGTGGAAATCATGTGTAATGGGAAGGGAGTGAAATCATCATCTTAGGGATGGCAAGTTCTTACTGAGAAGGATGACTTCATGCTGGACCTCTTGTGGTTTCCAGAGCTGTAGATGAATAAATTTTCATCCCTTGATTGATAATAAATTTTTTGAGGACAAAAATAGTTCTAGATTGAGAATTCAGTCATTAGACTAGACTCAAGGGGACATACTCTAGGGACAACTGTGGGAGACCATAGACTAGACGATGGCTTTCTTACCTGCAGGAACAGGAAAAACCATCTTCAATTTTGTGGTCTGGGAGGGACTGTGCCTAAGCAATGAGAATAAAAATACAATCTATTCTATTGAAAAGGTCTTTAGAGCATCCTTCCAGTAATCTAAAAGTGTGACACCCCAAATACACTAGTTCTTTCATTATTTTCTTCTTCCTTCTCTTTATCCTGAAGCCCTTAAGTCTACTCAATTATAGAATTTCTTCATAAATGACTTATAGGGCCATTTTTGCTGGGAATGGAATGATTTTCCATATCTTCTATTCCATCCTACCTAATTTTAGTCAACCTGAAACCACTGCTTTTTGTGAATAACGAATGTCCAACAGAACTCCCACCAACCTCACAGTCCCAGACATCTGCATTACTGTGGGTAGTCACTCAAATGTAGCTAGAGGAGGCTTTACCAGAAAAGCTAATTGCCCCAAACTTTCCTCTTGGAATTAGAGTTGAGTTTTTGTTGGTTTGTTTTTTAATGTGCCCAATTAATCTTTTATTGGTGTGGGACAAATGTTGAGACTAACAAGAAGATTTTGGATAAGTGGATAACAATCTCGCACCCTACATCCCTCCTTCATGGGGGAATGTAAGTGTGGATTGACCCAAAGCAGGAACTCTAGGGGTGAAGCAAGGACTCAGCTCTGCCTTTTCATCAGCTCTGATCATCCATTAGAGATGTCCACCCTGGGAAACATGGGAAAATTTTCACACCACCCAAAGCCCTGCACTGATTCCACCACAAGCTCCCAGTGGGGTCTGGGCCTTGTATGTCAACACAGCAAGATAGCTTTGTATGAGGACAGTTTCCTTCCCACCAGACGTTAGAGTCATCCTAGGAACAACTGTCCAACCCTGGGCACGTGCCACCCAGCAGCACTTCTGAATATGCCACTGAGGGGAGAGATGAAATAAACACCTACTCAAACCCATACATCTTTCTTAAATTAGCCACAACTAATTTCTTTCATGCTGATTTTTATTTCTAAAGCTGTGATTTCCAAAGCCATAAACTTTGGGTCTGAATGAAATTAAGAAGGGTTAGAGGGCTGGGCACGGTGGCTTATGCCTGTAATCCTATCACTTTGGGAGGCCGAGGTAGTGGATTACCTGAGGTCAGGAGTTCAAGGCCAGCCTGATCAACATGGTGAAACCCTGTCTCTACTAAAATTCCAAAACAATTAGGCAGGCATGGTGGTGGGTACCTGTAATCCTAGCTGCTTGGGAGGCTGAGGCAGGAAAATCCCTTGAACCCGGGAGGCAGAGGTTGTGGTGAGCCAAGATAGCACCACTGCACTCCAGTCTGGCCAACAGAGCAAGACTCCCTCTCAAAAAGAAAAAAATAAATGGGTTAGAAATACAGCTAGACGCTAATTCAGACCCTCTCCTTCTCATACTTTCCATCAAACCCATTTTTCTTTCTCAGGAATTCTTTTTTTTCAATTGCTGTTAAATATATAATATAAAATCCACCATTTTAACCATGTAAAAGTATATACTTTAGTGGTACATTCACATCGCTATGCACCCATCTCCTCCATCCATCTCCAGATCCTTCCTACTTTCCAAACTGAAACTCTGTCCCTATTAAAACTAACTCCCCATTCCCCCAGCCCCTGCACCCACCATTCTACTTCCTGTCTCTGTGAATTTGACTACCCTGGGGACCTCATGTCAGTGGAATCACGCAGTATTTGTCCTTTTGTGACTGGCTTATTTCACTTATCATAATGTCTTACGGGTTCATCCATGTTGTAGCCTGTGACAGAACTTCCTTCTCTTTTAAAGCTGGATGATATTCCATTATATAGACAGACAACATTTTGTTTACCCATTTATCTGTCAATAGAATCTTGGATGGCGCCTACTTTTTGGCCATTGTAAATGATGCTGCTATGCACATGAGTGTACAAATATCTGTTCGAGTCTCTGTTTTCACTTCTTTTAAGTCTATGCCTAGCAGTGGAATTGCTGGATCAAGTGGTAATTCTATGTTTAATCTTGAGGAACTGTCATAACATTTATAAGAAGCTCTTAATATTTCCAGAAACCATCCCAAATAGTGGATGAGCCAAGAAGACAAAGTCATTTCAATGCCATTTTGACACTCAAGAAATTAGGCCTTAAAATGCTTAATGTACAAAAGAACAAGCAATATACACTTGTCTCTCTTCAATGGAAATAGAGTTATTTCTGTGTGAGAGTCTGTTACTACATTCTGTGGAAGTGGCTGGAGAGTTTACCTGGCTTACAAAGTCTGTTTTGAATGGCCTGTCATAAAATTTGCATTTGGGGACTCTGGCGTGGCACTTCAAAAGGTCAGCCACCATTCTCTGGAATACCATGTGATTGGAGAAGCAGATTGTTTCCTTCCTCATGGAATAATTGTCCTGTCCTCCCTGGTGTGCTTTCTACAACAATCAGGGTCCACCGTGCATGAGAGGCCAGAGGACCTAGTTCTGGGCCATGGACTAGATTCCTGACATTGGGCATTTACTGTTTCTGAGTTCCTTCCTACCTTCCTTCCTTCCTTCCTTCCTACTTTTTTCCCTTCCCCTTCCTTCCTGTCTCCCAGGCTGGAGTGCAGTGGTGCGCTCTCGGCTCACTGCAACCTCTGTCTCCTGGGTTCAAGCACTTCTCCTCCCTCAGCCTCCTGAGTAGCTGGGACTACAGGCACGTGCTACCATGCTTGGCTAATTTTTTGTGTTTTTGGTAAAGACAGGGTGTTTCACCGTGTTAGCCAGGATGGTCTCGAAATCCTGACCTGATCCGCCCTCGTCGGCCTCCCAAAGTGCTGGGATTACAGACGTGAGCTATTGCGCCTGGCCTGTTTCTTTATGAGTAAAATGAATAAGCTTGCATGTGAAGACAACCCCAAGTCTCTTCCAGCTCTAAGTTCCCACAGTGCACGGAGGCCCAGATGATCACTGCAGGAATAGGAAAAACCATCATCAATTTTGTTGTGTGGGAGTGTCTGTGCCTAAACAGTGAGAACGAAAATACAATCTATTCATTGAAAAGGTCTTCAGAGCTCAGTAAATTTTGCCAAATTCGATCCATGGTATACATTACACCTACTACCTTTTCTGATTTCTTTTCTCTCTTTTTCCTACAAATAATCACTCTTCCTCAGGTCTGGGGATAGTCCAGTGAACTTGACAGAGTCTTCAAGGTCTTTCCTGGGGCCAGACTCTTGCGGCACCAGCTCTGTTTAATGTAACTTCACAAAACTGCTCCATAGCCTGACTTCCTGGAAGGGTGTTTTCCTGCTTTCCCAGATGACCAGAAGGACTTCCTCAATACCTACTCCGAACTCTGCTTTTTTTTTTTTTGGTCCAGACAGAAACATAAAAAGAGAGGTGCAGCATTCCAAGATGCAGGGAGCGCAAAGGACTGGGAATGTCAGGAGACCATGCTTAGCCACGCAGGAAGGCGCTGAGGAACCGTGCTACTGAAAGGAGAATGAGAGCTGAGCCCCAGGGGAGGCATCTGCAGTCTCCCAGGAGAAATTTCTCACATGCACTGACTCAAGAAAATGTGACGTATAATCATGAAAGACATATATTATACACACCATGGCTGATTCCTACGAAAGAGGAAAACAACCAGGCAAATCTATCTGGGAAGCACAATTATAATATTTATTCACTTGAGTAGGACTCTATCCTCTGATTTAACACATGGAGTGAGGACATAAGACTCAGGACTGGGATGAGAAATGTAAGGTGCATGAATTTCAAAAATAATAAAATGAAAATATTTATTTGCTTATGGTTCAATTACGTGGAATAGAAGCATAAGCAGAAATCAAATGGTCAAACTTACAAAATCTGCTCTTCTTTCTGAACAGTGATCAATGGCCTCACTGAAAGGACTCAGGGCTTGGATGTCTCTGTGGGGTAGTTTATTCTAGCACTTGTGTGTGTTTTGCCTTGGCAACACGGACCAAGGCACCAGAATAGCACACAGCAGCTGAATGCCATCTCGAATTTTCTGATTTCACTCCCAGGCTTCCAGTCTTTTCTGTTATCTTTTTTTATTTTGAAATCCTCATTATGTGTTTGCTATATGAAAGCACACCAAAATGTAGCATGACACAGTCCCTCCCATGAAAGCAGAATGACACATGGGGAAGGAAAAACATGATCCAAGGGCTGGGAGATGGTGAAGAAAGTGCTGAGTGTGGACCAAGGTCATCACTTGCCTCTGTAGCTCCCCTGGCAGGACTGGACATGTAGGAGGCACCCCCACAGTCAGTATTTATTTGGTGTTCTAGGTTGGAATAATAGTGTGATTCCATTCAAGGGAAAGGAACAAAATCAGATCCCAGTTGTAACACTCATTGCAGCATTTTCCTTGAGTCTGGGGCAGGTGTGTCCAGCGATTCTGCTTGGAGAAGGAGAAGATCCTACAGATGAGCTTCTCCACAGGGTGAGAGTTGAGCACCCAGCACGGTGTCTGCACAGAGGATGACAAAAATCTTGAATGAATGAATGGAGTTGAATAAGCAAACCTAGGACAGGGTGTGGAAGGTGAACTCATGGTTCATAAAGTCAGATACTTTGGCATTAGTGAGGTAGGCCTGTGTATGTGAGTATTCACACGCAGTTGTTTCTGTACTTGTATGAGAGTTACTAATGTTGATCTAGTTGACATTGTTTAGTTCCTAGCATAAATAAAGTATCATGACATTGTTTAAGGGAAGAAAATTTACTTTGTAATTCTGTGGTGTTGAAAGTAGGGAAAGAAATATGTTGCCTTTTAAATACACAGCAGCGCTCTCATGGAGATCACATGGAAATGACAGCGGTGTTGTGTCCGGAAAGCAAAAGCAAAACAAAAACGAGAAAAAATGAAACCAACAGAACTTGGGCACTTAAGAAATCCATTTCCTAATGGAGTAAACAGATATCGCACTGCAAGTTACAATTTTCAACATCGTTTACCCTACACCTCCACCATTCGGAGAGGCAGCTCTAATAAATGAGATGCAGTGATGACCTTTACCGGCTCCACCGATAGCTATAAATTGAGCTGAACATTCCCATCAGCTAACAGGACAGAACTCATTACTGACTGAAGATTGCTACGATGCCTTTGACTGAGATGTGTACCATTAAAATGAATGCTCCTTCACTCGTAAAAACAATGTCTTGTACCGCAGAAGACCTGATATGCCATTCATTGATTTTTGTGGATGACTACAAGAACAACCCGTAAAGATTAGCTGAGTCTTACTGTGTGTTAGTTAAATTATGATTCAGATCAATTTGTTCTTTTTTGAGAGAGTTGATTTTTTGTTTCTTAAATTAGAACCTTTGTCGATGGCATGCATGGAATATAATTGTCAGATTTACAGTCCTGATGATTCAAGCTTAGATAAACACTTGTTCCAAATACATTAAAGTAAAACTTATATCCATTAAACTAAGTCAGGATTTTGAATTTTTAAAGCTTTGGGTACATAGAAAAAATTTGGTTTTGCCGATTTTTTTGGCAAAATGACTCTGACTTTGAGAACAAACCAGTGTCCATGCCCAGGTGACAGCACTTGCCCTGCTGTGATTATTAAAGCAGCCCCTTGCACTGCCAAGTGTCCTAGTCCAGATGATGAATTGCACAGTCTTATTGGAAGTATGTGAAATGGGAGGACTGTAGCCATACTTGATCTCTAGGATACACTTTTATCAGGCCCTACAGGTAAAGTATTCCCATAGGCCTTGTGGATTTTCACAGGAAGGCCTAAGTTACTCAGATGTCTGGGAGTTGTCCCTGGTTGGTTTCTGCTAATAACATTAGTAGTCCTGACGCTTCATACTTAGCAGGACCTAATAGGTGAACCCAGATATGGTTCTAATGTCATTTAAGTTATTAATTGACATTATTAATATCCCCATTTTTTTTCAGATGGGAGTATCAAGGCACAGAAAAGCCATATAACCTGTCTGAGGTTCCACAGTTAATAGCTAGTAAGCATGGGAATTTCCTAGGACTCCAGGTTAGGGAACTACATCAGACACGGGTTCTCATTTCACCAGGAAACAAATGCGAGGACATTCTTACTTCCACTTACTACAATATATTAATGACTAGTGTGTGATGATACCTCCACCCACTCGGAGCTTAGAGTGATAACCCGGTTATCCTGCAGCTTTCAGATGATGGGTTCTACCTCTCTAATTGACTAGACTTTCTCTAATAATACTGGCAAAGTCTTTATGGGTCAAAGTCAGAAGGGAAAGAGTCTCTAGTCAGAGCCAGAGTCATAAGACACAGTGAATGTATACTAATGATGCCACTTGGTAAACTTCCAGCATGTTATGCTGGAGGAGGCTGGGAGGCAGTCTGTCCCTCTGTCCCTCTGTCCTTGGTGGCACAGACAGCCCCCTGGAGCCAGCCAAATTCAGACTCACATTCTGCCTAAGGCAGAGGGACACAGGCAGACACACGCTACCAGGAGACGTCTGCCTTTGACATCCCACGTTTGTGACACATGCCAGATCTTCTCAGAAAGAAACAGTGCACCACAGCCACTGTGCCATCAGGCACTTTGACACTCACAGACATAAATGGGCAAGTCGGAAGGAGTAGATGATTCCCTCTAAGAGGACCTGCCTACTTTTCCTGGGAGAGTGAAGAAACCTCTAATCATTGGTTTCTCTGTTTTTCCAACCCAATGAGTAGACAGAATTGTTCCATGTAATGATTTTTCTTCTCTCTGTATAAGACACTGGCCTTCCTGCTGTTTGCATTTTGGATTATTTTGTTTGCTTTTAAGTCAGAAGGACAAGAGTTGTGTATAGACAAGCTTTATCATAGATTCTACCTAAAATTCTTCTGGAATATGATTCAGTTTTTTCCTTTGTAAATAAAATCATAGGTGAATGTGTGGTCAAAAGGTGTAGTTGGTTTTCCCCTTTCAGAGATCTGAGTGCCGCTGGGGGAGGTGGCATCTCATATTTATAAAACATGTTATTTATTTTCTTACTTTCAAAATGCTAAACATAGCTGATCTCAATTAATCAGCACAGTAACCCTTTCAGAAAAATAAGGTATTCTATTACTGAAAATGAAAGACTGCAAGGTAAAGTAACTGCTCTCAAAAAACGCTGCAATGGGATTAGAACCAAATTCTCCTGATTCCAAAGCCAGAAGTTACAGTCAGAGTATGATTGTATTTCTTTATTAAGATTAAAGTCAGCTCTCAGCAGCAGAAAGATTAAAATAATACTAGTTTAAGAAAGATGGAAATTTACTTGTCTCTCAAATTTATTTATTTTCCACATATAAGTCCAGAGGTGGAATCTACACTGTATTTTGCTTTTATCTTCCATTTTCATCTTTTGCTTTTATCTTCCAAGATCACCTAAAGGAACAAAATGGCTGCTCTAGCTCCAGCCATCATAAAAGCCTTCCTGCTAGCAGATATGAAAGAGGAGAGGGGACTATCATGCTCTATCCCTTTCAGGACTCTGCTTTAGAGGTTGCACTGCATACTTCTGGCATAGCCAGTCTGTGGCAAAGCCTAAAATAGAGGCCAAATTTCCAGATTTTTGGACCAAGCTCTTTCCAACAATCTGTCCCTTACGCCTGGAGCTTTTTGTCACCGTTGTGTTGATGTAATCTTTGGTCAAGTTTCTGTCTCTCAGCCTATCCATTAGTCTTTGCTAGTAGGAGGTGATTTTTCTCAGGGATGCATAGATAAGGTAAGGTGGAGGCTTGGCTCCATTGGAAATGCTGAAATGAATTTACTGCAAAACTAGTGTTTTCTATGGGAGTGGGATGGGGCAGGAAAATCTATTGCATCTCCACCAGCCAGAATTCACTTGCGTCTAGTAAGACCTCCTCACATTTCCATCAGTGTCTACAACTTACAGAGTCACAAAAAGCTCGGAGACAATAGGAACAGACATCAAAATTATCAGTAACGCAAAATATAAGTGCCCATATAATGCCTAATATAAGTAGCATGTACCGGACAATGCCTCGTATTCTACTGAAGAAATAGCCAGTGATCTTCTGGCGGCCCATTTCAAAGTCTTAAATTTTTTTGACACCTTCAGTAATACTTGTTATTGATTTGCTCTAAGTGAGGTTTTTTAAATAATAGAATCATCATAATCCCTTTAGAGATCCTTCAAAAAATCTTAGATTTATATAACAGCTAATCATAAGAATCCTTAACAATGTGTATATGCGAAGTCCTTTTGTTCGTTATCAGGAAAGGGCTTGGCTGATAACACATTTCTGAGGATATTCATTCCTGGATAAATTTTTAAGGATTTTTATTCTTTGCTGATCTTTATTTCACCTTCACCCCTCTCAACATTTGAAAGCCTACTTAACTCTATATTTTCTTTTATGTTAGGTTCAAGTGAAAAAATAATTTGCAAAAACAAATCCTAATTCTACAAATAAATTGTTTTTTTTTTTTTCCTTAACCATGTAGCAGGTGGTTGACAATATTAAATACAGAAAGAGGGCCTTCGTTGTTTCAGTGGGGTTTCAGTGTATCAAGCTGTTTAAAAGTCTAAACAGGACTCTGTTAAGGCACATAAAAATTGAATAGAAAATAATGGAAATGTAAAAGATTTTAAAAGCTATTTGGGCAATGCATTAATCAAAGGCAAATTGGGCAGTCTCAGATCTTATGATTAAAAATTAAGTGAAATTGAAAGCCACTAAAGTCATCTTTGAAATGTAGCTACTTCCCAAATAATTTCCAAGCTGTGATTATTTTTTTGAAAGTACGAAAGTACTTATCAATGTCATTACTGACGTTGTAAAAATAGATATTGTGGTATCATTTTACCGTAGTTTGAAGTCCACAGAATGTAATAACCCTCCTCTCAGTCTATCCACACACGCTTACCCATTTCAGCCCCAGACAATTCTCCACCTTTGTTTCCAAGGTTTAGGGTTTCTAAAGCAAATGCCTCCTAATAACCTCAGACTTACAAAATACAGTACCTGGTTGCATTCTTGAAAGGGGGAAGAAAAATATTACGTGGTCTTTCTAACTCTTTTTTTTTTCTTTGAGACGGAGTCTTGCTCTGTCCCGCAGGCTGGAGTGCAGTGGCGCGATCTCGGCTACTGCAAGCTCCACCTCCCGGGTTCACGCCACTCTCCTGTTTCAGCTTCCCGGGTAGCTGGGACTACAGGCACCTGCCACCACGCCCGGCTAATTTTTGTTGTTGTTGTTGTATGTTTAGTAGAGACGGGGTTTCACCGCGTTAGCCAGGATGATCTCAATCTCCTGATCTCATGATCCGCCCGCCTGGGCCTCCCAAAATGCTAGGATTACAAGCGTGAGCCACCACGCCTGGCCTCATTCTTATTCTCAAGATCCTGCAGGAAAATCAGGTGTAGTGAACCTCCCAGTCAGGTTATCCCGCCACGTATGTTAAAGTTGCCAGCGTAAGTTGGAATCAAGAGGCCTGCGTGAGGCCCTTGAGCCAGAGGGAGCTCATTAACCAGCCAGCAATTCTAATGTTCACATCTCACTTAGGGTCTTGGAGAAGCTGGGAAATCTCCAGGTCTCGGGAGCACGTCTCACAAATGTCAAGGCTGTACCACCTTGGTTAAGCGCTTACTGGCAGGGCCGCTGAATGCTGTTTGTATTTAGAATGGAAAGAAATATTACTAGAAAACTTGCTCTTTTGAAAGAAACCTTTGTACCTCTTTGGAGCCCACATTGCCTTCCTCTGACAATTTTTGTGAGGTAAACCAGAAAGCAGAAAACCCAGACACGAGAAAAAAAAATTGGAACTCTGTCTCCTCCCTCCAGGCCTAATCCTACGTACTAAACTGCAGCCCCGCTGTAGAGCTTCCCAGCGTCTGCTCAGGAGCCCCCTGAACTGTCTTCACCTGTACAATTAGTGGGTGTTATGGGAACGTGCACCTCTGGCTTCCCACCTTCGGTATCTCCCACTTCCTGTACTTGTTTTACCTAAACACGAGAATAGTTGCTCACAGTTTAGTCTTTCTCAATTCTACCCTCACCCAACGTTCCCCCAAAACCCACCTCTGGGGCGGGGATCGCCTTCCTGATCATCCAGGGAGAAGCATCTAGGCTGTTTTGAGTCACTGCTCCTCACTGACCGAGTCATTCCCAAGTGGTGCCTGCACTGTGGACAAGAGCTCCAACCCTATTGTACGTTTCTAGAAATCAGGGATTATGTGGTCTTATTTTCTGCTCCATTTTTTATGAAATATTTTAAATATTTTCTTGAAAGGGGGAAGGAAGACATTACTGTGGTCTTTCTAACTCGTTCTTTTCTTTTTTTTGAGACGGAGTCTTACCCTATACTGTACTCTACAGAAAAGTAGAAAACATATTTCAGTGAACACCTATATTACCAGTACAAATGCCAATTAATTTCAATGCCTTGGCCATTTTTGTGTCCTCCATCAGTTCTTTTTTTGCTGAAAATATGTAAACATAAATTATACTCTCATTTTCTTTCATCCCTGAATACTAAAACATGCATCTCCAAAGTGTATCTTCCCATACATCCACAGGAACATCATTGTATCTGACAAAAACGACCATAATCCCCAAATATCATTACATTCCCAGGCCATATTCAAATTCCCTTATTCAGTCTCAAAATATTTTCTGTAGCTTTTGTTTTCTTTAAGCCTGGATCAAATTAAAAATCATAATTGTACTTGATTATGTCTTTTACATTTCTCTTAATGGTAGAATGGCTCCTCTTTTTTCTGTGATATATGCTATTTCACAATACACCTGGATTAGGCCAGTTGTATTGTAGGCCCTCCTGCATTCCGCACTTGACTGATTGCTTTCTTGTGAGGTGGTTTCACAGGTTTATCTATAATGTCTACTTGTCCCATGATTGGTGATTCGAAGGGGAGATTAATGGGCAAAAGAGGTGACCACCAAATTTCTCTATTATAAACATGTTTTTCCCATTGAGAATGGCGTATTTTCTGTGGGATAATATCCCATTAACTTTTCTCCAAATGAGGTTAGCATCCATCATTGATCCTTACCTGCACCAAGTTTTACGACAGGGGCTACAAAGCGGTGATGTTCTGAATTAATCACCTCTTCTACACTTACGAGTTGACAGTCTTCTGAAAGGTGGAACTCTCCTTCATAAACAGGCTATTTGGTGTACCTGAAGTACCAACAAAGCAGGCAGCTGAATCCTTGTCTGTTTTTAATTATTAGTTTTCAGATTAAGAAGTTGATATCATAGTTATGTTCAGCTATGGAAAATAAATAGTTTTGTTTTCTTTAATGTTTTGTGAGTATCACTATTGACTTGTGCTTTCTAAAATGTATTCACTGTGTCTTCATCACCGATAGCATTATTCTTTTGGTGTTTGGATTGTCCTAACTTTGACCATGGAGAGCCCCTCCAGAGGGTTATTCTGTCCTTGTGTCAGTTATCTAATGCCACAGAGTGCTGTGTAATAAACAACTAACAACCTTCCAGAACACATAGAATAAGTCATTTTTCACAAACCTGGCTGTTGGCAGGTGGTGGTTAGGGAACTCCACGTATCTCATGGCTGATGTGCTCACATGGCCAGACACCCAGCTGGATGTTGGCTGATCTGGAGTGGCCTCTTCTTGGATGACTGGAGCAACTCGGTTTGTTCTTCATGCCTTTGATCCTTCTCCTGGGCCAGGACACTAGACCAGGCATGTTTGTCTCATGGCAATAGCAGAACCCAAGAGAAAGCAAGTCCACTGTGTAAGAGCTTTTTAAGCACCAGCCCGCTTCTACTTACTGATATTCCATTGCCCAATTCTAGTCCTGTGTCTGAGCCTAGAGTCATGAGAAAAGGCCCGGAAAAATTAGATGGAAAAGGGTGGGGTGAAGAATTGGAGCCATTTACAATCTACCATGGTCTTATTGATGTGTCCTTATCAGTCACTTGTCTCCCCCACTGGTCTTTGCTTTCTGGCCAGTAAGATATTTTAGATTTATAATATACTTTGTGTGCCTCAGACCTGGAAACATCCATTTTTTCAAGGATCCCTGGCTCATTTTGGGGAGAATGGTACTCAGAGACAAAAATCTGGGTGTCTAGGATAATCATGCTTCTAGCCCGTTTTCATGGACAAAACTAGCAAGTGTGTAGTTTTGAACAATAAAGAAACATTGGTTCCTATTGATATTTCTGATGCAAATTCAACATCACAGAGTTTTAAATTTTAACTGAATTTCCTTTTGTTTGTTAAAGACAGGGTCTCACTCTGTTACCCAAGCTGGAGTGCGGTGGCACAATCATAGCTCATTGCAGCCTCAAACTCCTGAGCTCAAGAAATCCTTCCACTTCAGCCTCTTGAGTATCTGGGACTACAGGCAAATACCACCATACCCAGCTAACTTTTAAATTATTTTTTTTGAAGAGACGGAGTCTGGCTATGTTGCCCATCTAATTTTTCAGGCTCTCAAACTCCTGGGCTCAAGCTATTCTCCTACCTTGGCCTCCCAAAGTGCTGGGATGATAGGCATGAACCACTGCACCTGGTCTGAATGTCCATGATTAAAAATGTGGGTCTCTTTTCTCTTGTACAGAAAATCTTAGCTCCTAATAACATTAACGGAATTGTTTATTTTCTTGGAATGATGTCTGAGAGCACAATGCTGTGATTAACACGGAATGCTACCACAGCTAATATGCAGTAACTGTCATATGATTATCAGTTTCATTAAAGTCAGAGAACGTGGCTAACACATGGTCCATACCAAATATCTAGCAGAGCATCCCGTACATTGTAAATATTTTTTAATGCATAAAATGTCTATTGGTTTTGTTGTTTTGTTGTGTTTTTTTTTTTGAGTTTTGCTTCTTGTACCTATCATTTCTCTTTTTGGAAACACCTACCTTTTCTAAGCATATTCTCATGCAAATGAGTTACTGATCTACTTTAAGCAGAATGCACATAATTTCTTTTACATTTCCTCACCGTCTCTATGTGTAGTATTTCCTTGATATGCTAAAGGGCTGTGTGCAGTTCTCATAATCCCAAAGAAAAGGATGTAGTTATCATGTTGCGTACTTTTTAAAAATATCATGAGTTTTAACAAAACCTAAAAACCAGAAGAGGCTTTGGCATTTCCATGGCATTCAAACTCCTACTTTTTAATCCATTGATTCTGATGACGATTACTGAGGCTCCTGCTACAATATAAGCCTGCATTCTTTTTTAAGGTCTTGTGACATTTGGGTTATGCTGGAATTTGTTTTTAACTATTTAAAGATTTCCTATTTTGTCCCACAGTGGTTGTCTTCTTTATCTTTAAGATAATATCTTTAACACTGAAGACATTATTGGCAAGAGGAAGGTCTGGAGGTCTGCTCACCACCTTTGGTGTTCTCTTCCATAGCCATGGCCTGAGAAGGGTGATTTTTCCAGGTGAAAGATAGGCTGTGGTGTAAACTAAGACATTCCAAATGAAACATAATCACTTAATATAACCTCGTAGATAGTGCTGTCCAAAAGAACTTTCTACAGTATTGGAAATATTCTATACCCACAGCATCCAACACAGTACCCACCAGCTATATGTGGTTACTGAGAACTTGAAATGTGTCTAGTATAAATGAGGAGCTAAATTTTTAATGTTATTTAATTTTAATTAATTTTAATATTAATGGAAACATGTGGCTAGAGGCTACATATTAGCAGTACAGTTCTAGATTATAAATATGGTCCAACTAAAATATTTGCATTTGACTCATGTTTCCTGAAAGAAACTGGCAGTAGGAATTAATGTCAGCTTTCTAATCATTTTTGATTCTTCTTATAACTTGCCATACACACCTTATTGCTTAAGAGCCAAAGGAAAAATCACTCTTCATGAGAGGCAGTGTATCTACATCTGGACTGAAGACCTTCATTTGGCTGCTGTGAGTTCATAGGCTCCCAGCTCCTGACTTTGCAGCGAAAAATTTCAGAATTGGAGCTTGTGGCCCAGTGATTATTGGAGAAACATGGTGAAAACACAATCACTAATAGCCTGCAACTGAAATATCAGATTAATTCTATAAACACAAATTACTGCAGAAGCCCAAAAGGGATGAAATGAAAGACAGGTGCAACAGACCTTTATTTACGTTATAGCTGCATGATGTTTTTAAAACTTCTTGAACTGTAAATGTTAATAGAAAATGTTAAAGTAGAAAGAATAGTAAATAAACCTCCAAATCTGTTTGTTTTTTAAGTATCATTTTAAGTTCAAGAACTTATGCATAGTCGATGAGCTTCAATCTTTTGCAGTTATTAGTTTTATCAATGCTCCAATTGTTTTATTCTTGGCCAGTGGGAGCCTCTCCAAGATGGCTTCTGAGTCATTTTGACATGGTCCTAATAAACTTTGACCTTTGGGCTCAGATATTGCCTATCACAGACATGGAATTAGCCATTTACAGAGAGAATCTGGGTTTCATTTAGTGGGAAATGGTATTTCTAGACTGCAGTGTGGATACTGGAGATTACAGATTAATATTTTATGACCATAATATTGATGTTGACTGTCTTAAGATATGTGTATGTTGTATGCTATTTGTTATCAGAACATACATAAATACAAGTAAATTATAGATAGAAATAAAATAAATAATAGAACACTGTTTCTATTGCTAGTTATTTAAAACTAAAAGAAGATGATAGGAGAAAAATTAAATTTACTACATTCATTGTGTATACTCTTTGTTTCAGAAATTAAAATCTATTACTATGTAGGGATTCTTTGTGATATTTATACAATCAGGGATTAATGTACTCTTCAAAACCAAACAGCATATATAAATTACACTTAGTAATGAGATTTGTTAGCTCAATTGTTAATGAATCTACAGTACCATAAGATGCCATAACATTATTTAAATTTTTAACATACGCATGGTCTTCAAAAGCCTTTTTAAAAATGCATTATTGTCAAGCAAAAGTAAACAACATATAAAATCAGCTGATCTATGATACTATGAGTAAATAACTGGCATTTTATCTAATTGTTGAGAGAGTTAGAAAAAATAATTTGTTATTGTTATATCAGTTTGAAAAAAAAAACAAAAAAGGAATCATCTTCCTAGTCCTAGCTACCAATGCAATTTTTTTCCATTTCTGTAATATTTTCAGCTTGAAGAATCGCATAGGTACACAGGAAAATGAGATGAGTGGCATATTTTAAATGCAAAGCACTAGATATATTGCACATGAAAAGTAACTAGCAATTGGTGGTGCTGTAAGCTTTCCTTTTGGAAATTTTCTCCTAGGAATCTGACATTGTATGTTTCTTAGAACTCCCATTGAGCATGGCTTTTCAACTTTATCTCCCTATCCATATAGCGTTAAAATGCACTCTACACTCCCCTATGTAACATCTTATTGCTTTGCAATTATAAGGATAAAATAACGATAATTGAATCTCATAAAGAGGCACAAAAGGTATAATTTGACAAAAAAGAAACACCATGCCTACGCCTCCGTCCTTACTCCACCTCTGTCATGGCCTCCTCATTCTAGAGCAGTTACTCTTACACTAGTGGTTCTCGTCATTGTTTTGTATGTAAGGTGGATATTTGGTGACTTAGACTTATGATAGTATTAATTGGCTCAATTCCTCATACATATATTTTTCATCTAACTTTGTACCAGTCATTATGCTAGGTATTAGAGATAGAAAATCAGGAAGCTGTGGCCTCTTCTCTGGCGAATCATGTACTCTAGTGCAGAAGACAGAGAGTTATTACAAACAAATAACTCTATCATGCTGTGATGAATATAAAATAGGATGAATGAAGTATGGACTGAAAGCAGAGAGAGATTAATTCTGCCTGGAAAAGGCATGAAAACTGTACAAGGGAGTTGGCCTTTATGCAGATCCCAGGAAGATCTTACCCGGCCATAGTGGGAGAAGGACATTACAGGTGCAGGGAGCAGTGTGAGGGAGTGCAGAGGATTGGGAGACATGGTGGTGCTCCAGATGCTTTGTTGGGGTGATAGGCATTCAAATGGGAAGAGGGGCCAAGGCCAGAATCGGAAGGACCTTAAATGTCAGGCTAAGAAACTTGACTAAAATAGTTTCTGCCAAAGGGATAAAAAGGAGTTTTAAAAGAGAGATATGGCTTTGTCTGCATAGAGAATGGAAATAAGGAGAGCGACCCATTAGGAGGCTGCTGGAGTAGTCTATGGTGAAGGTGATGACAATCAGAACCAAGGCAGAAACATTGGAAATGAAGAAGACAGGTGATTTGAGAAGGCTTCAAGAGGAAGAATGGGCAAGTCAGGAAATAATCCAGAGAGGGGATCCCCAGTCACTGCCTTCCCACATTGCTGAATGACCTGTGAATCATATCTGTGGCAGGGAATCAAGGCAGGTCAGCTAAAGAGCTTAAACATCTTCACTAACAACACTAACAACAAAGCTGCTACCCAAGAAACAAACTTGGCTGTGTAAGCCTAGCAAAGAAAATTGCCTGCTAGAACAAAGGAAATCACATTTATCGGGAGATAATATCAAAACCCAGAATGTCCAGAAATTAATATCCATAATGTCTAGGATATAATCCAAAATTACTTAAGATACAAATAACCAGGAAAGTGGAACACATGCTCAAAATAAAAGAAAGCTAATCATTTGACCTGGAAATGGAACAGATTTCTGGAACTGACAAAGATTTTTTGAAAGCTATTATAACTATCCTCAACGAATTAACATAAGCCTGTTTTGCAATGAATGAAAATCTCAGCAGAGAAATAGAAAATCTCAGCAGAAAACATAAAGGAACCAAATGGGGACTTATAAATAGAACAATAAAAATTCTGAAATTAAAAAATTCACTGGATAGACTTGATAATTTAATTACCATGACTTAGGAAAGATTAAATGATAGATCAATATCCAAGGTGAGGCTGGGAGTGGTGGTTCATGCCTATAATCCCAGCACTTTGGGAGGCCAAGGCAGGTGGATCACTTGAGATCAGGAGTTTGAGACCAGCCTGGCCAACATAGTGAAACCCTGTCTCTACTACAAATATGAAAATTAGCTGGGCGTGGTGGCACATATCTGTGGTCCCAGCTACATGGGAGGCTAAGGCAGGAGAATCGCTTGGACCTGGGAGGCAGAGGCTGCAGTGAGCAGAAATCACACCACTGCACTCAGCCAGGGTGTCAGAGTGAGACTCTGTCTCAAAAGAAAAAAAAAAAGAAAAAGAAAAAAAAGAAGGAAATTATTCAAAATGAACAGGGAGAAAATTTGTTTTTAGTGCGTCAGAGGCCTGTGAAGAGATATCCATCTGCCCAATTTATGTGTAATTAAAATTCTAGGAGAGAAAATGGATAAAGAAGTAGAAAAACAATTTGTCAAATTAACAGCTAAAAATGTGATGAAAGACATACCTTGGCAAATACAAGATGCTCAGTGAACATCAAACAAAATAAACACAAAACAGCTCAATCTAAAGCACATCACATCATTAGAGGAATGCAAATCAAAACCATAATGAGACACCATCTCATGCCAGTTATCCCAGAACTTGAAAAAAAAAGTCAAGAAACAACAGATGTTGGCAAGGTTGCAGAGAAAATGTAGCACTTTTACACCTTGGTGGGAATGTAAATTAGTTCAACCATTATGGAAGACAGTGTGGCGATTCCTCAAGATCTAGAAGCAGAAATACCATTTAACCTTGCAGTCCAATTACTGGGTATACACATGAAGGAATATAAATATTTCTAGTATAAAGATATGTACACATGTATGTTCACTGCAGCACTGTTCGCAATAGCAAAGACATGGAATCAACCCTAATGTCCATCAATGATAGACTGGATCAAGAAAATATGGTACATATACACTATGGAATACTATACTATGCAGCCACAAAAAGGAACAAGATCATGTTTTCTTCAGGGACATGGATGGAGCTGAAAGCCATTATCCTCAGCAAACTAACACAGGAACAGAAAACCAAACACCGCATGTTCTCACTTATAAGTGGGAAGTGAACAGTGAGAACATATGGACACATTGCAGGGAACAACACACACTGGGGCCTATTGAGGGGAGGCGTTGGGGGAGGGAGAACATCAGGAAGAATAGCTAATGGATGCTGGGCTTTATACCTAGATGATGGGTCGATCTCTGCAGCAAACCACCTTTATACCTAGGTGATAGGTTGATCTGTGCAGCAAACCAGATTTACCTATGTAACAAACCTGCACATCCTGCACATGTACCCCAGAATTTAAAATAAAAGTTGAAGGAAAAAAGAGACCAAAAGAATAAAAGCACATAACAGTCAGCTTCAAAAGCCAAAGGCAGCACGTAAATCTTAAAGGCACCAAAAGAAAAATAATACGCTCTGGGAAATAATTCAATTAATGGTTGACTTCTCATTAAAAACCATGGTGACCAGAAGAGAGTGGAACAGAGTTTCAAAATGCTGAAAGGCAAAAAACAAAACAAAAAACCCTATAAACTGGAAATCTATATTCACAGAAAATATTCTTCAAGAATAAAGGTTAAATGACATTTTCAGATAAAACAAATATAAAATAATGTGTTTTGCCAGCAGACCCATACAAAAAGAAATCCTAAGGGAATTTCATCACGGAAGAAAATGATATACAATGGAAACTCAAATCTTGATAAAGAATAAAACACATCAGAAATGGCCAATTGTGGATAAATGCAAAAGACATTTTTTTCTTTTTGACTTTTTAATTTTAATTTCTTTATAAACCATGTTGTGTCATAAACTAAAACTATAACATTGTCTTCTGTAATACGTAAATTATGTTGATGTAATACACATAACAAGTATAATTGCGTGGAAGTGGACACGGACCTGAAAGCTTAACAGGTTTCTATAGTTAATAAGAAGTGGTACATTATTAACTGCTTCTGGACTTTGAAAATTTAATGGTATATATTATAACTTCTAAGACAACCACAAAAAAAGCTAATGCAAAGAAATGCAACTAAAATAGGAAAATTAAAATTCTAAAGATATTTAAACAATAAAATGAAAGCCAAATAATGAGAGAGAAACAAGACAGAGGAGACACTTAGAAAACAAACAAACAAATGATAAACCCAAACCCAGCCATATAAATGGTTTTCTTATATGTGCATATGGTATATTTAAAGGTTAGACTATATTATTATCCATAAAAATGACGTTTCAAAAGACTGAAATATATACAGAGTATTCTTTGATCCAGTGGATTTAAATTTTAAAAATCTATAACAATAAGATGGTCAGATAAACTTTAAATATTTGGAAATTAACAGATTTCAAAATACCTACTGGGCATATGAGACATTTGAGGGAAAATTGGAAATAATTTGAACTGAATAATAATGTAATTGAGCATATCAAAATTTGTGAGACGTCACTAATGCTATACACACAGGAAAAATTTTAGCTTTAATAGTTTAACTAGAAAGGAAAAAAAATATCAAACCAAAGACCTAGGCTTTCATCTTAACAAGCTAGAAGAAAAGAAGTAAATTAAAAGTGAAGCAAAAAGAAGGAAGGAATAACAAAGAAAAGAAAATAACTTTCTGAAGTAGAATACAGAAATAATACACATGATAATGCCAAGAGCTTGTTCTTTGAAAGGTCAATAAAATTGGTAAATATCCAGTTTGGTCAAGAAAAAAAGAAGACACAAATGACCAATTCAGGAAATAAAGTAGGGAGATAAATGCAGATGCCACGATCCTACTAAAGCATAACCTGTTATCTTACTAAAAAGATAATATGTTATTAATTAATAGAAAATGCATGCATATTTTTTAAATTAATATTTTTAAATAAATAATTTATTTTTAAAATAAAACAAAATTTATACTGATGGGGTTCAGGATATACTACCAAAAAATATGGCACCTTGGCAGTGGAGGAAATAGCAGAAACAAAGGTCTCTCTGCCCTTCCTCCACACTTCTCCCCTAAAGCAGGTCATGCAAGAATCCTCTGACTTTCTTCTGAAGAAGGTTACAAGACTTTCATTCTAGAAGTGTCATTCTTGTACTCAGAAGAAAGGAATTTCCTTATTTCACAAGACACAGGGACACAAAGAAGAATGTCAACCAACAGGCCTTGCTAAGTTCCCCATTTATTACCATTAGATCACATCACCTTTCTTCAATTATACTTCTCCATAAATGTCCACCATTCATCAAACCAAAGCATAAAAATACACAGGTTTCCCTGTTTCTTTGGATGTTCCTGTCTGAAGTTTCCCATATCACATAAAACTTATGTTACATAAATGTGTATGTTTTTCTCGTGTTGATGTGTCTTTTGTTGTAGGTGCCTCAGCCATGAGACCCTGATGGTGAATGAGAAAAGATCTTTTCTCTCCTACAATACCAATACATTTTACAAGCTAGATGACATGGACAAATCATCAAATGACTCCTATTTTCAACACCGACCTAAGAAGAAATAGGAAACTGAAGCAGCTCTATTTCGGTTAAAGAACTTGCATCTGTAATTTAAAGCCTTCTCACAAAGAAAACTTCATGCCCAGTTGGCTTCATTAATTAATTCTATCAAATATTTAAGGCAAAAATAATAAAAACCCAACATAAATTTTTTCAGAAAATAGAATAGAATGGAACACTTCCCAACTTATTTTATGAAGCAGAAATACTCTCACTCTAAAACCAGATAAAGAAATCACAAGAAAAAAAAGAATTAAGACCAATATCCTTCATGATCATGAGGCAAAAATGCCTGGCAAAATATTAACACATAAAAATCAACAATAGGCCTGGCATGGTGCCTCACACCTCTAATTCCAGCACTTTGAGAGGCTGAGGCAGAAGAATTGCTTGAGCTCAGAGGTCTGAAACCAGCCTGAATAACAAACTGAGACTTAATCTCTACAGAAATTTAAAAAATTAGCCAGGCATGGTGGCATGTGCCTGTGGTCCCAGCTACTTGGGAGGCTGAGTTGGGAGGATTTCTTGGGTCCAGGAGTTCATGGATGCAGTAAGCCATGATCATGCTACTGCACTTCAGCCTAGGTAACAGAGCAAGACCCTGTCTCAAAAAAAAAAAATCAATACTATATAAAACATGATAATATATCATGACCAATGGGTTTATCTTAGGAATGCAAAGTTGGTTTAACATCTGAAAATCAATGAACATAGCTCACTGTATTAATGACAATAAAAGAGAAACCTCATAAGATAATTGCAATAGCTGCACAAAAGGCATTTTATAATAATCAGCGTTTTATGATAAAATCTTTCAACATCCTAAGAATAGAAGGGAACTTCCTCACTTATTAAGGTCATTTATGAAAAAAAAATTACACCTAAGTTATATTCAATGATGAAAAGTTCAATGCTTTCTGCCTAACATTGGGAACAATGAAAAGATGTGTTCTAATGCTGATTTTATTTAGCATTGTAATAAAGGTCCTGGTTAGTGCAGTAAAGCCAAAAAATAAATAAAAGGTACACAGATTTGAAAGGAAGGAGTAGACCTGTCCTTATTTGCATAACATGATTGTGTATGTTAAAACCCTAAGAAGTATATTTTTTAAGTGAACTAGAACAAAAAAGTGCATTGAGTAAAGTTGCAGGACACAAAATCAATAGACAAAATTAACTTTATAATTACAAACTAACAAATAATGAAATTAAACAGTAATACCATTTACAATGAAAAAATATTGGGAAATTTTGGGATTAAATTATTAAAAAGAAATTCAACATCTGTACATGAAAACTACTAAAATTCCAAAATGAAGCTAAGAACGATCTAAACAATTAGAGATATGTACTATGTTCATGGATTGGAATAAGCAATATTTTTTAAATGGCTGTTCTCCTTAGATTGAATTATAGATTCAATGTAATACCAATCCTAGTCCCAAATACTTGTTTGATGAAATCAACAAGATAATTAAAAAATTTATATTGAAATACAAAGGACCTAAACTATCCAACACAATTTTGAAAAAGTAAAACAAAGTTTGAGGTCTTATACTACTTGATTTCAAGACTTACTCTAAAGTTACAGTAATCAACACAGTGTGGCATTGGCATAAGAATAGACACAGATCAATGGAATGGGATAGAAAGTCCAGAAAAAGAAATCTACACATACATTTTCAATTCATTTTTGACAAAAAAAAATGCTGAAGTAATTCAGTGGGAAAAAGACAATCTTTTCAACAACGTACTGGAATAACAAACGAGTTATGTATCTGAAAAGAAAGGAACGTTGCTGCTTGTTACATATACTGTCTAAAAGATAACTAAAATTTGATCGTAGACCCTAAATGAAAGAGCTAAAATTATTAGAATTCTAAAAGAAAACATGAGATAAAATCTTTGTGACATTGAGGTAGGCAAAAATTTCTCAGGACACTAAAAATATGAATCATAAAAGAAAAATACAAAAAATAGATTTCATTCACTTTAGATTTTTTTTTTTTATTATTATACTTTAAGTTCTGGGGTACATGTGCAGAATGTGCAGTTTTGTTACATAGGTATACACATGCCATGGTGGTTTGCTGCACCCATCAACCCATCACCTACATTAGGTATTTTTCCTAATGCTATCCCTCCCCTAGTCCCCCATCCCCTGACAGGCCCCAGTGTTTAAAAAATTAATTGGGAAAAGAATAAGGAAAGCCACACCCTGGTAAAGAATTTTAAAAAATACATCTCAGACAAAGACTCATATCCAGAATGCTTAAAGGACTCAGTAATAAATTGTAAAAAAAAAAAAATTAAAAGTGGACAAAATTTTTCAAGATAGTTTGCAAAAAACCTGCAAATCACCCATAATCACATGAGAAGATGTTCATTATTACTATGTATCATCAAAATGCAAATTAAAACCTCAGTGAGATACCACTACACACCTGCTAGAGTGGCTAATGTTTAATAGACTGATTTTGCCAACTGATAGTGAAGAAATGATGTGCATGTGACTCTTATACAATTGATGGTGGAAATGCAAAATGGTATAGCTACTTTGGAAAATAGTTTGGCAGTTTCCCATAAAGTTAAGTGCAAACATACCATATGACCCAACAATATAATAGCTACAACCTGGCAGCAATCTAAATTGTCACTAATGCATGAATTTGAATGCATAAAAATTGAGGTCTGTCAGTCCTATAGATTACTCCTTTGTAGTATAAGGGAATGAAACATTAATACATGGAATAACATGGATAAATCTCAAGATCATTATGGTAAGTGAAAGGAGAGAAACACAAAAGACTATGTAATGTGTGATTCTATTTGTAAGAAATTCTAGGAGAGGCAAAACTACATAATGACAAAACAGAGCACTTGTTACCTGGGTCTATTGATGGAATAGATGATCCACAGTAAAGGGGCATAGAGGTCTTTCACATCCCTTGTTAGATTCATTTCTAGATAGGTTATGTTTTGTGTTATTTTTGTCAATGGAAAAATATAAAAACTCATGGAAAGATGCTAAGAAAAATACCTAAATAAATGGAAAGGCAGACCAAGTACGCAGAAGGAAGACTCAGGGTTGTAAAGGTGTCCAGTTTCCTCCAAATGGAACTTTCAATTGAATGAAATCTCAATCAGTTTCCCAGGAGAATTCTTTACTAATTTAACAGGCTGAATGTAATGCATATAAGGCTGAATCTGACACATATAATAAACAGCAAAATCCTAAGGAACACCAAACCCTTCGTGAAGGAAACTCATAAGGGAAAATTTCCAGATAGCAAGATGTACTACAAAGGTACATAATTTCACAGTGTAGTATCAATGCAGGAATGAGTCAACTCATCAGGGGACACATAAAAAAAGTCCCATGTGACCCAATGACTGCAGATATTCTTGCTGAAATATTATTGATCACATCACATCTTATAGAGCGAATAATGACCTTCTCAAATTGTACTGCAACAAATAGTTGCAGATATAAACATACAAAATTAGATTCCTACCTCACACCATACATTCATGTCATTTCCCAGTGAATTAAGGCTTTATTTTTTAAAGGAAAATTCAAAAGTGTTTCAGAAAATATATAGGAGAACATTACTATGACCATGTAATGGGAAAATATTTATTATATATGTCATATCAAACACAAAGGGTAAACATTTTTACTATATTAATAATTTCTGCTTATCAAAATATTTTATATATAAAACGAAAACCACAACTAAGAAAATGCACTTTCAACACATAAAACTAATGAATATTTCATATGGGATGTACAAAAAATCTCTTACAAATCAATTAGATAAAAACATTCCAACAGAAAAAAGTGGGCAAAATAAATAAACCAATGAATTTTATAAAATAAGACAAGAATAGTAAATAAGCACATGAAGAGACTTTTAAACTGATTAACACTCTGATGATGCAAAATAAAATCAGAGATACCATTTTTACACCCACTGTATTGGAAGATAGTAAGAAGTTTGAAAATAGCAAGTTTTAGAGAGGATGTGAGTTATGAGATCTCATTCACTATTGGTGCCTGTTAAAGTGTCATAACCACTTTTGAAAATAACTTGTAAGGTTAAGATTCCCATAACCCAGGCAAAACCCCGTCTCTACTAAAAATACAAAAATTAGATCAGCGTGGTGGTGCAAGCTTGTAATCCCAGCTACTGGGAAGGCTGAGGCAAGAGAATCACTTGAACCCAGCAGGCAGAGGTTGCAGTGAGCCGAGATCATGCCATTACACTCCAGCCTGGGCAACAAGAGTGAAACTCCGTCAAAAAAATAAAAAAAGAAAGGAAGGAAAGAAGGAAGGAAGAAAGAAAGAAAAAGAAAAGGAAAGGAGAGAGGAGGGGAGGGGAGAGGAGAGGAGAGGAGAGGGAAGAGGAGAGGAAGCAAAAGTCTTGTACATTTTTACCAAAAGATGTAAAGAAGAATATTCATGGTAGAATGGTTTGTAATAACAATAAAACTAGGAATGACTGGTATCCATTGTAATATACACTAGAATCGTGTACATCAGTGAGAACTAAGAGCCAAGACAGCATGGACTATTATATTCACCTCAGAAATATGATATAATATAAATTACTGAGGAACACAGTAAATATCACCTTATTAAGGTCAAATGCAAAAAAAAACTAAACAACATAGTATTTAAAGATACATAAATATGTGATAAAACTGTTAAAAGTACCGGAATGATAAAATTCAGGAGGAAAAAAAAGTAATCATACGTTCTAATTCTGAAATGGTCTCATTGGTTTCCGTAGAAACAAGCAGGTTTTATGTACCTCAAATGTAGTACGGCATAATCTTTTTTATGTATTTATTTATTTTATTAAGTTCCGGGATACATGTGCAGGATGTGCAGGTTTGTAGCATAGGTAAATGTGTACCATGGTGGTTTGCTGCACCTATCAACCCATCACCTAGGTATTAAGCCCTGCATGCATTAGCTATTTATCCTGATGCTCTCCCTCCTCCTGACCCCTGCAACAGGCCCCAGTGTATGTCGTTCCCCTCTCTGTGTTTTCATTGTTCAGCTCCCCACTGCATACTCTTAAACAATCATTATGTTTCATGGTGATCAGTAATGTGGGGGCGGGGTAGAAGCAGAGAACTTGGAACTCGTGAGGGGGTGTCAAAGGTAGTAAATCTTCATCCATTGAAGGCAAACTTGATATTTAGAAATTCATTCAGAGTAAAAGCTAATGGACGAAGGGAGATAAGGTGACAATCAAATTAAGTAGTAACCTTTTTTGCAACTTATATAACTAACAAACTTAAGTGCTTTCTAAAAAAAAATTCTAAAATTTGCTATATAAGGGCAACTTCACTGAAATGATTGCAGAGTCTTCCATGTGAGTTCTTTTAATGTGAGATAGCTCATTCAATAGATGCACCTTGGTGTGTTTGCTTAAGAAACAGAAAAATATGACTCATTTGATTTGTTCATGAAAGTATTACCAGGAAAATAAATGAAAACAATTTCACCTAAACATCTGTTAACTTTAGCACTGAAGCTTTGGATGTAATTTACATAATGCATAAAGTAGATTGATCTAGGACCATGTCGATGATGAAATTTTCATTATATTGATAGACTTTCATTTTCCTCATAAAATCTACACATACTTAAATTATAACAACTCTGCTTTTGAATTAATCCAGTCTGCATAATGTTTTTCAGTCATCAACTATTATAGTGTGAAATGCCTTTACCATCAAACTGGCTCAAGGTTACTGCCTTCACTCAGAAAGATAGTGTTTTCCTTCTCCCCACTGTGGGCCCTGCCTCTCAACCTGCAACCCTACATTTCAGAAAGTAGTTTGCCTGTATGAAATTTTCTTACTCTCTTCTAAGGTAGTGGCTGCAAAATGGTACCTATCTCTGATTTTAATTTGCATCATCAGAGTGTTAATGACTTTAAGAGTCTACTCATGTGCTTACTTACTATTTTTGTTTTATAAAATTTCTTGGTGTACGCATGTTCTCACTCATAGGTGGGAATTGAACAATGAGAACACTTGGACACAGGAAGGGGAACATCACACACCAGGGCCTGTTGTACGGTGGGGGGCAGGGGGAGGGATAGCATTAGGAGAAATACCTAATGTAAATGATGAGTTAATGGGTGCAGCACACCAACATGGCACATGTATACATATGTAACAAACCTGCATGTTGTGCACATGTACCCTAGAACTTAAAGTATAATACAAAAAAGAAAAAAAAAAGGCATAAAAATTCTAGAAGAAAACATTGGAAAGTGTCTTTATCATCTTGGAGGGTCAAAGATCTTTCTAATTATGGTTCAAAACTAAGATGTCGTTAAAGATGG
Source organism: Homo sapiens (assembly GCF_000001405.40). Classification (NCBI taxonomy): domain Eukaryota; kingdom Metazoa; phylum Chordata; class Mammalia; order Primates; family Hominidae; genus Homo; species Homo sapiens. Next base: position 154,539,755 of record NC_000007.14, read on the forward strand.
ATACATTTGATGAAATAAACATTTTTTTAAATTAAAAAAAATTATTGGTGTATTTATTTTGCCTATTTTTTTCTGTTGGAGTGTTTTTATCTCATTGATTTTGGGGAGTTGTTTTTTATACAACCCTACCTTTCAGAAATACACCCTTTCATTCATAGGAGATATATATGTACATGTCCATATGCATACCATTTTGAGTAAGCGTTTTTACTAATTTTCTAAGGGGATGCTTGAAATCTTGGTTGTTCATCTACAAGAGGCCAGACTCAGCATCTATGAGATGTATAGATTCAAAGGTATTCATGGCAGCGAAGAGCTAATTCCTCCAAGCAAGAGCACCTAGGGGAGCTCGTGGAGCAGATGAAAGCATGTTTTGCAGGATGTGGCTATGGGCCACAAGCATTCTGCATACAGATTTACTCCAAAGTTGGATATAGGAAATTAGTCCCTTTACTAACAGTTGTCTTTGGCTCCTTGGAGTATCTGCTTTCTTAATCTGCTCTTTGTGTCCTGCCCAAGAACATTCTAGCTGTTCCAAAGGTTTTCGGTGTGTGCGCCTGTGCTTTCTATGTCAATGTGTAAAGTAGGAGAGAAGCATCATGTGAGGCTGGATTAAGAAGAGCTGGGCATATTGCACCATATTGAAAGGGCCGTTTGATGAGTGGGAGCCTATCTTTTTTTCAGAACTAGTGATTTTACTTTACATAAGCATTCGTCAAAAGTTGAGGAGAGTTCCTTGATGTTTCATGTGGTTTTTTTCTACTTCCTCTCTTACAGATACAGAATTCATCTACAGAGAACAGAAAGGAACAGTGAGACTGTGGAATGTTGAAACAAATACTTCTACTGTCTTAATAGAAGGCAAAAAAATTGTAAGTACTCTCTTTAATGACCGGGATAATTTCAGTTTTTCTTCCTGCAAGTCAATAAAACAGAAAATGACTTTTGGTTTCAACTTTTAGCATAGCCAAGGAGAAGCAATAAACTTGTAATACTACAGGCTGAGCAACCAAAGATAATGTGAAATTGAAACCACGCTAATTCAATAAGATGAAAGCACTGTTTCTTTCATTGTCTGGGAAATTTCTCTGCAGGTGTTGGGAACAAGTGTTGCATATCATATATAATTAAAAGATAAAGTCCTAAGGCTTTTACACATTTACAGAACAATTGCAATAATGCATGTAGAATACTTCAGGAGAATTTGCTCAATCCTGTTTAAAAAAAGCTCGTCTCCGCATGCATAGGAAGTATTAACTTAGGCACTGTGACTGTACTTACCCTAATTATATTAAGTGGATGCTTATGCCTCAAAGTAAATACTGAGTCAATATGAATGCCACTGCTTTATGATTTGGGAAAACTTGTTTTCCCAAATATATGTATATTTTTTGAGACAGGATCTCACTCTGTTGCCCAGGCTGGAGCGAAGTGGTGCAATCATGGCTCATTTGCAGCCTTGACCTCCCAAGCTCAGGCAATCCTCCCACCTCAGCCTCCTGAGTAGCTGGGACTACAGGCGTGTGCCGCCGTGCCCAGCTAATTGTTTTTGTTTTTGTTTGTAGAGATAGGGTCTCACTATGTTGCCCAGGCTGGTCTTGAACTCCTGTACTCAAGCAATCCTCCTGCTTTGGCCTCCCAAAGTGCCGGGATTACAGGCCTGAGCCACTGTACTCGACCCCAAAGATTTAAATGGCATTAAGATTTGATGTTCATGTACGGTTAAAGATATGTATTAGAAATATTGACTGGAGTTATACACCAAAATCAATTTAAAGAGAATTAACATTTTGTTTGTTTACAAAATGTTCAGACTCTTATTAGAATAAATAAATCTCCAACTCAAAGCAGTTGATTCTTTTCTTGTTTGAGACACTGGGGAAATCAAAGGACAGAACTAAGGTTAAAGCTATGTTAAAAAGCAAGAATTGAAACAGGCTGTGAATCCCGTTAAAGCGATCATAACAGGGCTCTGGTATGAATCAGAAACACAGAAATCCTAGAATCCTATAATCCGGGATTAGAGGAGGTTGTAAAAAAAATTAACCGGTTCCCTGGTTTTACAGATAAGGATCCTGAGCGAGACTTAGAGCATGAGCTTTTGAGTCTCACAGCTCAGTGATGGCTGAGGGAGCATTCAGGTGGTGTCCCAGAAGCCTGTGTCCCAGGGAGAAGGAAGGATGGCTTCATCTTTACCCTACCCCATCCCCAGATCCACAGAAATGCTGTGCTGCCTTCTTTTCCCTCCTAAAGAACATGTAACTTGCTATTTAAATACTTTCATTTCTTTTCTTTTGCATAAAGATACCTTTTTATTAAAAGGTTTGCTGAGATTTAGTATTAAATGCATGCTGCCCCTAACATAGACTGCAGGCGTAAGGGAGGCCTCACGCTGTTGGATGATGGCATAGTTCCAAAAATGATCACTTTATTGAATTAAATAGTATTCTGCAAAGTAGGACCTAGGACAAATGAATGTGCCTGCATTTTTGCATTAAAAAAATCATCTTTGGTAGAATTACTCCCCTAAGAGAATCTGATTCAACTCACTTAGAAATACTAACGTTGTAGAAATGGTTTTCTAATATTAATAGAGAGGATAAAATGATCAGACTGTTGCTGAGCGTCAGTGCATTTTAATGTCGGAATGTTATCATTATTTCCTGTGAGGATGTCAGTTTAGTAAAGGCTGGGTGTTGTACATAACAGCAGCACTTAGCAATGAAATACATGAATGTGAACCGCCTTCTCTTTCTAAAATCAATAGCTTGTGACAGATCATATATTTTAACTGAAGTTATTTTAGCCAAGTCGCCTTTAATAAGGTGACTTCAGAAACCACCATGGGTAAAGAAAAGTTCTCATCTCAGAAATTCGCTGGCTTATTCTATATAATGCAATCTTTTTTCCTTAAAATGTCACTTTTCCATCCATTTTATAAACATTTATTAAGCACCAAATATGTACAGCCTAATGGATTCATTATTCCTTTCTCAAAGCTACATTTAAATGCTCCTGTCAACAGACTCAAAATAAAGAAGACAAAAAATGTCATTTAGAGGTCTGCATCCTAATTTAATTTAATCTGGATTTAATTTCCGCAGAGCCACTTAGTCATTTAAAATTATCATGCCTCAATTGCTCTATCTCCAAATTAAAGCTGATTTCTTCTGCCAGCCCAGAACCTGGGTACTCTGTGAGATCCAGCAATGGAATATGTGTATGCTCTGTGTGTTTTCATGAGCAAGTATGGAGAAGGTGAAGCCTGGTGTTCCACAGGGGCTGGAGGTTGGAGGATCACCCACAGCCTGGAGGAATTGGGAATGGGGAGCAGTAGCTCTTCCATATTCTGTTCTCTTGCCTTCCTGGTGACTGATCAGGTGTTCTCTTCTCATTTGAATTCCAGAAGCTGTGAGCTTGTATAAATGATAAAAAGCAATCTGAGGCCAACTGTAATTTTTAAGTTGGGCTATAAAACAGCCTTAAACAAGTTGAGAAATGGAAAGGAATTGGTAAATTCTGTGGTCAGCAGAATTTTAAAATATTCCCTACAACCTTGACCTCTAATAACCTCATTCTCTTTCCCGAGCCAATAAAAACAGACCCTCCTCATAGCTGGTCACTGCAAGGTACCAAAGCCTGTTTGCCTCCAGCTTCTTCTTTGCTCCTGCGCTTACTGTGATTGGCTCTTACATGGGACAGGTGGATGGAAGGGCCTGCAAATCACTGCAAACATTTTGTCAATCCAGCAGGAAAGCTTTTAAGATAGCTGGTGATTAAGCAAATTCAGAGCTTGTGCTAAGTTCTGTATTTACATGGATGTATTTCACCTTTCCTTCCCCCAAACAATTTCTTTTGACTAAATTTACTAATTCAGTCATCCTTTATTGTGCTTTTAAATGGTAGAAATCATGAAATATTTCACAATACCACAAACACTTTAGATTGTTGAGTTCAGACCAGGTGCGGTGGTTCATGCCTGTAATTCCAGCACTTTGAGAGGCCAAGGCGGGTGGATCACTTGAAGTCAGGAGTTCGAGACCAGCATGGCCAATGTGGTGAAACCCCATCTCTACTAAAAATTAAAAAGTTAGCCGAGCATGGTGGAGCATGCCTGTAATCCCACCTACTTGGGAAGCCGAGGCAAGAGAAACGCTTGAACCTGAGAGTTGGAGGTTGCAGTGAGTCGACATCGTTCCACTACACGCCAGCCTGGGCAACAGAGTGAGACTCCATCTCAAAAAAAAAAAAAAAAAAAAGAGTTTCTGTATGTGTAAACATTTAAAATTCTATGATGATTATATTATGGTTCACAATTTGGGGGGCATTCTTTTGTTTTATATATATATATAAAACAAATATATATACACACAAATATATGTATTTTATATATATATTTTATATATATATATATAGTGGGCTATTTCCTGATCCTTATTATTTGATAGCATATCATATTTGATGGTAGCTAAGAACTGCTTTTTAGAAAACATTTATCAAAATGTCTTGATCCATTTCCTCTTTTGAGAATTTTTGAAGTGCTTGTCTACATTTCTACAGAAAATGAATCAAATAAAAGCACAGTTGTCCCCAAAGCACAAGTGCATCATCTCTGAAGTAGCTCTCCTCAGCTGTAAAGGCTGCTGCCCAGTTCTAAGCTCACTGGAGCAGGTTCTGTTTGGGATTTAATTTTGTCTCCCACATAGTGCTCAGCACCATGACCTGCACATAGTAGATGCTCCACTGCTATGTGTTTTATGAATGACCGCTCTAGAATAACAAAACAATAGAGTTGAGCAGTTTTCCAGAAACATCCATGTGAGTGACAGGTGTGGAGGGGCATTCAGCACTGGGGTCATGACTTTGAGCTTCAGGTCTACCTTCCAGCCTTGGCATTGTGCTCTGCTCAGGAACAACAGGACCCCAGCCGGTTGTGCAAGTTCTGAATGTCCAGTCTTATCCCTCAGGAGTGTCGTAGGACTGAATTACAGTTGTAACAGCTGGAATGTGGGTATATGCCACATGTGGATTCCAGAGCGTTAGGCTAGACCAAAGAGCCTGGGCCAGGCTCAGGGCTCAGGCAGGAGGAGTGGGTTGGTTCTATGAAGGAAGAGACAGAGGATGATGATGTCCAAAGGAGCATGACAAGGATGCTGCCGCATGTGGGCGGCTGCGTGGGTCCAGGCAGCAGTAGCAGACAGTGGAATCCACGCCACTTTAGTTTTGAGGTCCATCCCTCATGAAGCTGGATGTAGCCTGCATCCCAGAGTGAGGCAGAGGCATCCAGAGCTGGTAATTACAGCAAGAGGCACTCGCAGAACTCTAAACATCAATAAAAAATCAAACCTAAGCTCACTTTTATTTGAATTACATGTTTGATGTCACAGAAATTCCGGGACCTTACACTTTACTCTTTTAAACACAATTTTAAATGTCAATGTTATTTTACGTTTCATGCTCCTTATAAGACTCTTGTCAACAAGATAGCACATCTTATCAAATGGCCTTTGTTCTATTATGTATCTTGTTTTTTTTTCCTAAAAAATGAACCACCACAAATATATCTCATGGTCCAAAATTGGATCTTTGGACATTTGGCCAATGGTTGCCTGGTTCCTAAAGTCCTCATGAATTTTTATCTTCTGAGTAGAACACTCCTTTTTCCTTTCCCTCCCTCCCTCCTTTTCTTCATCCTTCACTCCTCCCTCCCTCCCTCCCTTCCTTCCTTCCTTCCTTCCTTCCATCCTTCCTTCCTTCCTTCCTTCCTTCCTTGTAGAAATACACTTAAAATAGCCTTAATACATTTTGCTGAACTAAATAGATTTCTTGGGGACTTAATTCTTACAAAAATTTAACACCATCTCTCCAATTCTTTTAAAACATAATAGAGCAAAAATTATCAGAAGGGTGAAGTGTTTCACCAGTGCTTAATATTTAGATATTTAAAGCTGAAATAGTCTTTAGAGACTGTGTCTTTCAAACTCTTCTTTTATGAGGTGAGGAAACTAAGAATTTCTAAGAACAGTTCTCTGGCTTAACCTCCACTGATAGTGCTATGGATGTAACGCACCAGTTCAGAATGAGTCACTGTATTGACCTGTGTCACTCATACTGTATAGGCCCTTTTTATTGACAATGCTATCAGTGACAAGAAGCATTAAGATTTATATAGTCATTCATTGTATCACTTAAATTCTGCCAGGTGTTTGGAAAGCAACTTAGTGATACGTTTCAGGAGCAGTAACAATATTGATGCATTTTTATTTGCTCTGGGGAATGCTTCTGTACAAAGTTGCAGCATTATTTGTTAATACAATAGTGAAAATACTTGAAACTAGGAAAATGAGATAACTTTTTAAAAAAAGATAAAATATGATGTATTCATTAAAATAATAGCTATGAAGGGTATGTAGCGATACAAAAAATATTTATGATATATTTTAAAAAGATACAATATACTAGGCTAACAACTATATATATTGAAAGGCTAGAAAGTGAACACTGAACTATGAAAATACTTAATCTTGTTGGGTGGTGAGATTTTGTGTATTATTTTCTAGTGTGGTGATTTCCATAACTGCCATTTCAATGCCATTTATTCAATAATTTTAATCGGGATTTAAAAATTTTGGTTTCATCTTTCAAAAAACAGCAGACTGCCTTCTCACAATGAGTATGTAAGAGCTGTAGACAGTTCCCGGAAATTCTTGAAGGAGAAAATAAGTCGATTATTTAAAAAAAAAAAAAAAAGTATTCTATTGTTATGCTTATGTCAGGCTTTCTCCATTTTTATGTCTTGTTTTAATTACTAATTTCTTTGTTTTAATTGCTTATTTTAATGACTAAATTAACATCTAAATGAAATGTATTTTCTCTAAGCTGTATCCTTCTTGGTTTTATATAATCATAGATGTAGAATTTGAATTTTTATCTCTGTCTCTAAAAATTAATTAATTCTGACTCCTCACAGAAAGAGACATAAATAGGCAAGTATTATTAGACCCATTCCAAAATAAGAAGAACAAATAATAGGCCTGTTTGTACTACCAGAGGAACTCCAGAATGTGGCTGAGATTAGAACTCGAGACTACTTTCTTTTTACTTCTTCAAATAAACTCCACTGGATACTTGACCCCTGCATCAGTAATTCTCACTTTATTCTATGTCATTTAATTTCTGTTAAGTGCTTTATGCGCTAGTCCTCTCAGCCCTGAAACAGGGTAAATTTGGAAGGAAACAGAAGCCCACTTTCTTACCTCTTTCTCTTTTCTGTTCTGCACAGAGCCCAGTGCACTGTTGAATGGGAAGCACAGGATGTTCTGACAGGTGTCATCTCAGCCAGGAACAGGCTGGCCCCCGGGAAGTGGGCTCAGCCTCGGTTTCAGCTCCTGTTGTCCTGAGTTCACTGACCACTGATAACCAGGACGGTGGCTGCAACTTCAGTGGGCCAGCAATGGCCCATGAGCCATCTCTAATCTGAGGCTGGATTTCACTTAGCATGTCAGTGAAAACCATGAGGGGAAACAGCCGTGTTTTTGTGTACGGTTGAGAGGGCATAAACTGGCAGCTCGTGATGCCCACTGAAATGTTTTGTTTGGCCCACAGAGTGGTTTTTACAAACTAACCCAGATTTCTGGCGTCTCTTGAAAAATACAAAGATCTGGCAGCAGCAAGATCCTCATTTGCTCACAGAGAGCAAAATTTGGCTGGAGCTAAGAGGCAGCTGGCCCCTCAGACAGGACATGGGCCGACCAGCCCTGCAGTGACCCACATTTGCTGACTTCTAACCAGACTGGTCTCTGAGTTTGAAACCCCTTTTAGTTCAGGAACAAAAGGGTGGCATAAGAACTCAATGTCTTCTGCAAGAACGTTGCACATTGTGAGAAATCGTAGCACAAACTGTCTTGGTATTATCTGTATTCATTTCTGTCTGTAAAATTCCCTGGATCCTCTTTGTCCCCCTATGTCATTATTTCATTTTTCTCCTGTGTCTCAGAGGGTCTCTCTCTCTCTTTTTTTTTCTTTTGTCTTTCTTGTCCTACTTTTCTCTCTCCTGCCTTTTCTGTTTCTACTTCTCTTACTACAAGATAGAACAGAAAACAAGTATATTTTACTTACTTTTATTCTAACTTTTACCACATAGACCATGATTTTACTTTTTAAAGTGGATGAGGCTGAGCACAGTGGCTCACGCGTGTAATCCCAGCACTTTGGGAGGCCGAGGCGGGCAGATCACTTGAGGTCAGGAGTTCAAGACCAGCCTGGCCAACATGGTGAAACCCCATCTCTACTAAAAATAAAAAAATTAGTGTGGCGTGGTGGCAGGCGCCTGTAATCCCAGCTACTCAGGAGGCTGAGGCAGGAGAATTGCGTGAACCGGGGAGGTGGAGGCTGCAGTGAGCAGAGAACACGCCACTGTACTCCAGCCTGGGCAACAGAGAGAAACTCCATCTCAAAGTAAAATAAAAATAATAAATAAGTACAGTAGATGAGTATTTATACTTATGTCTTTAAAATATCTGAAAAGAGGCCGGGCGCAGTGGCTCACGCCTGTAATCCCAGCACTTTGGGAGGCTGAGGTGGGCGGATCACAAGGTTTAGGAGCTTGAAACCAGCCTGGCCAATATGGTGACACCCCATCTCTATGCCTGTAGTCCCAGCTACTCGGGAGGCTGAGGCAGACGAATCGCTTGAACCCAGGAGGCAGAGGGTACAGTGAGCCGAGATGGTGCCATTGCACTCCAGCCTGGGTGACAGCGAGACTCCATCTCAAAAAAAAAAAAAAAAAAATTCTGAAAAGCAGTACAGTAGTGGTTTAATCTTTCTGGCCCCAGAGCTACTGTTCCCTGCAGGCTAAGGGCTGTGTACCATCACTCCTCCATCACACGTATACTCTTCAAGTGACAGTCAGGGAAGGCCTTCTCTGTGCAAGGCCCTGACTAGACATGGTGGTGGGTGGATACAGTGATTAATAAAAACAGATTTCTACTCTTATGTAGCTTTCAGCCTGCATATAAAAGAAGTAGTTGTTTTAACATAATATATTTTGCAACGGAGGTATTAATCCAATGTGCAATGAGAACAAGGTGAGAAAGAAAGAGGATTGCTGGGAACTCTAGATAGAGGCTTGCAGAAGGAACATTTCAGCAGTCCTTGAACATGGGAGAAAAGTCGGAAATGGCATAATAGGCAAAATGAAAAGGGTGGATAATTCCACATTTCAGGGGTAGACAGTGCGGTTAGTAGGTTGTTTTGGGAGGGGCTTGAAAAGTTGTGGCTGGAAGGTCTGGGGAAAAGGTGGAGAGAGGTCTTCAGGAAGCTTCCATTGTGTGTAGTCTTTAGTCTGTAGCACATGGAAAGGTGTCAACCAAAATTAAAGCTACTGAAGCAGAAATGATGTAATAAAGGTTTATTGGAAGCCACAGGTGAGAATCGATCTGGGAAAACACACCAACAAAGTTGGACATGTTCCAGAATCTGTTACAAGCCAGAAGGCTTTCATAAGAAAGTTTAGGAGAAGTGAAGGGGACTCCTCATATCAGAGTTGTCCTTTATCATTAAGAGGTACAATAAAAAGGTTCCAATCACTGACAACAGATTGCAACACACAGGCTAAAATGCCTACGTGCAAGACAATCAGTAAAACTTCATGATTCAGAGGCAAATCAGCATCCTTTTCAATGTCAGTAGATCACACAGTAATCAGTACGTCAACAATTTGAAGAGCTCACAGTAAGATTGTTTACTTAGCGACAAGATGACACACAAGACTTCTTCCCCAGGTGACTTAATTTGGAAGTTTGCCAAATGTGACCTGTAGGGTATTATTTCCCTCTTTTGATTAAAAAAACAACAACAACTAACCATGGAAGCATTGATGATCAGTCTCTGCTTACGTTAGAAGGGTAGACATCCTTCTTTCCTTCCTTGGCTCTGCGAAGGCTCATTCCCAAGAAGTCATGTCCCTGAGTGGGGAGAACAAACCTTATCATCGCATGTGGGCCAGGTTGCTAGCAACATGGGGTAGATCATGACACGAGGTTACATGCCAATCTCCTGAATAATGAATCAACCTCCAGTCTCTGGACGATCATTATTTTGGCCTTAACTGTGGAGGCATAGTTTACAAATTCTGGAGAATTCAGGTACAGAGAAAGGTAAATGTTTTAATTTTATTCACAAAAGTATACTTTACCTGATTGTTTTAAAATACAAATAGCTCCTTTATTTATAATTTTTAGAAATATGTTTTGCTATAGTATTGTTATTTTATTTGGAAATAAAGAATGAGTATTATTTAAATTGAACATAACTTTAAGATTGAAAATTATGTAACAATTATTTATAAAAGTTTATCCCATTTATATTTACCTAATTTATTTATTTTTAACAGTTTACCTGGATTGCTCATGAAAACTGAGATATTGGACAAAGTTAGTCATTATTTCAAGTTACTTCCTTGTTAACCATTTTTATGGCCTGTGAATATCAGATGTTCACTTAAGGAAGGAGTTTAGGTTAAATATATGGGTATTTTGCTAATAACTCAGAAGATACAGCTTTTTTTCATTTAACCAACAAGATTAAATTAGTCTTACCCTTCAAAAAATTACACAAAAATCATTCTGGTTTTGGCTGGGCTTGTAGTTCTATAACCTTTGTGCCAAACCCTGACATTTAAAAATATCTAGCAGAGACAAATATAAAATTGTCTTCCAAGTATAATGAGGCAAAAGGGTATGCTGACAATCTTGAAGACATTTCTACTTTTATTTTATCAATAATTTAAAAACCAGCTTGTTTATTAAGGGTTTACTTAAGTCATGTGAACTTGGGAAATATTTGTGTTTACTAATTTATGAATGCTCATTTATTTATGTTGATTTGGTACCAGGTAGACATAACATATAATACATCTAAGTAAGTGTAAACACATCTAAACATACACAAACACAAATAAAGATTGTACAGCTTTCATTTTAGAATTTTAGTTCTTTTTTTTTTTTTTTTTTTGAGACGAAGTTTTGCTCTTGTTGCCCAAGCTGGAGTGCAATGGCGCGATCTCGGCTCACTGCAACCTCCGTCTCCCAGGTTCAAGCGATTCACTGGCCTCAGCCTCCTAAATAGCTGGGATTACAGGCGAGTGCCACCATGCCCGGCTAATTTTTTGTATTTTTAGTAGAGACAGGGTTTCACCATACAAACTCACCAATTTATAAAAGACAGCTGGATCCAAGTTATATTTCTGACAAAATTGGGACCTATTCATATGGCTAAACTTTTTTTGCCCCTATGGGTAATCTAATGAAAGCTACAGACCAAAAGTTTGGGTAAAGCAGTTTCCATGTAAGTTTGATTTTTACAAACTTCTTTTACCATTTTTTATAAGTTTCAAATGAGTTCAATTTTCAATGTTTACATTTTACCTGAAAACTGACCAAATTGCATAACAAAGACAAAATCTCCAAGTAGTCTTGAAATAGTAACAAATCTATCTTTTGTTTGCTGATCTTGTTTGATTAGCAAATGCAGGTGGGGAAAAATTTTTAGCAGTTTCTCTCTTTTTTGGGGGAGGTGGCACTTTTTCCTTTCAGCCTTTGTAGCAGAAAAAGCAAAATTTTTGTGCTAGACACAGATAGATGATTGCTCTGAGCTCAAGATTCTGACTTATTAGACCTGAGGGCCTAACTTTTCTAAACATTTATCTTTTTCTTTTAGATTATTAATTGTTCAATTAAGCATTTCATTTTAATACGAGTGGCTGAATCTATTTTACCAATGCCAGTGGAAGATCGGGATCATAAATGGTCTGGCAAAGCTTACAATAAATCAATTGGTATCATTCATTAGTTTCAGTTTAGAAAAAAACTTGTTGGATCTGTATTTTTATCATCTCAGTAATTTCATTCTCATGCTGTAGTCCTTTCATTTGCTCCTTTTGTTCCAAATTCATACATTTCCCTCTTTTGAGAGAGAAGGAAATGTGTGCATTGTGAAATTCCAAAAATCTCTGCCTAAGAAATGTATGGGAGCTGAGGGAACAAGCAGAGAAGGATGAGGAATGAGGAGCAGTTGGAGGTGAAAGGGACAAAGTCTCTGAAGTCTTTTTCACGGCAGAGATAGTTGCGAATATCCTTTTGTTTACCTCTTGAATGGAGGCAATTTTTTCTTTCAAAATTTTTTATGGAAGCTTCTAGGTGCTATTGGAAGTAAGTCTTCCATTCAATTTGTCTAATTCTAAATCCAGCTTTTTCCAATTGTGTGCCCAAGTAAATCATTTTAGGCATTTCAAAGGGTCCCCATTTTGGGTGTTGCTGCTTATGACCATGCCAAGTTAGGTGGATCCACTTATCTAAGCACTTGCAGGTAAAAGGACCAAAAGTATTGTGCATAAAACCAGCTGGTGTTGATTAGAGGCAGTGCACTGTCAGTCTCAGAAGACCTGCTTTCCATCGTGATTGTTTTGAGTGAGACCAGCTATGTAGTGGAGCAAAAGTGCCCCTCATGCCATCACTAAGGAAAAGTGCTTTCGCCCCAAACCTCCAGGGAAAAATTCACAGAGCTACTTTACCTTGCCCTAAAATTCAAACAAAAACCCTTACCTTGGATTGGTAAGAGGGATACTCGTTCTGAGAAAGACATTGTATTTTCTAGCCAAGGAGAAAGCCAGCTTCAAAAAAATCACAACTTTGACCAAGACGGGAAGTTTGTTGATTTCAGGAAGAACTCATCTGTACCACCCAGCAGGGGCGTCCAAGCTCACAATGGGTTTGTTGCCAGGATCTGCATGAAGGCTGGAAGCTGTGCTGGATGGTCCATGGAGGTCACTCCAAAGCCTACTGGCTACACCATAATGTTGACAGAAATTAAGGCTGAAATAACGTGATAAAAGGTGTATTGGAAGCCAAATGTGAGGATCAGCCCAGGAAGACACATCAACAAAGTCAGGAGTGTTCTAGAGTCTTTAACAAGTTGGAAGGCTTTTATAAGAAAGCTTAAGAGAAGGGAGGGGACTCCTCATATCTGAGTTGTCCTTTTCATTGGAGGGTATGATACAGGGCTTATAATCATTGGCTACGGATTGCAACATACAGGCTGAAATGTCTGTATGCAAGAAAATTAGTAAAACTTCTTGATTCAGAAACAGATCAGCATTTTTTCAATGTCAGTAAGTCATACAAATAATCAGCCACATCAACAATTTGAGGAACTCAAGGTAAGATACTTTACTCAGGGACAAGATGTCACCATGCATCACAAGACCTTCCCCCAGGTGGGTTAGAATTTTTGAGCTGGTTAGAATTTAAAGCCACCGTGCTTTAGGAAAATAACTGTAACCAATAAGAAAGGGGTTTGTAGAAGGTAAAGATTATAAACAAAACATCGACAGTGGCTGCTTCAAGTCCAGGTGAATGTGATGGAGGTCTTAAATTAAGGCAGTGGCTTTGAAGACACAGGAGAAGTTGGTTTAAGTTACATCACAGGAGTAGAATTGATAACACTTGGCTTCACTTTGTGTACAGGCAGATGGGATTAAACAATAGTCTATGTTGTCTGGGGTTTTTCGAGACTTGCTCATGGGTGGAGAGATGTCAAATTCAGAAACTGAAATGGGGAGAGAAACAGATTGTGAAGTAGAAAACCAAAGCCACTTTGAGGAATAAGCTACTGCAAGGTATATGCAGAGTTCATTAACTAATAGTTGATATTTTGAGTGCTTACGGTGTGACTAAAGAATCCTAAACACTCTACGTTCATTATCTTACTTAACCAAAATCCTTAGGAACTCTGTGAGCTTCAGTACTTTATTATTATTTTAAAACTCAGAAAAAAGAGGTTAAAAAACCTTTTACTAAGTCACACAGCTGATAGCTGATAGTCCTGAGAGCTGAAGTCAGCTTTGTCTAGTTCCAAACTAAATTATTTCTAGACTGCATACATAATCCAGCTGTAGCCTTGGTCGCTGCAGTTATAAGATAGGGCTGAGGCCGCCATTCCATTACTGAGAAGGAAGCCACCGCTTCAAACACTGTGTTCATATCTGTGAGTCCATCATTACATATCACGTGGTTACTCCTGGAGGCCACTACATTTGCCCTAAAATGAAGACTAGAGATGCAAAACATTGAGTCAGTTTAGCCTAATGCCAAAAAAAAAAAAAAAAAAAAAAGTGCTGACACAGCTGAGTCCTGGGGAACGATCTGTTTCAAGGTTAGAGAGAACCGAGCTGTAAACCATCTGGACGCTTTTTCGATGTGGCTATTTAATCATCTTTCCACTCTGCTCTATAGCATCTATGTTTTCAGGTTTTCTCTGACTCAGTAAATGCAGTGCTGGGAGCAGCACCCGAGTCTGTCTGATTCAAAATTAAATTATTCTTAGGTGAATTCAGGGCCCAGAGGCAGGCTGTGGCCACTATCATTAACATTATCGCCAGGCCCAAGGGTTCTGTCTTTCTCATTGACCAGGAAGGGAGAATACAATCATCTATTTATGTTAAATTTGATGTGTGCACCCACAGAGTTGCACATAGCATCCTCCTGTAACAATCTTTTCAGTATTTGTCTTTTGTTGATCATTACTCATCTTGTATATTTAGGGTTTTTTTTCATTATGAGTTTCATGAGGAGGTTGTATTCAAAAAAGCCTCTGGGTATATTTATGCTTTCTACCATTCATTTCCCTTCCATTACTTGACAAATTGGGGGCATTCTATCATTTTATATCTCTTTTTTCCCTAACAACCACCTTTTCTTCTCTGCATTTATTATCACATATGTATTTATCTACTACAGGAAAAACAAACCAATCCTTTAGTTAGATATGTATCTCCTCAGAAACATGCCTAGAATTTTATATAAATGGGATCATCATACATGTAGACCAATATTTTTAAAGTCAGCATAATGTTATTTAAACTTGTGTTATTGATATAACTGGTAGCCCCAGATAATGCAAAAGGTGAAATACTGTATATACCCATCTCTCTAGTAAGTATAAAAGTTATGAGCAAAATATTAACAAGTGGAGTTCAGCTGTGTACCAAAATCATAATATGCTAAAGTCAGGTTTAATGATTACAACAGCATTTAAATATCAGGAAATCAATCAACAAAATTTATTAGAACTACAAAATGATAGAAAAATCCTTATGATTAAGTCACTAGGTGCTGAAAAAGGGATCTGATAAAGTTTATCAACAGCTCCTAATAAAAATCCTTGCTAATGTAAGAATAAATAATTGCTTAAATATGCTAAAGGTTGTTTACCAAGAACCAACCATCAGTGAAAACCATTCTAAATGACAAACAATAAAACCATTTCAATTATAGCCAGGTATCAGGCAAGAATACTCACCATCACCATTAATATTTAATATGTTCTTGAAGAAAGTGCAACCAAACCAAATGATTCAAATAAGAACTAGAAAATAGAAGAAAAAAAGACAACTTTTTTCTCATAATAGAATTTTATTTCTGAAAAACCTAACATATATTAGTTTTAATATACACCATGGAATACTATGCAGCCATAAAAAATGATGAGTTCATGTCCTTTGTAGGGACATGGATGAAGCTGGAAACCATCATTCCCAGCAAACTATTGCAAGGACAAAAAACCAAACACCACATGTTCTCACTCATAGGTGGGAATTGAACAATGAGAACACTTGGACACAGGAAGGGGAACATCACACACCGGCGACTGTTGTGGGGTGGGGGAAGGGGGGACGGATAGCATTAGGAGATATACCTAATGCTAAATGACGAGTTAATGGGTGCAGCACACCAACATGGCACATGTATACATATGTAACAAACCTGCATGTTGCGCACATGTACCCTAAAACTTAAAGTATAATAATAATAAAATAAAATTTAAAAAAATCCAAATGTCAAAAAAAACTAATAAGAACATATCTTAATATGGCTAAATACAAGAAATATATTATGAAATCAATAGCTTTTCTCTTCACCAATATAAATACCTTGAAGTGAAAATGGAGAAAATATTCCATTCACAATAAGAACAAAAATATAAAAAGACTTCAAATAAATCTGACATGAACTCCAGAAGATTGAACAAAGCAAACTATAAGATCTTGTTAGAAATTTGAAAACATTAAAAAAATTGTATAATATTAAATAAGAAAACAATATTTAAAATGTTAATTATTTGAAAGTTGATATCAAACTTTAACACAATCCTAATTAGAACTCTGAAACTGCTTTAGTGTAAACATTTTGCAAAATGATCTTGATTGTCATATATAAGAATAAACACCTTTGTGTAGCCATGAAGCATTTCAAAATGCATAGTAATGTATACTCTTTTACCTGCAGTGAAAACACACAAGAACGACGTTATATTCAACTCAATGACAATAATAGCTAACGCTTTGAATACTTATTATGTACCAGGTATTGTAATTACTTTATTAAATTTGTGTATCAATTATGAGGTAGGTACAAATATTATCTACACTTTACAGAGGCATAAAAAATTGAGAAATTTTCAGCATCTCTCATAGTGAATGGTATAAACAGGATATGAATCACAGTCTGTCTGAATCCACAGTCCAAGCTTAAAACTATCAAATTTTGCATAGAAGTAGCAAAGAGAGTGCTGAAAAACTGGAGAATTTGAAAGAAGCTTCCAATATAAACAAGTATTTGACATGAGAAACACTAGGGATAGGGTGACACACTTAGAACACAGTGCTGGCATAACTAACTCTTCATCTACAAAGATGTAATGTAAGTCTCATTGTACAAATACACAAAATTACGTTCCAATTGGATTAAAGCCTTAAATGTTTTTAAAAGTCTATAATTTGGTTTCATAAAAAGAGAGAAATTTTTAATCAAAATAGGAAATCCTGAAGCTATAAAAGATAGCCATATTTAATTTGCCATATATGATTTTAAATTTTAATTTTAAGAAAGGCAAAATTAGTAGACAAACAATGGAAAATATTTACAATCCAGGTAACAAGTAAAAGGAGTATATCTACAACTGATAAGGAATTCTTCCAAATTGAGCACAAAAAGACAAATAAATAATAGAAAATGAACAAAAATATTTTAGAATTAGCTCAATCAAGCCTGAAACCAAGGCCTGCTTTGTTTGGGAAATTGATACATAGAGCAAACGTTCAGGAATGTGTTAGATGTTTTTTTGCATTCACTATTGGCACTTGGTGAGAAGGTAGACCTGCAGCTCAAAATTTGTACAACTGCTACAGGATCCCTTGAATTTGTAACAGGGCCACTCGTTCTGAGAAAGACATTGTATTTTCTAGCCAAGGAGAAAGCCAGCTTCAAAAAATCACAACTTCGACCAAGACGGGAAGTTTGTTGATTTCAGGGAGAACTCATCTGTAGCACCCATCGGGGGCATCCAAGCTTATCCACCAGATAAGTGGAGCCACCTAACCTGGCATGGTCACAAGCAGCCAAGTCCAAAATGGAGACTGGGGTGGTCAGAAATGCCTGGAATCACACCTAACCATGGCAGTGGTGAGTTTCTCAAAGAGAAAACAAATTCTCACTGTCTCCGGCAGCATCGTTAGCAATTGACCCTCCATCAAGGAATGTGACCCGGACTAATTTCTAAGTGTAAAAGTTGCATTCTTTGCTGGTTTCTTTTGGTGTTATTGCGTATCAGCCCCACTGTTGCCACTCTTGTAACAGCTGAGGATGTAATCATTCATTTCTTCAGCAAACATCTAGGGAGCATCTCTATTATAACCCAGTCACCGTTAGGCACTGGGAATAGAACCGTGGCAAAACAAACTAAAATTTGCTTCTTGGCATCTGGTCCTGGCCATGAGACTATAAGAGGATTGGAATTACCCTCCTAACATAAACAACTATAAAATGGGATAAAATGTGGAGAGAAAAATCAGTTTTCATGTATTGGACAGCAGGCAGTGCACAGCTGTGATCCCCGAGAAAAGAAAAACAAATGAATGAACCATGCCATCCCGTGGGCTTTCTGCGTGAATGCTGTACTGCAGCACGAAGGGGAAAAATTCAAGACCTGCAGTCTTGCCAAGTTAAGAAGACAGAAGTCAGAGTTCAAGAAAAGAAGATGGCTACAGTTTATGAGATGGAGTACCCAAAAGGAGGAAACTAGAGAATACTCACAAAATCTATTTAAGTAATTCCTTTTAATGGCAAAACCACAATTACTTTATTATTATTATTATACTTTAAGTTCTGGGGTACATGTGCAGAATGTGTAGGTTTGTTACGTAGGTATACACGTGCCACAGTGGTTTGCTGCACCCATCAACCCATCACCTACATTAGGGATTTCTCCTAATGCTATCCCTCCCTTTACCCCTCCACCCCCCCACAGGCCCCAGTATATGATGTTCCCCTCCCTGTGTCCATGTGTTCTCAATGTTGAACTCCCACTTATGAGTAAGAACATGTGGTGTTTGAAAAACCGCAGTTACTTTTGCACCAGCCTAATACATAGATTTCCCTTTGAGACCTCGGTTAATTATTGACCTTTATATGTGAATAATGAAACACCAAAAGGCAGAACAAAATAAAACTCCAAGGAAATAACAATTACAGAACTCTGTTAGATGAAGTATTCCCAGAGCTCATATATTGTCAGGAATTATTTAAGTTTATTCTAACCATGAGACATTAAACAGAGACCCCAGGAAAGTAGTTTCTTAGGATGAGGTTCAATTAGCACTCAAATATAGTCATGTGTCACATAATGGCATCTTAGTCAACAATGGATGTAGGACATTGGTCCCCTAAGATTATAATATCATATTTTTATTGTATCTTTTTTATGTTTAGATATTTTTAGATATACAAAAATTACCGCTGTGTTACAACTCTCTACAGTTTTCAGTAGAGTAACATGCTGTACAGGCTTGGAGCCTTGGAGCAATAGGCTATGCCATATGGCCTAGGTGTGGAGTAGGCTGTACCATCTAGGTTCGTGTAGGTACTTTCTGTGATGTTTGCACAATGGCAGAATCGCCCAATGGTACATTTCTCAGAACATATCAGATATATTGTTAAGTGATGCATGACTAATGGCCACTATGGAATAACCCTTAAAACATCTTTTTTAAAAACCTTGAATAAGTCAGGTTAATCCACAAATAATTAATTGCCTGTCATAAAAAGTCCAATATTCTTTGAAGGAAAACAAAAAGTCCTAAATTCAACAAGAGAGAATTAAAAATATCTGGTGTTAATTTAAAAATAAAACATGATATATGCAAAGGAGCAGGGAAATGTGACTCCTAATGAGGAGAAATATCAGTTGATAGAAACAGAACTCCTGATAACAAAGATAAGGGAATTAGCAGAAAAACACATGAAAACTGCTAAGATAAATGTATTCCAAATGCTCAAGGCTATAAGGAAAACCATGAACATGATGATAAGAGAAATTAAAGATTATAAGACACCCAGATAAAATTTCCAGAGATTAAAAAAAAAAAAAATTCTCTAGATGATCACCAGGTTAGATACCACAGAAGAAAAAAAAAAAACCCCTAAATTGTAAGCAGTAGCAATAGAAAACTATTTAAAACCAAGAACAAAGAGAAACTTGAAAAAAAAAAAAGCCTGAACAGCATGTCAATAAGCTGTTGGACAGTATAAAGTAGACTAATATACCTGTCATTAAAGTTCCAGAAAGTGAAGAGAGAAAAGAAGATAAAACAAACTTTTGAAGAAATAATGACTGAATTTCTTCCAAATTTGGTAAAGAACTCAATAAACTCCATAAAGAAAATAATAACAAAGAATATGATAATCAAGTTACTTAAGATGAGTGACAAATAGAACATCTTAATGGCAGCCAAAGGAGCGAGACGTGTTTGGAAGAACAAACCTAAGAAAACAGCTGACTCTTCAACAGAGGTGCTGCGAGCCAGAGGACATTGGAATGAGATCATTTAAAGTGCTGGGAGGCATAAAACACTGTCAGTCTACAGTTCTACACACCACAGAAATATCTCTCAAAAATAAACATTAAGAATTTGTATAGGCCCAGCTACTCAAGAGGCTGAGGCAGAAGGATCCCTTGAGCCTAGGAGTTTATGGCTGCAGTCAGCTATGATCACACCACTGCACCCCAGCCTGGGCAACAGAATGAGACCTTTTTCTCTTAAAAAAAATAATATATATAGATATATATATAAAGATATAGATATATATAAGATATATATAAAGATATAGACATATATAAACATATATATATAAAGATATATATTTTCAGAGAAAATCAGACAGTATTTATTGGCCATAAACCTATACTATGAGAAACTTAAGGGAAGTTCTTTGGAGTAAGAAAAATTACACCAGATGAAAAGTTACATCTACATGACAGAAGGAGGTGTGCCAGGAATGATAAATGTTGTCAACATATGGCCAGGTTTTGGGTGGAAATTTTTGTAGAATTAGTTAACTAGTTCTTTAAAATATCCTTCCTTTTCTCAAAGGGTCCTTTAAATATAATAAAATATGTCCAGCTCCTCTGAATGTAATCTCATGTAAGACTTCTGTCTGAACCTTTGTCCTGCTCTAAACACTGACATGGAAAGTGAAAATATAAACACATAAAACCTTTGGAACATGTTAGAACTTTCTTGGACAATAGTGGCAATAATAAATCTGATCTAATATAGGGTGGACTATAACTGACAGTTTAAAGGACAGATTTCCTATATCATTATGCCTACAAGCTCCCCTTAATACTCCTGGAGGATTTTATATTTTGTTTAAAAGGAAAGATCCAATTATAAGCTATCTATGTTATCTAATTTTAATATAAAGACATAGATTAAAATTAAGTGAATTTTAAAGCTGGGCATGGTGGCTCATGCCTGTAATCCCATCACTTTGGAAGGCTGAGACTGGCAGATTACCTGAGGTCAGAGTTCGAGACCAACCTGGCCAACATTGTGAAACCACATCTCTGCTAAAAATATAAAAGTTAACCAGGTATGATGGTGGGCGCCTGTTATCCCAGCAGCTCGGGAGGCTGAGGCAGGACAATCGCTTGAACCCAGGATGCAGAGGTTGCCGTGAACTGAGATCATGCCACTGCACTCCAGCCTGGGTGACAGAGTGAGACTCCGTCTTAAAAAAAAAAAAAAAAAATGAAATGGATTTTAAGAGATATACCATCCAAACCCTAGTCAATGAAAATCTTGAATGGCTATATTAATATTAGATAAAATAGACAACAAGGAATATTACCAGAAATAAGAAGAAATATTTCATAATGATAAAGGAGTAAGTTTATTAAGAAGACTTAAGAATCCTAAAGATGTATGCAGCTAGCATTGAGCTACAATATTTGAAGCAATAATTGGTTGAACCAAAAGAAGAAATAGACAAATCCATAATTTAAGTTGTAGATCCCAACAATCCTCTCTGAGTAATTGATAGACTATGTAAAAACATTTAATAAGGATACGGAAGTCTTGAAAACACTATTAACCAAGTCAACCGAATTGACATGTGTGCATCACATCACTCATCAATAGAAAAATGCACATTCCTCTGAGTGCACGTGAAACATTCACCAGAGTAGACTATATGCTGGGCCATTAAACAAGTCTCAATATATTGCAAAGGATGGAAATTATACAAAGTATGTTCTTTAACAGAAACAAACTAGAAATCAATACCAGAAAAAATATCTGGAATGTATCTTGATAATTGGAAATTGAACAACATATTTCTAAATAACAAATCAGCCAAAGAAGAAACTGAATGTATTTTAAGTGAATGAAAATAAAAGCAATAATATCAAAATTTACGGTATGCAACAAAGCAATACTTAAAGGGGAATTTATATCTTTAACTGTTCATATTAGATCTCAGCTTTCACTTCAATAAACTAGGAAAAAAGATTTAAAACCCCAAGTACACAGAAGAATAGTTAGGAGCAGAAATCAACTACACAGAAAACAGAAAAATGTTAGAAAAAATGACCAGCTGTTTTTTGGAAAAGATCAATAAAATCAATCAAGAGCAAAGATAATGGAAAAAAAATCAGACACCAAGCAAACATATTAATAATTTGGACAATATAAATGAAACAGAAAAGTCCTTGAAAGACACAAAGTATTACAGTTCACCAGTTAAGAAATAAGTAACCTGAATACCTGGATATTGGTGTAATAAATTGAATTCGTAGTTTAAAAGCCCCACATATTAAAACTCAAGGCCCAAATTGATTCACTTGATCAATTCTACCAAACATTTATGTAAGAAATAGTACCAATTCTGCACAAACTTATTAGACAAATAGAAGAGGAGGAAGATATATTTCCAAAATTCATTTCTTAGGGCAGTATTACCCTGAAATAAAAACCAAACAAAGAAGTTAAAAGAAAATAAAACCACAGATGACATTCCCTCATGAACACAGATGCAAAAATCCTCAACAAAATATTAGCAAATTGAGTCCAACAATATATAAAAAGGGGTAATACATCACGGTCGAATAGCTTATCCCAGCATGCAAGGTTGGTTTAACATTAGAAATCAAACAATGTAATTTACCATATTGACAGATTAAGACTAAAAAAGCAAAATAACATAATCATCTCAATAAATGCAGAAAAAGCATTTGAGAAAATTAAACATACATTCATTATAAAAACTCTGAGCAAACTAGAAATAGACAGGAATATCTTCAACCTGATAAAAGATATCTATTAAAAATACCATAAATATCATACTTAATGGAGAAGAATGAAGGCTTTCTCCTCAAGATTAGGGAAAAAAGCAAGGCTGTTCACTCTCACTACTTCTACTCAGCATTATACTAGCAGTTCTCTAGAGTGCAATAAGGCAACCAAAAGCAATAAAAAGTGTCTAGATAGAAAAGAAAGGAAATACCTATATACACAGGAAATATGATTTTGTAGAAAATTCTAAGAAATATACAGAAAATATCTACCAGAACAAATAATTACATGTATCAATGCTACAGAAAATAAGGTCAGGATACCCAAATGAATTTTGCATATTAGCAATAATCAATTAAATATTTAAATTAAAATATACATGTACTTTTATATGTACAAAGCATCAATTATAGTACATCCTTGGGAATAAATTTACAAAATATGGGCAAAATCTGTATTCTGAAAACTGCAAAACATTGCTGAGAGAAATTAAAGATTAAAACCATCTTCCTTTCAAGGTGTTTACACTCTAATGAAGAAAGCAGGCAATATTTAAGATAAATAGGTTAAAAAATATAAAATATGTATTAATATGATTAGACCTAGAGAAACAAATCAGAGAAAGGGGTATAAAAAGTCGGAGGCAAGGCAGTTAATATCTAGATATATTAGCTATTGAAGGACATGGAAGGCCTCACTTAGAAGGTGACTTGAGATAAAAGCCAAAGAAATGAAAGGTTGAGAGCATTTCAGGCAGAAGAAAGAGGAGTTGCAAAGGCCTTGAGAATGGCATGTGCCTGGCTTGCTTTAGGATGGACAGAGACTGGCGTGGCTGCAGTGAAGCAGATGGGACTGAGGGGAGAATACTGGGAGATGGATGCAGAGAGCTAAGAGGGAACTAGGTCCAGCAGGGCTGCCTGGTCAGTCAGGACTTTGGCTTTTCCCACAGGTGAGATGGGAAGCTGTGGGAGGGTTTCCCAGGGGAGCGATGTGATTTACATATTTGAGAGATGGCCCTGGCCGCCTGGGAAAGCAGGTAGAAGGCCACTGCAGTACCTCAGGAAAGAATGCACATACCTTAGACAAGGGTAATGGTGGTGGGAAAGAGAAGAAATGGTTCCAAACCTATTTTGAAGGTAAACCAATGGTATTTTCTGACCACCTAGATGTAGGGTGTGTAAAACAGAGGGAAAGAGAAAAGATAGCCAAGAGTTTGACCTAACAACCAAGCTAATGGGGTTGCCACTATCTGAGAAGAGGAAAAAGGTTACAGGAGCTGGAGGTGTGGGAGTGGAGTAGAAGGGTCTCAGCTTATTCCCATTGACTTGAGGTATCCATTTGACACTCAAGTACAGATGTCAGGGAGGCAGTTGGCCAGACAAGCCTGAAGTTCAAGGTCAGGTCCAGTGCGGGTTCAGGTGGTCTGGGCTGGAGACATGAATGTTGGAATCCTCAGCCAGACTGCGCATGGTTTTTAGAACCATGAGACTGGATAACACCACCTAGGAAGTGAGGAGATCCAAATATCAATCCTTGAGCACTCCAACATTCAGAGCTCAAGAAAACAAGGAGAAGCACAAAATAGCATGAAAAGAACCAGCGAGGGAGGTAGGAGAAAAGCAGGTGATGAGTGTCCGGGAAGCCAGGTACAGTCAGGGCTTCGAGGAGTAGAGAGACTGGTCATCTGTGTCAAGTAAGAGGACAGCTGAGAAATTATGACATTTAGCAAAGTGAGTCTCTGATAACCTTGAGAAGAGTAATTGTGGTTGAGTGGTGGGGGTGAGAGCATGACAGGCAGGAGTTTAAGAATGAATAGGAGGAGAAAAATGGAAGCATGGAGAATATTTTCAAGGGGAAGTAGACAGACAGTTTTCTAAAGATAAAATCAACATTGTCTAAAACGTGGATAGTAAGGATCAAATGTATCCATAAGCAGGGAAACAAAAACTAATGAGGCATGTTTACATCTACAGGAGGGTCAAAATTGGAGAAAAAACACCTTATGCTTCCAGAGAAGGGAAGAAAACATGCATTCATACATCTGTAGTGGGAGTGCACATTCCAAAAACATTTTTGAAAAAGAATTTGGCAATACCTATTTAATTTTAAAATTTGTAAACTGTTCACTTCACCCGTGGATATCTATTCTATACAAAAATGTGAAAACCACACATATATCAACAAAGACATAGATTGGGATCTTCATTACAACATTGTTTATAGAAAGAGCTCACTAGAAATGCTTATAATCTATCCTCATTATTCACAGCTTCTATATTTCCAAATTCAACCATGTGATAAAGTGTACCTGTGAGCCCCAAGGTGATAATCACAGCACTTTTGCCATCGTTCTCAGGCATAGTGGCAGAAGATTCGAGTTGTCCAATGTTGGCATTCCCAACTGCAGCAGAACAAAGCACTATTCTGCTTTCTCATTTCAACTTTCATGCTGTGAACAACTGTCCTTTTCTGTTGTTCTATTTGGTGCTCCATTTTTTTGCATGTTTGTAACTTACACTGGTGATCTCACTGTTGAAAGTGGGTCCCAGGCATAGTGCTGAAGTACTGTATAGTATCACTAAGGGCAAGAAGGCTGTGAACGCCTTATGGAGAAAATGCATCTTTGAGATAAGCTTTGCTTAGGCACAACTCATGGGTTGTTGGCCATGAGTCCAATGTTTATGAATCAACAATATATATTCAATAAGGTGTCCTTAAAAAGAAAGACACATAAAACAAGGTTATCTATTGATCATTTGACTAAAATGTTTAGACTAGAGGTTCAAAGGAAGCTAACGTTGAGTCTCTCCTAGAAGCAATGGTTCAGTATCCACTAGTTGCACATGAACTAGTGTTCATGATGACTTTATAGAACAAAGCAACCATAAATAACAGGAATGAATTGTCTCCCTTTGTTGAGAATTGTGTGAGTAAATTAAAGTATATCCCAAGGTGTGCACCATGTGATATTACGAGCCCTTTAAAGATCACTACTCAATCAAAGGAACCCAAGTCCTTGGAGTCATTTCCTTAAGGTACTGTTGCATGAGAAAACTAAGGTGCAGAGGACCATAATATGATGTCACTTTTTTTTTCTTTTGGAGATGGAGTGTCGCTCTTGTCGCCCAGGCTGGAGTGCAATGGCGCGATCTCGGTCCGCCACAACCTCTGCCGTCCAGGTTCAAGTGATTCTCCTGCCTCAGCCTCCTAAGTAGCTGGGATTACAGGCATGCACCACCATACCCAGCTAATTTTGTAATTTTAGTGGAGACGGAGTTTCTCCATATTGGTCAGGCTGGTCTCGAACTCCTGACCTCAGGTGATCCACCCGCCTCGGCCTCCCAAAGTGCTGGGATTACAGGCGTGAGCCACTGCGCCCAGCCAATGTGATGTCATTTCTAACCTTTGTCATCTCTCTCTGATTTCATGTGGTTGCCTGAGCATGCATAGAGTGATGTCCACCAAGTCAGCAATGTGGGCTCTGGGGGTGGGTGTGGGTATCTGTGGAGCAATGTGCTTGCAGTGCAGAGGGCAGGGGCAATTAAAAGAAAACAGCACAGTTGATGGTATCATTTATGTCGGATGATGTTTGTACTATGAAGAAATTTGAAGGAAAAAGTCACAGTTAGTCTTCTATGTACTGACTTGTAGGGATGACCATGTTGGAAAAAGAGCAAGTTGCAAAATAATGTGTGCAATGTGATTCTATTCTAGTAACAACTCTGCTTATTATATGTGTCTTAGAATTAGTGAGAAAAAGGTTTCTAAACATATCAAGAGGTTGAGAGTTTTGTAGAAAAGTTTGCTTTTTAACGCTTATTTCTTTTTCTTTTCTTGCTCTCTCTATTTTTTTTTCTGAGATGGAATTTCACTCTTGTTGCCCAGGCTGGAGTGCAATGGCCCAATCTTGGCTAACTGCAACCTCTGCCTCCCAGGTTCAAGTGATTTTCATGCCTCAGCCTCCCAAGTATCTGGGTCTACAGGCATGCACTACCACACCTAGCTAATTTTGTATTTTTTTTCTTTTTTAGTAGGGATGGGGTTTCACCATGTTGGCCAGGCTGGTCTTGAACTCCTGACCTCAGGTGATCCACCCACCTCGGCCTCCCAAAGTGCTGGGATTACAGGTGTGAGCCAGTGCACCCAGCCTTTAATGCTTATTTATATTGGCTTGTCTCAGTAAGTCCAATAAGTATGTTTTGTTGAAATTTGAAAAAAAATACAAATAAAATATGAAAAAACATCAATTAGCTAAATATTATTCAGCTAACAAAGAAAGGATATAGCCATTTTAATAGCTAATTAATTTTGAAAATGGCACCAGCAGATACAATTTTATTATAAGATTCTGACTTGTTGTATGTAATGCTTTAAAATTCTTTGTCTATTTTTTCTTTTAGGAATCATTAAGAGCCATCAGATATGAAATATCTCCAGATAGAGAGTATGCACTTTTTTCATACAATGTGGAACCCGTGAGTATTATCCTTTACTGCCTACAAAATAATTGTTTCTTTATTCTAATATCTCATTAAGTATATTTCCTTGACTCTTCTATACTTAGTGATCTTTGAATCCAGAAATACTTTGTACATCCTGGAAGTCTCTTTTGCATATCATACTGCCACCTAGGAGAGAGGAAAGGTATAAATATCTGCTTGGCAGGGGAAAAAAGTCACATACTTTAGAGGCTCTTTCATAGACTTTTCTTAGGAGGATGGTAAGAACTTGTCTCTTCATAGACACAAATCTTGCCCTTTTGTGCAATTATTTTTCTGGCTGTTTTCTCAGTGAAATAATAGATTTTATCCTAAGAACAAAAAGCAACTGCCAGGTTCTCCTTAAACTGAAATAATATGTTAATTATCTCCTGGTCATTGTAGTGTTCTAGTGAAGAGCTGAAGCTATCACTTCCACTATTTAAATGCCTATTTTTAGCACTTCCTGTATATATGAGCCTCCCATAAAATTTCACCAGAATTTTCTGTAAAATCTCACTGTGTATTAGTAGCAGTGTAAAACTTCCTAGGCCAGGATCTTCCTTCTTCTTCTTGTTTTTTCATTTGACATGCTCGTATTTCAAATTTCATTTTGGCTCTTTAATTTTAAATAGTTGGAAGGTGAAGTTTATTTGTATAAGTGGAGAGGATGTTCAGTTTACAAGAGATAAGCAACTTTAGAAATGTATGTTTTAAGAACTTTCCTCTCTGGCAAATAAGATATAGAGTCTACTACTGCCTCCCTGGCATTTCTGAGACCATTTGAAATAGAGTTTCCTGGTGCTTCTGTGAGGTGTAATGACTCCTGCATTTTAATTCAGGTCAGAATGGCTCTGTGGTGAGTTTGAGAGAATCTTTTCTGGCATGAGACAGTCAAGCTTTTTGGTTTATATCCACTGGGAAAGCTGGGGTATTGGTTTGTATGAAGATGCAAGTTCAATTCTGAATTCTTAAACTTTCTTTTAGAAGTTGATTGGACAACTGGATTACTGGAGATTTCAACTTTATTCTTCCAACTGTAGATTTTTTTGGACTCTGTTTCAGTCTTCCATTTTTCTATTTTTAAATGTCCATTCTATAAAGGTTTTCATTTTTTCCATCCAAATTCTTTGAAACAATGGGGCATCTTTGTCTCTTTGATTGGGATCAGTTGGTGAACTTGACATTCTAAAAGGCTTGGGACTCTGCATTACCTAGACACAGCCTTAAACTTGCCTCTTTCAGCCTCAGGCACCTGGATGTGATGTTCACGGGTCATAGACCATTTCAGCTTCCTTCATCACCCTTGAAAACCACCAGAAATACAATCTCCACACCTGTATAAAAGAAAAATGTTAGCAGATATTTGAAAGCCTTACATGGATGTGTTCTGGTTTGCCCCAGGAGGCACAGCTAACACCTGAGTGAGAAAAGCCTAGAAAGACAAATTGATTTCAGGTTATCCTCCTAGAGAATCTTTAATCATCGGAGCACCCCGACAGTGGGATGGAGGTAATGAGCATTCCGTTCCCAGAAGCCTCAAAACAAAGTGAGGTATTGTTCTCCGGAATGTGACAGAGGGGTTCCCGCAGCCGTGTGATCGGAAGAGGCGTGCTCTAGTCAGTGGTGCTGTGGTTCTGTGCATGATACAATTCTCCACCACTTTCTTCGGCTTCCCAGCGCTCTGTTTGGAAGAGTGCCCTGGGATCCCATTGAACCAGAAACCATTTTGATAAAGATCATTTTGCTAAAGATGAGTCTTCACCATGTGGAGCACTGGCTGTAAACAGGAACCTTGAAATAACCCTTTCTCACTGGGCAGCATCTGTCGGTGTTTGGAGTAAGACTCTTCAGTTTGTCTTCTCAACTGAAGGAAAACCTAGGAAGTTTGAAGTGTATTTACAGAACTATAAAAATGATAAAATTGAAAATGTAAAAAGTCTATAGAAACAGATATTTTAAGTTGAATAAAATAAGTAATCCTTAATAGTTTTCAGCACTGAGCAGTTACTGTATACATGACTATTCAAGCAAGTATTCTCTGTTCTTCTGGAGGAAAAATTATAAGGGAAATTATAACCTATAGGTTATGAGTAGTGTGTCTTCTCTCTGAACTCCTTAGCGCTATACCAAGATACAATCCAAGTTCTTGAAATTCTATCAAATCCACAAAATATGTAATAAAAGGATTACATATGGGATTCTGCATGAGAATTTGGAGTTAGATATTAGGAAGATCTTCCTAACTAGATAAACTAAAATGTAAG
The DNA here is from genome assembly GCF_000001405.40 of Homo sapiens. Classification (NCBI taxonomy): domain Eukaryota; kingdom Metazoa; phylum Chordata; class Mammalia; order Primates; family Hominidae; genus Homo; species Homo sapiens. The sequence continues at coordinate 154,569,187 of NC_000007.14, forward strand.
TAATTTTAGAAAAGGGAGGGGTAAATTTCAAAGGAAGAGTCTAGGTCTGTGATTCTGGAATAAGTGGAATAGACCAGGACTTCCTAATCAGTATTTAGTATCAGTAATTGTTATTGCTAGTATTGTATTAATAGTATAATCAATTAAAAATATTATCCATTGGTATTCTTTAAAAACAATTAAAGGTTCCATATTCAAATACATTTGAGAACTCTAGTTAAACAGATAAGTTTCTTGAAGTTCCTGATATTCTCATGTTGGTTACATAGTACTTCCCAAGTGGGTATTACAACATGTGATTCCAATCTAATTATAATGAAACTAGAATTTGTTATTTGGATTCATGCTCAACATATTCTTATGTGTGTATCTCAAAGGCAGCTAGTGTAACTTGTTTATATGAACCAACTCAACTTTTCATTAAAAAGACTATCATAAAATTGTTTTAGTGTAAACCAACTGTCCAATTACTAGATATCTGTCATTTATTTCAGTATATGTTTCATTTGCAATAAAATTTTGGTATATTGGGTTACCACTGCACTAAAAAAAAAAAAAAATCCTACTATCCCACATTTCGTCAGGATAATTATAATCTCTTCAATCTCTGCTTCTCTTTGTTGCCTGCCCAAAGATACTGGACTTGGAAGTCAAATAATCATAGGTTCAAGGGCTCATTCCGATGCTCACCAGCTATGTTTGCTTGAGTAACCCACTAAACCTTATGCACTGCATCTTGGAGCCATCTTCCTGGGTGACCCTGGGCTTCTGTTTCTCAGTGGTGAAGGGCGACCCAATGAATGTCAGCTCTCCTACACTTCCAGGGTATATGTGTTTGAGCACAGAGTAGTTCCGTATGTATACCCAGGGCCAGATTTAAGGCTCTATCCAATTTCATTGGAATGGAGTTGATGGATGCCTACATGAAATCAGCTGTCTTGGCAGTGGCTCAAGTAGAAGTGAGTAAGAGCTTTCCAGCACAGCATGGGTGGTAAGAGAAATGAGGAAACAGATCATTAAGGAGTTTAGACACAAATAGTACAGCAACATCCTGAGAATAAGAGTTGAAGGAAAGATGTTTAAGTTTAATTTTTAGAATATGCATTGGGTATCTCTTCTTCTCATTTATTCAGACTAATTGCAATGTTATATCATTTCCCAGTTGTTTGGCATAGACTAATTTAATTTGTCCATTTTTATATTGTCAGATACTCAAAGACAGGGACAGGTCTTTTTATCTCCTATCTGTCCCCACCTCAGAGGACCCAGCACAGGGTGATCTGCGTACATTTAGTACTGAGCAAATATATTTGTGGTGTGTGTATATTCTCTCCGAACCCCTTAGCGCTATACCAAGATACAATCCAAGTTCTTGAAATTCTATCAAATCCACAAAATATGTAATAAAAGGAAAATACCTCAGTTGTGAAATATCCTAATAACGTTCCATGTTTATTCTAGAAATGTGGGATCATGCTAATTAGCATGCTTTTTCCTACTAAACTCTTCTAATATTACTAAATGTATAGCTTGGCTAGCATCCTTGAACATACACAAGTTAGCTCATCTTAACTATGCCAACCCTATGTTTTTTTGAGAGCTTTAAAAGTAGCCTTTAAAAAGGTGTTTGAAATATCAATTATCAAGTAAATTTGAGAAACAGCAAACCCAATTTTCCACTTTTTCAAGCCTCAGACACCTATAGGTTATAAGTAGTGCATCTGGAATGTTGAAAATAATAAACAGTATTGTGTTTGTATTTATGTGGCACCAGCATTATAGTTTGCAATGTGTGCTTATTTACACCACCTTATTTTATCTCAAAAGATCATTCCTGCTCCAAAGAGACAACATGTGCTAAATGAGTTTTATTTTATTTTATACATAAAATTTCATAACATTTCTCAGTGTACACTTCCTGAATATTCTCTTGAAATTAAGTTAGACATTGGAGAAATAGCAATTTTTTATTTTTAATTTGAAAACTGTATTAACTATACTAATAAAGAAAAATTGCCTTAAAACAAATGTATCTAATTAGAGCAGCCATGCTTTTTTATATTGAGATATATTTGACAAATATGAAACATTTCCAAATCTCTTTGGGGAGAGGGAAAAAGAATGTAAAATGCATTATCTAAGATCATTTAAAAATATTAATACTTTTTCCTACTAAACTATTTTAATATTACTAAATGTATAGCTTGGCTAGCATCCTTGAACATACACAAATTAGCTCATCTTAACTATGCCAACCCTATGTATTATTGAGAGCCTAAAAAGTAGCCTAGTATTAATATCTTAGATCATTTAAAAATATTAATTTCAAAGACCTAAGAGAAAAATATTCTTCCTTGAAGAATCATTTCTGAAAGAGTCACTGAAGATTTGTGAGGAATTTCATTGCAATATTTAAAGGAGTTAGTTGAAATGATTGTTCTTAGTCAGATCATTGCCAGTGGAACATCATTCTGGTCCAAATGAAATTCTGTCCAAAATCTGGTCAGATTTTAAGATTTTTTTCCTAAAATCCCAATCACACAGTCATTCAGTCAGTAAAATGGGTTGATACACTGATCTGTTTATAAACTGTTCATATAACTGAAACACATAAACCAATCCGTTTTAGTTACTTGCCACTGCATAGCAAATTATCCCCAAACATAGCAGCTTAAGACAAACAACATGTATCATCCCAGTTTCTGCTGGTCGGAAATCTGGGCTCAAGTTAGCAGGATCCTTGCACTCAGGGTCTTCTATAAAGAAGACTGTGGTCAAGGTGACATCCGGGCTGCAGTTGCATCTGAGAGCTCACCTGGGGAGGAGTCTGCTTCCAAGCTCAGGGCATGGGTGTTGACAGGGCCCAAATGCCATCCTTAGAGATGGGTTCTGCTCAGTCCTGAGAGAAGATGGTTTGCTGCTGAGCTTTTCATGGCAGGAATTGGAAGCAGTTTTCATATTTGATAAATTTCTACTATTTTCCTGCCATCGTGGTGAGTTGATAGAGCCCATTTTGCTCTCTAAGGGACTGTGAAATTTATAATTCATATAAAGCTTGAAGAACACCCTGATGTGGATAATCCTGATCAAACCTGCTTGGTGAGGTGAACCCCAACTATATCCCAGAATCTTCTATGCACCCATCTGGTCGAGTTACCTATTTATCTATATCTTAATTAATTTTAAAAAATAACTTGAGGCTTTATAAATGTAATATAAGGGATTGGGCTATAAATTATTGAACCCATATTGTGGACTAAATTATAACTGCTGGAAATCAATTCAGGTAATTCTGAGTATATGAGTTTCTTTTTTTTTCTTTTCTTTTTTTTTTTTTTTTTTTTTTTTTTGGTGGTGTCTCACTCTGTTGCCCAGGCTGGAGTGCAGTGGCGTGATCTCGACTCACTGCAACCTCCCCATCCCAGGTTCAAGAGATTCTCCTACCTCAGCCTTCTGAGTAGCTAGCATTACAGGCACCCGCCACCACACATGGCTAATTTTTTTTTTTTTTGAGACAGAGTCTCACTCTGTCACCTAGGCTGGAGTGCAGTGGCACGATCTCAGCTCACTGCAACCTCCACCTCCCAGGTTCAAGTGATTCGCCTCCCTCAGCCTCCCAAGTAGCTGGGATTATGGGCACGCACCACCACACCTGGCTAATTTTTGTATTTTTGGTATAGACAGGGTTTCACCATGTTGGTTAGGCTGGTCTCAAACTCCTTACCTCATTTGATCCACCCGCCTCGGCCTCCCAAAATGCTGGGGTTACAGGGGTGAGCCACCACACCTGGCCAATTCTGAGTATATGAGTTTCTTTGTTGCAAGAAATATAGCTATTGTTATAATATGGTTCTGATGTTTACTGCCATCCCTTCTTCATTACAAGAAGGGATGAAATCTTCGTCCAGGAGTGGCTAAGGGAATTGTGTTTCTTGATTCTCGTGCTCTTGGACTGGTTCTTTCTGCACTGTCTACAGAGCCTTTCCTGGGCCCACCTCTGGGAACCAGTTGATCCAAGCGTTTTCTGCTGGACGAAGGCCTTGCACATTCTCATGTGTGGGGGCTGCTATCAGAATTGCAGGGAGCTCTCTGTCTCCCTCTGCAGTGGCCTCAGAGGGCAAACTGAAGAGCAGGGCCTGCGTGTGCCATTTCTACCACACCTGCCGCCCTTTCTGCATCAGCCCAGTAGCTGCTGCAGCAGCAGGAGGCGAGTCTCACCTTCAGCACGTTCTCCTTCTGAGAAGGCAGTGGATGAACAGCCTGTCCACCACCCACTGAGACCAGAAGCTGCCCCTTCACTGCCTGGAAGTGCATCCTGCACCCATCAGCATCACTCCAAGCCCTTTTATCCCGGGATGAATTCCCGTGTCTCAATCCCAACCATCTTTCCTTTGCGACCGAATTTATAAATAATGGTCCAGATTGTTTTGTCAGCATCTTGCCTGACATGTTACTCTTAGCCGATATAAGGCCAACTTCTCTGTGACTCTTACTACATGAGATTATCAAAAATGGTCATCACTGATTTTTGAAATGTGTGTTTTCACATAGCTCTTAGCACAATGCGTGCAGTTTCATAATACTGTGAAAATCAAATCATATATCCACGTTCTTGGGAAACTGTTTAAAGGCTAAGCCTGTGTAAGCAGTGTAAGATAATGCTGATGTGGGCTCCTGTCCCTTGTAGACTGCTGCCTCCTGTTGTGAATCTGACCAGCAGCCTCAGAGGAAAGAGATTGTTTCTGTTGTGGAAGGCCACTGGCTGCTGTTGGTTTCCATCTGTTTTTGAAATTATAGATTTTTAGGGTGTTTTGTTGTATTGTTTTGACACAGAACTGGCTCAAAACTAACAATTATTTTCTTGTTTGTTTTTTATTTTTATTTTTACTCAGGTTTTGGAGCTAAATGTAAAAGCACAAGCTTAGGCATAGAAAAAATGTAGCCCAAACAATGGTTCTTTTCTCAACAAAATGCAAACTTTGTTAAGGTAATGCTGTGCGTGTGTGTGTGTGTATGTGTGTGGGGTCTGTGTGTGTGGCGTGTGTGTGGTGTGGTGTGTATGTGTGGTGTGTGTGTATGTGTGTGGGGTCTGTGTGTGTGGCGTATGTGTGTGTATGTGTGTGGTGTGCTGTGTATGTGTGTGTGGTTTGTGTGTGGTATGTGTATATGTGTGTGTTGTGTATGTGTGTGTATGTGGTGTGTGTATGTGTGTGGTGTGTGTATGTGTGGTGTGTATATGTGTGGTGTGTGTGTATGTGTGTGGTGTGTGTGTGGTACGTGTATATGTGTGTGGTGTGTGTATGTGTATGTGGTGTGTGTATGTGTGGTGTGGTGTATATGTGTGGTGTGTATGGTGTGGTGTGTGTGTGGTATGTGTATAAGTGTGTGGTGTGTGTGTATGTGTGTGGGAGTGTATGTGAGTTTGGGGTGTATGTGTGTGGTGTGTGTGTGTGGTGTGTGTGGTGTAGTGTTTGTGTATGTGTGTGGTGTGTGTGGTATATGTATATGTGTGTGGTGTGTGTGTATGTGTGTGTGGGGTGTACGTGTGTGGTGTGTGTATGTGTGTTGTGTGTGTATATGTGTGTGGTGCATATGTGTGTGTGTGTGGTGTGTGTTTGTGTGTGTGATGTGTTTGTGTGGTGTGTGGGGTGTACGTGTGTGATGTGTGTGGTGTGTGTGTTTGTGTGTTGTGTGTGTGTGGTGTGTGTATATGTGTGGTGTGCGTGTGTGTATGTGTTTGGTGTATGTGTGTTGTGTGTGTGTGATGTGTGTTTTTGTGTGGTGTGTGGTGTGCTGTGTGTGTATATGTGTGGGGTGTGTGTGTTTGTGGGTGGTGTATGTGTGTGGTGTGTGTGGTGTGGTGTGTGTGGTGTGTTTGGTGTGTTGTGTGTATGTGTGTGATGTGCGTGTGGTGTGTATGCTGTTTGTGTGTGTGTGGTGTGTGTGTGGTATGTGTATGTGTGTGTGGTCTGTGTGTATGTGTGTGGGGGGGTATATGTGTGTGGTGTGTGTGGTGTCTGTGGTGTGTGTGTGGTGTGGTGTGTGTGTGGTGTTTGTGTGGTGTGTGTGGTGTGTATGTGGTATGTGTATGTATGTGGTGTGTATGTGTGTGGGGGGTGTATGTGTGTGGTGTGTGTATGTGTGTGTGGTGTGTGTATGTGTGTGTGGTGTGTGTGTGATGTGTGTGTATGTGTGTGATGTGTGTGTAGTGTGTGTGTGGTGTTTGTGTATGTGTGTGTGGTGTGTATGTGTGTGGTGTGTGTATGTGTGTGRGCGGGTGTATGTGTGTGGTGTGTGTGTGGTGTGTGTTTGTGTGGTGTGTGTGTGGTGTGTGTATGTGCGTAGTGTATGTGGTGTGTGTGGTGTGTTTATTTGTGTGTGGTATATGTGTATGTGTGAGCGGGTGTATGTGTGTGGTGTGTGTATGTGTGTGTGGTGTGTGTGTGGTGTGTGTGGTGTGTTTTTGTGTGGTGTGTGTGTATGTGTGTGGTGTGTGTGGTGTGTGTATGTGGTGTTTGTGTATGTGGTGTGTTGTGTGTATGTGGTATGTGTATGTGTGTGTGGTGTGTATGTATGTGTGGTGTGTGTATGTATGTGTGGTGTGTGTATCTGTGTGTTTGTGTGTGTAGTGTGTGTGTGTGTTGTTCTGGCTAGTGGGGGAATTGGAGGATTTTACTTACCTGCAGCATTCCAGCGGATCTACAGGTTTTGAGGTTTCAGGATCGATTCTTTCGTGTATAGCTTTTGCAGAGCATGTGAAATATTTATTTGTCTCATGCAGGGCTACAAAAAGAGGCTTTTGCACACATCCCCAGACAGGGGGAAGTCCTAATGAGACCATGCATTCCAGGCCGGCCCGCAGTGGAGGGGTTGTCATAAGTGGCAGTTTGTGTCCATGATTTGAGGAGCACAGAAAACACCTCCCCTACCATCACCCCACACAGGGACACCGCTGTGAGTCACCTTCTAATTGGTCTCTCTACTTCCCCGTGCCCCCATCCCGCTGGTCTGCACAGCGTGGCCACAGTGATCTTTTGACGGGTAAATCAGGGCGCATCTCCGTCTGCGTCCACCGCTGCATAATAGTGATGGACGCTCACTCCCTGCAGAGGCCCGAGGCCACGAGACCTGACCCCACACTCCACACTCCACACTCTGCCCAACCACGATGACCTTTCTGTGTAACTCAGTGCTCCTGAGTCCCTTCCAAATTCAGGGCCTTTGAACTCATGGTGCCTTCTCCCCCTAGAACATTCAGACCTATAGGGAAACACACATGCCTTTTGTAGTAGAAAGGGAGGAAATAGCTGAAAATGTAGGTAGCTTTGTTTCTAGGCCTAGTGAAAGAATCACTGAGTTCCTTTCAATGCATTATTTTATTATTCCCCCCAAATTTTGAGATACGGTCACTTGTTGAGAGTGATGGTGGAGGAGTGGGCCAGTTTGAGGGAGTGTGATCTGGAGACAGAATGCAAGAGCGGTCTCAGCAGGCCGGGCACAGCCCCTGTGGATGGATGCGCGGGAAATACCAGGCTCTTGGGGGAGGAGGCTGCTCACTATCTCCCCTGAGTATTCAGCACCCACGACCTGCACGGAGACCCTGGTAGGTGTCCCCTGGGGCTAGGAATTTGGCAAGTAAGAGAGATCAGGTATTTTCAGAGGAGTGGTGATTGCCACAGGCCTCAGAAACACCGGGTCTGGGAAGAGTGAAGCCAAGAGGAGCCAGAGGTAGAAAATGGTGGTGTTGATGGATTAGCAGTGTTGAGTTGGGTCAGAAGTCCAAGGTGGTGGTTGTGCAAAGGCAGTGGAAGGGTAGAGTGGGGATATCAGAAGGTAAGTGCAGCTAGGTTCCTGTGATGATGGGATTCATAGGAGAAGTGAAAATATGAAGGACGGGTCAAGGGCTGACAGGTTTGAACAAGGCGTAGTTTGGGGGAGGATGACCTGGAAGACACTCAGTGGTGCTTTAGGAGGGGGACAGAGAGCCTCAGAGATCCCAGGGACTCACAGGAGGAGGAGGAGGAAAGATTCGGGGAGGGTCGTGGGGAAGGACCCCCCTGTCCATCTTGCAGCGTTTAGAACATGGGAGGGTGGGATTAGAAAGAGCCTGCATGGAAGAGAGGAAGCCGAGACCCCTGAGAGCCAGGCCTGTGCAGGTGGGAGCTGGAAGGGGACAAACTCCAGGAGAGACTGCTGGTGCAGGAGCAGCTGGCTGATCAAAGGGCAGATGTTTCAGGGAACACCGTGGAAGTTTAGACAGCCAGGGGCAGGTCAAGGATTAGGTCCTCCAAAGCCGTGTGGGGTGTCTGTGAAGAGCACTGTTGCTTGGCCTCCTGCAGTGATAATGTAGTAATAATAAGTTCTGAAGACCACCCACCAGCTTGCCAAGGGGATCTGACTCTTCTCCATGAACCAGTGACATGCCTGTAATTGGTAAGAAAAGAAGTGAAGAAATGTAAATGAAGAGAGAGTGGGTTTGCTGAGTGAGATGTGAGATAGAGAACACTCGATTGCTTTCATTAGGAATGGCCATCATTGTAATGTAGTGAGGGGAGAATGACTCAAGTACTTCTGGAAGGACTGGTTCTTCAATTCCGACGTAGCTGGCCATTATCGTAGCTCATTAGTGGCAATTACTTTCAGAGACTCAAAAGCAATTAATATAGACCCAGTTACTCAGGCCTTCTGAACAACAATTAAGGCATAGAGAGTTTTAGTGTGGATCATTATCTCTACTTGATGGTTACAGCATTTTTAAACTACGACAAACTGTACAGATTAATCATTGTTGTGTGTTACGACCAATTCCATTTGTGATTTAGGGCTCCAACTGCTGTGGAGAAGATAATTTCACAACATGTTAACTTAAGATGCCAGCCATAGCATTACCAGTAATATCACACGCATTGCCCTTTTAGCACAGGGTTAAAATTAGAAAACCATTTCTTGAAACAGGTTAGGACATGCTTTTGCTTGTCTTCTGCTCAACTAAAATTATTGTTTTTATGATGCCAAATAGACTTTCCAGAATGTCATTGTCAAAAGTTTATGGTGTTCCCGCTTCTCTCTTGGTGTTTTTCACAGTAAGGCAACTCATCATTGCCGAGCCTGGCGACGCTCTCCATGCACAGCATAGCAAGTGCCTGGGAATTTTGTAGTTTTCACAAACAATAGGTTTTCATTTTCTAATGTTCTTTTTCCCACTGTATCAGGTTGCTTTAGTCTTGAGAGTTTATGATAGATGGAAGTTTGAGCATTGAGAGAACCTTGGGTACCGTCCTGGCAGGCTGCGTGCAAGAGTAAGCAGGGGCTATTCGGGCTTGGCAGGGGCTATTCGGGCTTGGCAGGCTTTGGTGAGGCATCAGCTGTGACTGTGCTTTGGGCCAAGTCCATAACCACAGTTTTGGAATCTGTAGAAATTAATGAGYSCAAGTGGTGAGTTGCTTGAACAGTTCCCAAATTGGGTGCCGCCTTGGGTCTCTCAGTGACTTGYCTCTAGTGGACGGTGGTGCCAATTTAACAGACACCAGAGTGTCTGGGTTTGTATGATTTCTCTTGAGTGTGTGTGCCTGTCCGTGAGGGTAGGTGTGCATATGTGTGCACAAAGGGAGTAAGTAGTAAGTACTTTCTCACTAAAAGTGGGAGATGAAGGGGAGGAGGAACATGCAGGGTTATTCTTCCAATGGCACTGCAATCTGCTGTATAATTCAGAAATCATAAACTGGAAAAATAGCCATTCTTTTAAGTAGAAGGAGCGTAACAGTGGCTAGGCATCACTCCATAATCTAGCTCTCCACCTGAGCAACACGTGCAGAGCTTCAAGAGGCTCTGAATTCTTTCTGGCTGCCAGAGATAACCAATTATACAAAGAAGAAAAATCTGCCAGGTGCAGTGGCTCATGCCTGTAATCCCAGCACTTTGGGAGGCCAAGGTGGGCAGATCACCTGAGGTCAGGAGTTCGAGACCAGCCTGGCCAACATGGCGAAACCCCATCTCTACTAAAAATACAAAAATTAGCCAGGCATGGTGGTGGGCGCCTATAATCACAGCTACTCAGGAGACCGAGACAGGAGAATCGCTTGAACCCGGGAGGCAGAGGTGGCAGTGAGCTGAGATTGTGCCACTGCACTACCGCCTGGGCAACAAGAGCAAAACTCCGTCTCAAAATAAAAAAGAAAAGAAAAAGAAAAATCTTATGTTTTCTTACTCTTGGAATGAAGAAATATGCAAGTACGAAAATTCATGAGGAGATTCGGTAGGTATCTAGCTCTGATTAAATGATTTATTAGAAATAAGAATTAGTGAAATCAACCACTTTTTAAGTTACAAAATATTACAATGATCAGTTTTAACCTCACCCCCTGCCCTGAATGAACTAATTGTTTTTCTTAGAGCCAGGTAAGGGCCTGCCATTGGCAAGCTTGCACCTTGAGTTAGGGTTAGAGTTGTCATGAGTCAAATGCCAGCCATGTCCTCTTCTGCCCCCCATGGGGGGGCCCAAAGTGCAGGAGTGACAGAGAGGAACAGAGGCAGATGGGCAGCAGGGAGATGGACTGGCAGGTACCTGTGTCCTCACAGGTAATTACGTGTCATTCCCTCTGGATGGTTTCTGAACTGTGGGAACTCCCCCATGTGCATTGATGGGAGAAGAGCCAGGCAGAGACACGGTAAGGAGGGCAAGTTATCCATGTGACCTTAGGGATACTTGGGGCAAAAGTAGGCTAACCTCCGTGCACACCCTGGAACAAAATCTTTAAAAGAGAGAGCACAGAAGAGAGAGAGAGAGCACTTTGCCCGGAATGAGCCCCATAATCAGACACCACATCTCCCAAATTAGCAGCACCCTTGGTTTCTGGGCAGGCTGAGTTTCCCGCGCGTCGGAGGGGATAGGATGTAGCGGTGAATAACAGTAAGACTCCAAAATCAAGTGGGTATGTCTGACGATCTGCCTCTCTCTCCCCCTTACACACACACACACACACACACACATGCACACATACTCTCCCTCCCCCTTACACACACACACATACTCTCCCTCCCCCTTATACACACACACATGCACACACACATTAACACACACACACATTCATTGCTCTTAGTATATTTCCTCCCTACCTCCTTAACTTTGACCATTGACAAATTTTTCTCTCTTAAGAAGTCTTGAGGCAGTGCACTCGGGCATAACTCCCTTCCTTGTGATACATCCACGTCTTTGTGAATGATGAATGGAACGTTGCTCACTTGTTAGTAATTCCAACAGACAAAGACGTGGCCTGAGACTGCCCCTCACCTGCTCTATAATGGCTTCTTGCAGCCTGCTTTCCTCCCTCCAGCGCTGCCGTTAGAGCCTGAGGGGTCCAAGGGAGTCAGTCTGCCCCCGTGAGTCTTCATGTGGTGTAGATGATGTCAGGGTCAGAAACTGACATTCAACACGAGCTGAGGCCCATGGTCCCAAAAATGTGTGTGAGCTGTAGTTGTCCAAAGACGTGAGAGGACAAGAGGCTTGAGTCAGGGAAGGCCGACGGAGAAGAAAGCCTGGAAGGAGAGGAGGATCCGGGGTGAAGAAGAGAGGAATGGGGAGAACCTTCCCGGTGCGATCACTGCAGAGGAACAGAGGCCGCCATGGGAAACACCTGCAGCGAGCATCAGCGAGGAGCTGAAAGTGCTCAGGTATCAAAAGAAGGCAGAAGAAAGAGCAGCAAAAAGGAGAGAAAAGTCAACATAAAAATTTAACACGGGTCCCTTCTGCTGACAGAAGCCTTCCCAGTGCCTATTGCGGCCACCTTCCTAATGTGACCTCAGATCCAAATTTAGAAACAGCCTCTGTTCCCTCCGCTCCCAGACTGTTTTTTCTGCTTGCCCTGCATTCATTTCTTGGAAGTTTTTTAAGTATATAAGAGCCCAGGTTGGCCAGGGCAGGGGTTAGGGAAGCAAAGGAACTGGAAACCTGTGTCCGCTGAATTGCAGAGCAGGAATAAGGGACTCTGCAGAAAAGAGCATGACAAAGAGCCGCGGATACAAGCGAGGGTAGCAGGAGAAAGAGCTAAGAAGGCAGAGGTTAGTTGTTTGATCGTGCACTTGGGGAAGGTGGAGGGAGAAGGGGCCGTGAAGAGATGGAACGGACTGGCAGAGGAGATTTGTGTGGGGAAAAGGAGACAGAGGGGACAGGAAGAAGGGGACAGAAGAGTAAAGAGCCTGGAAGGGCCAGGGAACCCTGCCTGCCATGGTCCTCCCCCACTTCCTCCCACACACCCTGATGCAACTGTGACTGCCCTGGCACCTCAGCAGCTTCAGAACAGGGAAAGGAGGAGAACACGGGTTTCACAGGAGGAGAAGCAAGGAGGACCCAGGGAGCTGGGGTGCCCTGTGATTCTCAACCCTGTCCACATGATCTGACCTGGGGGATGAGAGCTTATTAGATCCAACTTGAGTTGACAACAAAGAACTTCTGGAGCCTTTCAGGCCCTTTTGAAACAGGCAGATCTTCTCTGCAGTCATGTCTAATGCAGCAAAGAAAACAACAGTGTCCCCTGCAGGTGCAGGGACTTCTGGCCTGAGACAGCAGAATAATCGCTCCTGGAGTGGGAAGGTTGGCTTGTGTATTGTGCGCGGCCATCAGCAGCATCTCATTTCAGACTCTCTCATATCCCCGGAATGTCCCGGGGTTACCGAAAAGGCCCCATTCTCCTTCCACCTGCCTTCTCCTGCTGCTAGAAACCAGGATTTTTGACTATTGTCCCTGCATCCCCACATGTCACCCAGAGGCAGCCTTAGGCCCCCTGTCCTGGGCCACCCTTGGCATAACTGGAGTAGACCCGGGTGCCTACCACAGCCTCCTTTTCCTCAAGGGCAGCTGCCCTCTCGGTGCCCTGCTCACTGTGAGCAAATACATATTTAAAGACATATTCTGCTACTTCCCAAAGGGACCAGCCACCACCTGCACTCCTCGTCCTGGTGGAAACAGTCTGAGTGCTTGCTTTGGTAATCAAAGGTTTCATTGAGTGCAGATGTAGTGATCCTGGCAAAACCCTGGAAACAGAAAGTCAGCTGAAGGGGTGTTTCTGGAGATGAGGAATTGTGCTGGTTAGCCACGGGCATGTCCTGAGGATAATTATTTGTTTACAACATTTCTGTGAACAAAGAACATATAGGGACAGAAATAAGTTAGTTTCCAAGAATCTTGTGATGGGCTCCATTTATCTGACCCATTGGGTTTGTAGAAGAGGACAGAATGCTGCTTTGGTTCTCCTCCTTGGACAGTGGAACTAGAGAACGGGAAGCTGAGATGGCCGAGCTGAGTGGACAGAGGAGGGAGGAAGCCCCTCACCTCGCCTGCTTCCCACAGGGTCCCTTCCTCCTCCTCCTGTTTCCTAAGCTTCTCAGCTGGGCTTCAGATGTCAAGGTTTCCTGGCTTCTGCCACTTCACCTTCTCATCTTAGCTGCCACTGGACCATAAGCATTTCAGGTTGCTCAGATCTCTCCCACCGCAAAATAAAGCAAAGACAAAAAAGTTCTCTCTCTCTCAACCCATACCCATGTCCTCCTCTGGTTCTTCCCTTCACAGTCAAATGACTAAAGAAAGAAGCAGCTGCACTCACCTCTCTGTCCCCTCCCCACTCACTCTTCCGTGTGTCTCCCACAGAGTGGAATGAGTGCTCAGGGCTCAGCCACCCAGCCCCTGGGGAACAGTATGAGTGTCTTCCCCATGTTATACCCCCGGGGGAAGGTATGAGTGTCTTCCCCATGTTATCCATTAGGAGACGGGCTTTGGGAGATTGCAAGGTTTCTGCAGTGCCAGGGATGGAGGGCTGTGGTTCCAGGTATTCCTCTCTGCAAACACCTGCTCTTGATGGGGGCTCTGCTGCCCCTGAGCCCACTGGTAACTGTACTTGGCCCCCACCACACAGCAAAACTCTCACCCATCTTACCAGCAGTCTTCTCGCCCTGGAATTCACTGGTGCCTGTTTTAGGCTGCCTGGGCTGCCATGGCAAAATACCACAGACTGGGCAGCTTAAACAACAGACGTGTGTATCTCAGAGTTCTGGAGGCTGGAAGTACAAGGTCAAGGTGCCAGCAGGTCGGTTTCTGGTGACGGCTCACCTCTTGTGTAATTTTGGGTGGACACAAACATTCGGTCTATGTGCCAATCTCCTCAGGCCTCCTGTGGCAGAATTTGAGGCCGCTCACCCCTCCCTCTTCCTCAGTCCTTGGTTCCACAGGCCCTGGCTGCCCTCTGGCTGCCTCCTGGCCACTTAGGAGGTCCTCAGGTGCTCAGACTTGATTGGATTTCCCAGTCCCACCCAAGGTCATCTTCTCTTCTCTTGCGCACTCACCCTGGGCAACTTAACCTACTACGGCAACTACTGCATCGGCTGCTGCCACCCAAAACGCGATACACTGAGTGGTGGCAGAAGCCTCCCCAGGAAGCCTGTTAGAAACACTGACTCGGGACCCAGCCCACACCCTGATCAGTCAGAAGCCTCGCGTGGAGGAGATCTGCATATGATTCGTGCGCACACTGCTGAGACACATGAACCTCAACAACAAGGCTCCCGCATCACATCTCTGTTCTGGACCTCTGACTCGGGTGTCAGACCTGTGTGCTGCTGTCTCCGGGGAACGTAGAGGGCCCTCAGACACAGTGTGTGCAACTGATCTCATCCGTTTAATCCCACGTTGGCCCCACGTCCTGCCTGCAACATCAGCACTTTAGGAAAAACACCATTGTCCCCTCCTTACCAGGACCCTGGCTAGAGACCTTCTGTCTCCCTGGCCCAGGCAGCATCGCCATCCCCCTGCCTTTGGGATATGTCCCTTCCACTTCCCCATTGCCACTGCCCAGTTCAGCCCACCTTACCTGTTATCTAAAAAACCACCTCTGCCTCCAGGGCCTCTTTGCCTCAGCCTCCCCGCCCCACACTTCTTCAATCTGTGCTGGCCACGCTGCCTTCAGGGTGACCTTTCTCAGTGCCAATCAGGTAACTCATTCCCAATCTGCACCTCTTCCCTAACCCCCTTGCTGTCCCACCTGCTCCTTCCCTCTCACCTCTGGGCCTTTGCAGGCGCTGTTCCCTCTGCTGGGAGCACCTGCCTCCTCCACTGACCTCACAGTTCTCCCACGCCCTTCCAGCCTCTTCAGCAGCAGGCCTTGGACTCCACAGGAGTGGGCTCCCATACCCGTGCACACCCACGGGGACCACAGCACTGCTGACGGTTTTCCGATTTCCTGCCTATGAGTCCCCGCACTCCAAGGGACTTTGAGATGCTTAAAGGTGGCTTGGGACATGGCTGATCCACAATAGAGCCTCGAGAAATATCCGACCCATTGCAAAATGGACCGTCCCCCACCCCCATGCGGTTTCAGGGCCGCTCCCAGGCTGTGAGTGTTTATGTGAAAGGAGTGTTTGCCACGTCGCTCGGGACGCCCATCCTGGCAATGAGCAGCTGCAGCTTCCAGGATTTTACCTTCTTAAATGCACTTCTGTTAAGCTGTGCATGTAAGAGGTCTGTTCTGTTGAAATATTTCCCAGAGACTTTCATACTAAGGAGGGCTTTATTGTTATAAATATTTAAACCTGCTTTGCAGCCAGTCGCTACGATTACTCAGCTCAGAAAGCATGCACAAAGCCTGCCTCTAGTGGACGATCCTGTGCTATTCATCGGCCTCTCATTTTAAATGTCTTCCTGATTTCAATTTAAAAGCGTATCTTTATATAACATATACAATTTAACTTTTTCTTTTTAAAAATATGTATAGCTAGTTTTTGTTGTGCAATTCTATGAGCTTTAAGACCTGGATAGACTTTTGTAACCATCACCACAAATTGGGATATGGAACAGCCCCATCACCCCAAAAAACTCCCCCTGCTCTGCTTCCTTCAGGGCAAGCCCTCCCTCCACCCCTAGTCCCTGGCAGCCACAGACCTGTCTACAGTCTTGTAGTTTAGCCTTTTCTAGAAGGTCATATAAATGGCATCAAGCAGTATATAAAGACTAGCTTCAAAGTGGAGAAAACTTTAGGCCTCTAAGGCATTTTAATGCCCGCATAGTCTTCATCTTTAGGGTAATTTTGCTCTAAAAACGTTTTTGCTGTTTTGGTGAAATATGTAATACTAGGATAGACTATGGAAGATGTGCTTACTGAGTTCTTACCCTCAATGTCAAAAACCCAACAGACTTTCATTACTGCATCCCCTCTGTACAGGATCAAAGTGCCCACCCTTAGAAAGTCTGATGAGACAGAGAAGAATGACTTGCGAGGATCAAGAAAGACAGGCTGAGTGAGCAGTGTCCTGGCCTGAAGCCTCTGAGCACTGCGGTTGTCCCTCAGCACCCCTGGGGAGTGGTTACCAGAACCCCCGTGGGTACCAAACTCCACAGAAGCTCAAGCGCCTTAGGTAAAATAGTGTAGTATTTCCCTATAACCTACACACATCCTTCCGTGTACTTGAAATCATCTCTAGGTTACTTGTAGAATCAAATACAATGTAAATGCTATGTAAAAAGTTGTTCTACTGTATTGCTTAGGAAATAATGACAAGAAAAAATCTGCACATGTTCAGTACAGATGCACCCATCCTTTTCTTTCTTCCCGAATCTTTTTGATCCTTGGTGGTTGAATTTGTGGATACAGATCTCACAATACTCAGGGCCGACTGTAATTCTGAAGGAGGGGGCTTTGGGGCGGGAGCCTACAGGAAGCTGGAGGCAGGGCACTGGGGACTTGAAAGTGAAAAAGTCAGTCATGAGCATGGGAGAAAGGAGAGGAAGGCAGGGGAAGGCACTCCAGATGAAAGAACCCCCTAAGTGCAGGCTTGAGGTGGGATGGCACAGTGAGGGCAGGAGAGGGATGATAGATGGTCCACCTGGAGCACAGTATATGCAGTGGAGGGGCAAGCAGGCAGGCCAAGGTGGGGCTGAGTGTCTGGAGTTGACCCTCGTTGCCACCGTCTTGGAGGGAGCTGAATGGTTCCAGAGTAGAGGCTGATGCCACGTGACCAGGTGAGGTGTCTTGTTGAGACCGGGCACAGTGATTCATGCCCATAATCTCAGCACTTTAGGAGGCTGAGGCAGGAGGATTATTTGACCTTAAAAAAAATTGTTCTGTTGAACTTATTGCCTTGAGACAGAGGAGCTTTCCCAGGATGGCCATTTCCTACCTGCCGGCCTCAGCTCCCATCGCCTGCCCTTATGCCCACTAAACGCGCTTGTCCAATCTCATGGTTAAGGAGCCACGGGTTATGGTTTTGGCCCCATAGATGAGGGAGAAATTTGCTGGAGGGCCTGTGGGAGTCTTTGGCTCTCTTGCAAGAGGAATACAGAGTTGGCCTTTCTCTTCCCCACTGTCCTTGCCTTCATGAAGCTGTGCTGCCCAGGCTGTCACGGTGGGACACGGAGCCCAGCCCCTGATGGCACCATCCATGTGTTGCTCTCGATCCCTGTTCTCTAGATTAGCTAAGCCAGAAAAATTAGCCTGATTTGTCTAAGCGTCTGCCCATCGGGTTTTCCCTTACTTGCCACTAAACGAGTCCTGAGTGGCTTTGCTCGTGCTGTTTCCTCCACCTGGATCTCCTTCTCTACCTTGTCCAGCTGGTGATCTCTTCCATCCAGAAATTTAACTTCAGTCTGAGTGAGCACCTCCCCAGATACCCCAGGCATCAAACACAATCATTGCTTACAGGGCTGTGTCCCTCATCAAGGAGCTGTGAGCCCCTCATGAGCAGGAACTGCTCCTTACTTCTCTTTGCACCTGGAAGGTCATAAATGATCAGCAAATATTCGTTGGATAAATGAAAGAACAAATGAATTCCATAGAAACAAGCAAGGGAAAAATGGGAAATGATTTCATCAATTCTTGCTAAGTCACAGGCTTTCTTCCTTCACAAAAGGATGCGCAAGAGAGTTGAGGATCTTGAGTCTGACAAGCAGAGAGGTGCTTCTTGTTGTATTTATCAAAGCTTCGCTATTAATCCCTGCAGGGTCAGTGAACGCATGTCAGCTCTGCACTCAGTCCTGCTGCACTTCGGTGGACTCTCACCAGAGGTCAAAGGCTATCAGCTCACTCCTTTTGTCTGACCAATGCCTTGGGTGGCTGCTCTCATCCTGACTTGAGCTAAATTGGGTGATCTGCCTGGAGACTTAGAACCTTATTCCTCCCCCCAACCATTCCCACTGCCTTTGCCTTGATCTGGACTCTTCTCTCCTCTTGCCAGGACCAATGCTGCCGCTTTCCACCTGTCCTTCCCTCCTGTGCATCCCACACAGCCTGCAGCTAAGCATGGTTCTGAGCAAGACACAGCTTCATGCAAAATATTGTACCTCTGCTTGAAGACCCAATGTGAACATTGCCCATTGATTTTTGTTTCTCGATCCCCAACTTCCCATGCCCCAAAATAGCATCCTGGGACCATAGAAATGGAATTGAGCTTTCTAAAATGATTCTGCCCATCTCCCACTTTACAGATGAAGAAAGTGAAGTCCAGGAAGTTGACATTGCCTCATTCAAAATCATGTGACTCATTAGCAGTAAGTCAAGCCTGTAGCCCAGCTTGTCACCAGGGCTGTTTTCTTCATTACATCACCATGTCTCTTCCTCTTCACTGCCTGCGTGACTATGTCTCGGCAGTCAATGGATACAGCACAGCATTGCCAGCTTGCCATGTACAAGGGGGACCTGTTTCAGATATTCCATGGAGACCCTGGCTGGAGGATTGCAGGAGAGTCCCAGGAGGCAGGACTGCCAATGGCACCAGGCTTCGCAGCCATGCACCTGCAGCCCTCAGGCAGCACTGTCCATTGTCATACGAGTGTGGCAGGTGTGAGGCATCGCATCTGCTCACCCCGGGGATAATGCACAGCAGCTACAGGCAGATTTCGGGCCAGAGAGCAACCGAGTGAGCCTTGCAGCCTCTGCTGCCAGCACAGGCTTGTTCCTTCAACACTGGTGGAGAGAGACACGCTGTCATCAGGCCCAAGAAATACTGCCTTCCCCATCCTATCCCTGGTCACTGGGTGCCCGCAGAGTGTCCCAGAGGAGGGAGGGAGGGACCCTCCACTGGTTCAAATGGCCTGTTCTCAGAGATGCAGCAATGGACCCTCGTGAATACTGAACTGATAATCATGGGAAGGAGACTGGCTCTCCTGGATTCCCTCATGATTCCTCTGAGTGACAATGTGATGTTGGCCGACTGTGTCTTCTTCAGAATATCATATACACTTGAGGTCTCCAGGAGCCTCCAATTACATTATTTTCCTGGCTCATACAGTGACAAGTAATTCTTATCCTGGATTCCTCGTTACTGAGACTTTTCTTGCCTTTTTTGTTAGCTTATGATTTATTCTAGGACTTCCTCCAACAGGTTATACTTAACTGTCTACCTCAGTCTCTGGAAGTTTTAAAAATGTTCAGCTAAATAAAAGAAGTAGATTCTCCCTGGAAACCAAATACCTATGGGCCTCACTGAATTAATAATTTATTTATTTCTAAAAAAAGGTTTTATTAATTAAGTCAAAATTTCATTGTAATTTTAAAATAATCTTGTGGTCTTTCTCCATGTGTCTGAAGCTTGTAATCACTCTTATTGTCCTGTGAATTCTGATATGCAGTTACCTGCTAGCTTAGTGGGTAAACATTTTCTCTATTAATGAGCAGGAGGCTTATTAAACTGTGACAGTTTAGACTATTCTTTCAAGGCCATTGATCAGTGAAAAAACAGAATCTGGATGCTAAAAACTGTGCCCATGTGAATTAATTTACCCCCATCTTTCCCTGAGCCATCACCTGAGTATTTGTTCCTAGGTTTGTTGGCTGCATTTGCTTAATTTTTATCTTGTGATTTCATTGAGAGGTGTAGTTGAGTGGGTGTACTTACAGCTTCTGTTCCTGTTTGAAATATCATTTGGAAACCTGATCACACCCTGCACAAGTATGCTTGTGAGGCATACTAATTCAATACCATTTGAGCAGGTGCCTCCTAACGCTGCCCTCCTCAACCTTTCTCAGCATGAATGTACGCTTTTTCATGTGCTGATTTTAACATAATCTTTGGTTCACAGTAACAGAGAATTTTGTTTGAAAAAATTCAGGGATTGAAGGGATATTGACATGTACCTAGTCACCATCTATCACTCCATCTCAGGAGCAAGTGTTCCTTGCTCTCGTGACTTTGTCCTGGTGACACAGAATTCATCCTTGTAGACCACTTACTTTCTTCCCAGGCTGGGCAGTTCTGGCTTTTGCAAAGTTCTTCATCAGCTAATTTAAGTCTGCTTTTTAAAACTTCCCATCTGCTGAATCTCATTCCACCTTTTATGCGGCAGTGTCCACTGCGCTTTCTGCAGTGACGGAAATGGTCTACAGTTGCACTGGCCAAGATGGTGGCATTACCCACACGTGGCTCTTGAGCATGGGGAATGTGGCTGGTCTGACAAAGGAACTCAATTTGTAGTTTTCTTTAATTGTAATCAACTTAAAATTACATAGGCCATATGTAGCTAGTGGCTACCCTATTGGGCAGTACAGTTCTAAAGCAATGCTGAATATTTAACGACCTTCAGATATTTGCAGACAGCTCTCCTATCCACATCTTTAGCCTTCTTTGGCCCAGCCGAACAAGTGTTTCAGATCATGCCTCTGGACTCCTTTCTGTCTCCGGACTTCGTAACAGCATGGTCACCCTTCATTCACCTCATTAGATATCTGAAGTAATGACGGAAGTAATCGATTGAGTAAATTAGTGAATGAATATGTGATTTTAATTCTTCACATAAACCTCATCCTAGCTAATCCTCTTGTCTTCTTTATAAGCTGAGGTTTTTGGTTTTATGACTGTGGATGGGAAGAGGGGATGCAGAGGATAGGACCAAGCAAGGTCGTATTTTCTTTAATAACCACATCCCCACCTGTTTCCCAGTTGGGAAAAACACAAACCGATTTGCTCTCGGGTACCACTAGTTTATTATAATAAGATGTACAAAGCAAGGCAGATGACCCTGCAGTGATAGCAGGGATGGTCACTTGTTTGGCAGAATGGCCCAGGGGAGCATCTCTAGCCGTTTCAATCCCAAGAAAGCACCTTGGGGTAGAGATGATGCAAAACCAACCTGTACATCGAAATCTATTTTTTATTATTCAAAAATTACAACCTGGTCTTCTGAAACTTATTTTTTTATGCTTTTACATCTCCTACAGCCTTACACATAATTTCTAGTGTCTTTTTAGAACCTCTCAGTATTGTAACATTTAATGCGTTCTCAGCAGCGGGTAGGTCCGTGTTATGTTTGCATTTGAAGTAGAAGAGCTAAGCTAAAAAATATGCCTTTGTTTACTAATAAGGTAGATACTATTTTTTTGTTGCTGTTGTTTGATATGGAGTTTAACTCTTGTTGCCCAGGCTGGAGTGCAATGGCTCAATCGTGGCTCACTGAAACCTCCACCTCCCAGGTTCAAACAATTCTCCTGCCTCAGCCTCTCGAGTAGCTGGGATTACAGGCATGTGCCACCACACCCGGCTAATTTTGTATGTTTAGTAGAGACGGGGTTTCTCCATGTTGGTCAGGCTGGTCTCGAACTCCCGACCTCAGGTGATCCGCTCACCTTGGCCTCCCAAAGTGCTGAAATTACAGGCATGAGCCACCACGCCCAGCCGATACTATTTTTTACTCAAACCAAAAAATATATTCTGCGAGTAAGTGATCCACTGTATCTCAGCCCATAATGATGGCCTCGACAAGGAATGAGATGGCCACAGTCAGTGTCACCCACTGGACCACAGTGATGGGCGTGGTGAACCAAGAAGTGTGGACATGGCACTGTGCTGGGTTACAGTAGTGAGGGAAGCAAGCTTAGACTAGGGAGCAAAATCAACCTGTGATGAGTTGTGCCTTCCTTTAAGCATCTTGGCATTTGTTGTTGGCATTGAGGTTATAGACCGGTGGTGCAAAGACGAGGCCACAAGGGCCACTGGAGAAGAGGGAGGAGAGCCCAATGGCTAGAATCTGGAAGGACAGCCACACGTTTCCCCCTCTGATTCTTTAATTCACCCACAACATATGCCCATGGTGAGTTCTTCAATTGCAGGCTTTTGGTACAGGAAATGAGCTCTTGCTAGAGATTTAAGACGGAGTCAAATCATGGGTCTAGCCCTAATGATGAGTAACTGATGGTGAGGATGAGAGTTGTGACAGTGCTGGTGGTCATGAGGAGGATGAGGATGATGAAGAAGAAAACAGCAGTAACAAGGACGATGATGAAAACCTGCTAATTATGGTGCTGATGCCAGGGATAATTATGGTAGTGATAATGATCATGATCCCAGGAGGACTTACTGTCATTATTTCTCAGTGGCTTTTCTTTGGGTAGAGAGTGAGATAATTAAAGTCTGGAAGGAGACAGGAACAGGGGGCGTGCAGTTCCTCAGATCCATGGGTCCCGCCCAGCTGCATGCTGGGAGTGAAACTATCAAGATTAAGAGCTATGCTGTTTCAGCAGCATTTCCACTGTCTAAATATAAACAGCCTCAGGCCCTGATCCAGCAGAGGAGACCACAGCTGCCAAATGCATCGCCAGCTGCAGGCCCTGGCTGGGTTTCTTTAGGGGAAAAGGCCATCCCACCATGGACAGGTTCCAAAAGGCATGAGCCTGCGAATAGAATTTGAGGTTCAAGGAATGCTAGACTGTGCGTCTGTGTTCAGGGTCACAGAGCGAGTCTGAAGGGAGCAGGATGAGGACATGGGTGCCCTGCCTCCAGGGCCTGTGCTCTCTGCTGGTACAGACAAGGGCCTGGTGAGATGGTAGAACAGGGGCGGCTACTGCAGTGGTGCCACCTGCGTAGGAAGACGGGAATCTAGTGGGGATGGGCAGGGGCCAGGCTCCCTTTGCTTTCGCAGGCACCCAGCTCCAGTGGCCCCTCAGTCCCAGCTACAGATGGACTTTGAGATCTGATGACAGGATCTGCTGTTATCCCACCTCTGGATCAACGGCGCCATCATCGGTGCCCCAGCTAGCCAGCAGATGTGGGCCAGAGTAAGGCTTGACTGGTCCACATGTCCTTTCTGGCTTAAGACACTGCTTATCTTGACTCAGGGAGAGAAGGAAATGGAAGAAGAAGAAGAAAGAAGATGCATTTAAAACATATTACCAAACTAATGCCATGAACACATGAAATGTCAGCCTTTTGATTCCCTCCTGCCAATACGCATCCGTTTATCCAGTGCTGACTTACTCAGCCCTGAACATGCACCAGGCGCTCTCGCAGGCACAGGGAATACTGTGGTGGACAGAGCCGGGGAAGCCCCTGCGCTCGTGGATCTTACATCCTGCTGGAAAGACCGTGCATAAATAGATGTGTTTATCATGTGTCAGGCAGGACACGTGCTCCACAGGAAAGTGACGTAAGGTAAAGGACAGGGAGCAAAGGGGAGTGTCTGGGGGAGGACGGCAGGGACGGCAGGGACGGCATGGAAGCAGTGGCCCAGCAGACGCAGGACAAGGTCCTGTGATCCGAGGAGGGGTCTCAGGGTGGAGGGACAGGGAGCAGGCCAGCGTGGCTACAGTGCATGATGTCCAGGATGAGCAAACGGAGTGATGTTTGAACATGTCATCCGGGAAAACTACACACAGGGGCAGGCTCACAGCCACTTTTTCCCCAGCTGATCTTGCTTCCTCTGTTACCAAACCACCCTCAATACAGCCTCGCAAACTGAGCAACAGAGGAGGGGGAACACAACTAATACCCCATTTGGCAGGCTGGCTGAAGGCTGTTGAAGAAACAGCAGAAACACCTGGTAATCCTTGCAGGCGTCACCCAGGCTGCGGGCCGGAGCTGTCATGGGACAAGCAGGAGGCTGGAATGGAGCTGGGATGGGAAGGAACACAGGCCATCAGCTTCCCAGGCCCCACGTTAATTGTGTAATATCATCACAGCAGGGTAGGATGCCCTGTGAGGGCACCTAACAGGTGTTCATCACATTCATCAGCATTGCCCTACCAACGACCGTATTTACATCAGGCATAAATGCAGTTTACCGCACTCTGTGAGAACTGGGGATTAATAGCTCCGGTCCAGCTAGATTCTGATTTCCTTGGTAGGAGGAGGCAGAACAGCACACATCTTGACTGAATAATCGTGCATTTTGCATGGTTAATAATTCTGAGAGCAGGAAAGCTACCTTCCTAGGATCACAGAGAGCTTACTTTCTTTTCTACGAATCTTTGAAAAACCAAACAGATGGGATTTTACCTTAAGAGTTAGATTGCACTCTTACACTGTGCTGTTCAAATTATGAATTGGCCTCACTTGGATGTTGGACTATTGATTATCAACTCTGGCAAGCTCTTTATTCAGAATCTTAGGACATGCACATTAAAAGAAAAAATCCTCTCTTTGACCTGGTTGCCACCAATGTGTATCTACATAGGATGAAAAAATGCATCACGTACTCAGAAGAACGGGCTGCAGCCCCGGAGCCCCAGTCCTTCTGCCAGCTCTGGAGCAGGGGGAGCTCCTGGCTGCACCTGAGGTGTCAGTCTCCAAGAACCTGAGCCCTTTCCACACGCATGGCTCTGTTCTAGGCACTCGGGGGAGCTCAAACAGAAAGAGAGTAAACCTGCTGCTGTTCAGTCAGAGACCCAAGTCATACTCACAAATGATCAAGCTAGTGAACTGGATGGCATTTTCACAGCTAGATCTTGTACTGCAATTATAGATTGTCACCATAAAGCTTTTGAGAGCAATTTAATAGTTAATAACATCCTAATTCTATGATGTGAGTAATCTGTGCTCTGAGAACGGCCTACATATAGGCAGAAGAACCATGAGGAGCTCTCAAAGAAAATGTGCCATATATTCAGGCACCTGGGGAGTGGTTGTAGAAAGTGTGACCTTCCAAGGCAATTGATTTTGGTTGTTCTTTAAAGGATCACTCTAGCAGTCCGGTCATTCTTATGGGTCCTCTGGTCTAGATGCCCCTCATGGAGGATCTTCTAATCTTGCATTATTAGAAATGGCAGCTAAGTGGATTATGGATGGAAACTTTCATGTTGTAAAAACACACCACCAGAAGTCAACCATTCTTATTTTGCCCACGTATTAATGCTATTTCCAAAACTGCCCGACAGCTCACGGGTGTAGGGGTTTAGGGGTCTATATTCCTTGTTAGACTCAAGCTCCTTGAAGGTAGGGAATGTGTCTTACTCATTACTGTATCCTCAGTTTCTTGCCCCATTGTGCAAGCTAAATAAACAATGAATGAATCAATGAATCAATGATGAATAAAAGGAAATTAGTTAAATTCCCCTTAGATAGCAATAATTGTCCTTCTCACCCCAGGTTATCTACAGCCAGATACCATTTGGATTATTGAATTCCTAGGATGTTCCTTGCCTCTCTGATTGTTTGCCATCTAATCATATCCACTCTTATGTTTTTATTTAACTTCTTAGTATACATACCTGATTCCCACCTTTAAGTATCCTAAAGGAACACAATGCCTTATCTTGCTTTCCCTCCGCCCTTGGCACACACCACCTACCACAACGTTGAACTTACAGTAAACGATCAAGGACAAGTTTCGGACTAATGCATTTGGATGGAATGGCTTCTGTGGCTTTCAAACAGAATTCTAGATCTGACCTAGACCAGACCCAGATCCTGCCTGGATGTCAGGACTTCCCTGTCTCTAGAGAGGCAGCATGAACAGAGACACAATGCCGGGCGGATTGTTCTGACCTGGCTCCCAGACCCAGGCCAGGGGCCAGGGTGTGTGTATAAGGGCATTTGTATTCTGATGGCCTTTGTGGGTTTTTTAAACCCCAATTGTATCATTGATTTTTTTTTTGGCATTGACGTTAAGATTTTCATTCAATGGTGATGGATTTTAAAATTGCCCTGCCATGTGGGGTGTTACTAAAGCTCATGTGGATGAAGGCTGTTGAACGCCTGTGTCTGTGCTCACACTGGCTGCTTTGCTTTCCTTTCCTGCCTGACACGTCCTCTCCATCTTCCCCTTCTCCGTTGCCATCTTCCTGCCCTTGTCTCCTGCCAGCTTCCTCCTTTTCTGCACTCAGCCTTACCCTTTCTTCCCCTTATGCTTCCTTTCTGGGACTCCCAAACCCAACTGTGCTTTAGAGAAAGAGTCCTGGACTCAACGCCAGGGAAATGCATGCCCGTGTTCCTGCCTTGCTGCCTTCTACTCTGACCTTGAGAAGGTTATGAACTCTTGGGCTTCCATTTTGCCATCTCTCAAGCCAGTGAGTTAGACCATGGATGAAAGACCGCCCATCCTAGGATTATAAACTGGGTAAGATTTGCATCAATGTGAGTCTTCACACTGATGCTGGCTCCAGGTTTCCTTTCTCCACTGTGAGCTGAGTTAAAAACTCTCTATTAGGAGGCATTTCACATACCATTGTCGAGGAGGTGGGAAATAACAATTCCATTCATTTGCCAAGTAGAAAAGCCCTTGCCTTCTTGGTTCATTCAGCAGAGGGAAAAGTAAGCTAGGCGGAGGCAGGAATGGCCTTTATTTGCAAAGGAGGCTGTGCCTCACTGTTCTTCAACAGGATGCCTAATGAGTTAGAATTTGAGTAGCATGGCTGGGTGCAGTGGCTCACGCCTGTAATCCCAGTACTTTAGGAGGCTGAGGCGGGCAGATCACAAGGTCAGGAGTTTGAGACCAGCCTGGCCAACATGGTGAAACCCTGTTTCTACTAAAAATACAAAAAAATTAGCCAGGCATGGTGGCAGGCACCTATAATCCCAGCTACTCAGGAGGCTGAGGCAGGAGAATCGCTTGAACCCAGGAGGCAGAGGTTACAGTGAGCCAAGATGTGCCGCTACACTCCTGCCTGGGTGACAGAGCGAGACGCCATCTCAAAAAAAGAAAGGTTATGCCTCACAGGTTCTGACATTCAGTAGGATTTGCACTTTGGTGCATTTTTCTTTGTACATAAAACCCTCATCTCACTTTTAGAACAGTGCAGTACTTAACTTTTTCCAGGATTAGGTATTCATTTCAGTCATGAAAAAGAAAAGGGCATTTGACCCAAATTACAAAAACTATTGAAGTAAAACTGCCCTATTTTTTCCTTCATGCTTTCATTGCAAAATGCAGTGACTGTCTGCTGCTGGATGAGTGTGTATTTGGGGGCTCTGAGGGATGGAGAAGGAGAGGCACGACTCGCAAGTGCCAGGAATTCACATTCCGCTGACGCGGGAACACGGGCAGTGTATAGACATTGTACAGACATTGTAAAGACATTAGAGCACAATTTTGAGAAAACGTGAAAGGATTTCCACAAGTCTTTATGTCCTCTGTATATTAAGGTGTTAAGACAATGGATAGCAAGAGAAAGATGGGATTTTGTGGCAGAAACTTCCAAAAAAAAAAGTTGACATGGAGCAGGTCCTCAAAGCAGGAGGCCTCAGAGTACTTTGTAGTTTAAGTAGGAGGGAGGACTCGGGTATCTGGAGATGGGAATGGAATTACCAGAGGAGAGGAGCATTGAAGAAATGGCGTCAACACTGAAGAATGTGCTGCTTTATAAGAATAATGAGCCCTTAAATGCCAGTCTGAATCTTAGCTTGACAAATGAGGCGAATCTGAACACCTTTGGGATAATAATAGCGCCTTGCTCTATTTGAGATAAAATCCATTTCTTCTGACTTCTGAAAGGAATTATTGTATTGGTCCATTTGTTTTATTTTAGGAAATTTTAAAATATGAGGTAGAAAAGTATAAAGTATTCTCCAAGTTATTAGCTAATAATTGGCTGATGTCACCCAGGTGGTTATATAATAAACTGTCTCAGTATCATTAAATTCTAGAAGTCCAGAAGAAGAAGTCAAGGACTTCTTAGTATTTTGAGGCAGAGGGAAGAACTACAAAAAAACCTCAGGGCAGGAAAATTGGACCTGTTGCAGGCCCTGAAAGCTGGTGTGATTTGAGTACAGTGAGAGAGAGACACAGAGACAGAGAGGGAGAGAAGACAGAGAGAGAGAGGGTGGGGAGACAGAGAAGGAGAGAAGACAGAGGGGAGACAGAGAGAGACAGTGGGGGCCAGTAGGGGAATGGAAGCACAATTGTGGGTTGGTGTCTCCTGGCTCAATGCCTAATGAGTTAGAATTTGAGTAGCATGGCTGGGCACCGTGGCTCATGCCTGTAATCCCAGCACTTTGGGAGGCCGAGGCAGGCAGATCACAGGGTCAGGAGATCGAGACCATCCTGGCTAACACAGTGAAACCCCGTCTCTACTAAAAAAAGAAAAAAATACAAAAAGTTAGCCAGGCGTGGTGGCAGGCACCTGTAGTCCCAGCTACTCAGGAGGCTGAGGCAGGAGAATTGCTTGAATCCAGGAGGCAGAGGTTGCAGTGAGCCAAGATCGTGCCACTGCACTCCAGCCCGGGAGACAGAGTGAGACTCCATAAAAAAAAAAAAATTGAGTAGTATATTACTTTGCTAGGGCTGTCGTAACAAAGTGCTACAGACTGGGCGTCTTCAACAATGAAAATGTATTGTCTCACGGTTCTGGAGGCCAGAAGTCAGAGATCGAGGTGTCTGCAGGGTGGGCTCCTGCTGAGGCTGTGAGGGAGTGCTGGCTCCAGGCCTCCTTCCTGCATCTGGTGGTTTTCTGGCAATCTTTGGTGTTCCCAGGTGCACCAATGCATCTCCAGCCTCTGCCTTCGTCTTCACATGGTGCTCTCCTTGTGTGCATGTCTGTCTCTGTGTCCACATTTTCCCTGTTTACACCGACACCAGTCATTTGGATAAGGATCTTTTTTAATGACCTCATTTTAACTTGATCACCCCTGCAAAGGCTCCACCTCCCAATAAAGTCCCTTTCTAAGTCCTGAGGATAACGACTCCAACATGTCTTTTCTAGGAGACACAATTCAACACATAGAAAACAGTTAAGAAAAAAAAGAGAAAATTTGGTAATTGTCTTCTGTACAGACTTCTATTAAAACAATGAAATGTTTATTTACCAAAATCAGGACCAAGTTACAGGCCAGTATTAATATATGAAACTGCTTGCGTTTCACATGTACACTTAAATTTCCAGTCCTGATTTTCATACCAAGAAACATGGCCAAGTCATCACTTCATAAAGGAAAACCGTTTTGGAAGGTAAAAAAGACAATTACTGTTTGAAACAGTCTAACATTGAACTTTAGATGTAAACTATGCCGAGCAAACATTTTTTCCAGGTAACGTTATTTGTTGCAGACAGCCTTTGGCCATTGTGTAGATCCCAAATGTGGTGAAATGGGAGCTCCCAGATCATTGCCCAGTTTCCAGCTGCCATCCCGAGTTTGTTGGTGTCACTGATTCCAAGAACAAAACACTGGTGCATGAAATTAACAACCTTATAAATAGATGACAGCACGTCTGTTAGACAAAAGGCTGCAGTTATCCCCTAGAAACAATCAAACACAATTCCAGTAAAAGTCTTGCCAAATACCTCTTTGTAATTCAAGGAACCTAACAACAGACAATATGCAGTGCCTCCTTGTTTATGTTCTGGAACTCAGCGCTGCTGCAGTGTAACTGAGAACAGGCTAGTACAACCCACAGGCATCTTGAAGTGTGCAAGGAGGCTCAGAGAGGTTTATAGCATTGTTGTTTTGTTTTGTTTTTCATGGTTCTTTATGTCATTGTTTGTTTTATAAAGTGTTATTTATAGTATGTTCATCCTTAGGGACTTTTCCTTGAAACCACCACCTTTAATGCTGATGATTGGTGTTCCCATGGACCTTGGGTTAAGGGGGCCAAATGGTATAGATGCCCTGGGGAGAGCTTGCTATTGGCCTTTGGGAGAGACCCTGCAGCAGTAGGTTTCAGCTCTCCCAGTGGCAGAGCTGGGTGATAACTGCACTTTCTTCTAAGGGCGATACATTTTGGGAATGTGCGTGGTGTGAGTTTTCTGCCAGCATCTTTATAGAGCAATGTGTACTTGCAAATAAATACAACCAAAGTCAACAAAAGAGCATATTGATGCTTTGGTAGAGAACTCAGCAGTCTCCCCTCTCTGTAGCGTAAAATCCAGGGAAAACAAAGGCCCCACAATGGGGACAGATGGCCCCGCATAGGTCTAAGGACTGCCATTCCGTTTTAAAGTTATAAAGTACTCTCACACTGTTTACCTCTTTTATTTCACAAAACCACCGCATTAAGTGGACAGGGTAGAAGATATTATCCTCACTTTTTATATGGAGAAAACGTGGCTCAGGTGACGAGGTGAATATTTGTGGGTAAGGCAAGAACTTTCTTTCTTTCTCAGTCAGTTCTCTCTACTCAAGTGGACTTCTTTTTATTATTATTATTATTATTATTATTATCATTATACTTTAAGTTCTAGGGTACATGTGCACAACGTGCAGGTTTGTTACATATGTATACATGTTACATATGTATACATGTTGGTGTGCTGCACCCATTAACTCGTCATTTACATTAGGTATATCTCCTAATGCTATCCCTCCCCCAGCCCCCCACCCCATGACAGGCCCTGGTGTGTGATGTTCCCCACCCTGTGTCCAAGTGTTCTCATTGTTCAATTCCCACCTATGACTGAGAACATGCAGTGTTTGATTTTCTGTTCTTGCGATAGTTTGCTCAGAATGATGGTTTCCAGCTTCATCTATGTCCCTTCTAAGCTGACCCCACTCCTTCCTTTCATGGTAGGCACACATGCACCGAGTAAAATGGCTGAATCTGGGCTCCAAAATGTTCTCTTCAGTCCCGCATGTTTTGGCAAACTTTCCTCTCTGCTGTGGCACTTCAATCCCGCTCTTCTCCATAAGGTCTATCCTTTTCTTCATAAAACTTTCTCATGGATGGCTCCAGTCCCAAATAAAGCTATCCTCCTGCTCCTGGCTTACTCCAATTTCCCAGCTCTTTTGGGAAATGTAAACTTTATGGTGTCATTATTCCTTTTATGTAACTTCCTTTTTTCTTTTCTGAGATGGAGTCTCACTCTGTTGACCAGGCTGGAGTACAGTGGCACAATCTCAGCTCACTGCAACCTCTGCCTCCTGGGTTCAAGCGATTCTCCTGACTCAGCCTCCTGAGTAGCTGGGATTACAGGCACTTGCCACCGTGCCCGGCTAATTTTTCGTATTTTTTGTAGACATGGGGTTTCACCATGTTGGCCAGGCTGGTCTCGAACTCCTGACCTCAGGTGATCCACCTGCCTTGGCCTCCGAAAGAGCTGGGATTACAGGCGTGAGCCACCATGCCCGGCCCTTTTATGTAATCTCTTATCCTGTCCCAAAGACAATTTTATAAAATAATAATAAGTAGCACTTTTGGGTGATTAATAGGTGCCAGGCACCATGTCAAAAACTTTCTGTCCAGTATCTCCTTTAATCTTCACAAGAAACCTATTGTGGTAACTCTTACACCATTTTATAGATGATGAAACCAAGGCTAAAGGAAATATGATGAAATGTCCAGGGTCACTCGGCTGGGAATTTGGGAAGCCAAGTTGGAAACTCAGATCTACTAATTTTCAAAGCTTGCACTTATTTTAAAGTAATGGCATATTTGGTTTGTTGTCATAGTTTAATCATGAACTGTTTCAAGTGTACAGAAAAGTACAGATGGCATTACTTAAAACCACTTGCAGCCAGGCGCAGTGGCTCATGCCTGTAATCCCAGCACTTTGGGAGGCTGAGGCAGGTGGATCACCTGAGGTCAGGAGTTTGAGACCAGCCTGACCAACATGGAGAAACCCCATCTCTACTAAAAATACAAAATTTGCCAGGCGTGGTGGTACATGCCTGTAATCCCAGCTACTTGGGAGGCTGAGGCAGGAGAATCGCTTGAACCCTGGAGGCGGAGGTTGCGGTGAGCCATTGGACTCCAGCCTGGGCAACAAGAGCGAAACTCCATCTCAAGAAACAAAAACAAAAACAAAAAACCACTCACATCCAGAATGCTCAAATTTAACAAGTGTGATCTGTCTTGTTGAATGCGTCCAGGGTCTTGAAGGTGTGTATGTATGCTGATGCACTTGGATGACCTGTTGTAAAGTATGTCAATTAGGTCAAATTAGTTGATATTTTGTTCCAGTCTTCTATTTAATTACTTTTGCTGTGAATTACTGTGTAAGAAGTATTGAAATCTCTCATTGTATTTGGAGATTTGTCTAGTTCTCTTTTCAAATCTGTCACGTTTTGCTTAGTAAATATTGAAGCTCTCACAGTAAGCACATATACATTTAGGATTTTCTTGTCTTATCATTGAATTGACCTTTTCATCATTATGAAATGTCCCTGGTAGTATTCCTTTGTCTCTGTTAATATTCTGTGTTCTTCAGTCCATTTGTTTGATAATAAACCATTGCAGCTTTCTTTTGATTCATATTTGCCTGGTAGAACTTTTTCTATCCTTTTACTTCTAACCTCTTCATATGTTTACATTTAAAGTATGTTTCTTATAAATAACATGTAGTTAGGTCTTGCTTTTTTTTTCTTTCAGTGAGACAATCTCTATCTTTTAAAAAGAATATTTAGAGAACAGATTAGCAAATTATGGCCCCTGAGCCTAATTTATCTTAGTGCCTATTTTTGTAAATAAAGATTTATTGGAAAACATCCATGAGCATTTGTTAGGTATTGTCCAAGGCTGTTTTTGTACTTCCAAAGTAGTTGCAATACAGACCGTATGGCTTGAAAAACCAAAAGCATTTATTATATGTCCCTTTATGGAAAATATGTGCTGACTCCTATTTTAAATGTTACATTTGATGTAATTGTCAGCATGATTTAATTGAAATCTACCATTTGCTATTAGGTTGGTGCAAAAGTAATTGTGGTTCTTGCCAGTAAAAGTAATACTTGTTTCTTTATGCTTCTCTCTTCTGATTTTTGGTTCAATTTTTCCTGTCCTCTTTTGGCTACTTGAGTTTCTTATTATTCCAATTTATTTTCACTGTTGGATTAACAAGCTCTTTGTTTTACTTTTTAATGGTTGATCTATGTTTACAATGGGCATTTTTAAGTTATCACAGTTTATCTTTGATTGATGGACCACTTTTGGTATATCGTGTAAAAGCCTACAGCAGTATTCTTCCATCATTTCACCATACCATCCTTTCTGATATTTTGTTGTTCATTTCATTTCTACATATGTTTAAATCCCATAATACATTGTTATTATTTGTAGTTTAGAAAATCAACTGTCTTTAAGAAAAAAAACAGCTTTATATTTATCTATTTCTTAATTCTTGTTTGTTTTTGTTTTGTTTTGAGATGGAGTCTCGTTCTGTTGCCCAGGCTAGAGTGCAATGGCACGATCTTGTCTCACTGCAACCTCTGCCTCCCAGGTTCAGGTGAGTCTCCCGCCTCAGCCTCCCATTTCTCGAGTAGCTGGGATTATAGGCACCCACCATCATGCCTGGCTAATTTTTTGTGTGTGTGTTTTTGTAGAGACAGGGTTTCACCATGTTGACCAGACTGGTCTCGAACTCCTGACCTCAGGTGATCTGTCTGCCTCGGCCTCCCAAAGTTTTGGGATTAGAGGTGTGAGCCAGCATGCCTGGCCTATTTCTTAATTCTTAATCCTTTTTTTTTTTTTTTGAGACAGGGTC
This sequence comes from Homo sapiens, assembly GCF_000001405.40. Classification (NCBI taxonomy): domain Eukaryota; kingdom Metazoa; phylum Chordata; class Mammalia; order Primates; family Hominidae; genus Homo; species Homo sapiens. Next base: position 154,602,777 of record NC_000007.14, read on the forward strand.
TTACTCTGTCACCCAGCCTGGAGTGCAGTGGTGCGATCTCTATTCACTGCAACCTCTGCCTCCCATCTTAATTCTTTTTTATAGAAACGAATTTCCTCTGGCTTTATTTTCTTTCTGTCTGAAGAATTTATTTAACATTGTAATGCTGGTCTACTGGCAATGAATTCTCTCAACTTTTGTTTATCTGAAGAATTATTTCGCTTTCATTTTTTAAAGTTTTTTTGCTACATAAAGAATTTCAGGTGGACATTATTTTTCTTTCAGTACTTAACTATATCATTCCTTGTCTTCTGGCTAGCTTAGTTTCTGAGGGGAACTCTATTACCATTCTCATCTTTTTTTCCTTTGTGTATATGTTTCTTTTCTCTCTTGACTCATTCAAGATTTTATCTTTATCTTTGATTTTCAGCAGTTTGAATACAATGTGCATAGATGTCATTCTCTTTGTATGTAATTTGTTTAGAGTTTGTGAACTTTGCACATCTGTTTTTGGTAGTCTTCCATTCAGCCATGATTTCTTCATGTGTTTCTTCTGTCCCATCCTCTCTTGTTTTTCCTTCGGGGTCTACTCTTACATGGATATTCGGCCATTTTAATCATTCCAGGCTGGCTGTGTGCGGTGGTTCATGCCTGTAATCCCAGCACTTTGGGAGGCCGAAGTGGGCAGATCACCTGAGGTCAGGAGTTCGAGACCAGCCTGGCCAATGTGGTGAAACCCCATCTCTACTAAAAATACAACAAAAATTAGCCGAGCTAATAATCCCAGCTACTCGGGAGGCTGAGGCAGGAGAATTGCTTGAAACCAGGAGGTGGAGGTTGCAATGAGCCAAGATTGTGCCACTGGACTCCAGCCTGGGTGACGAGAGTGAAACTCTGTCTCAAAAAAAAAAAAAAAAAAAAAAAAAAATTATTTCAGGCTCTGGACTCTCTGTTCTTCTTTTATTTACTTATTTACTTTTTCTTCTTTTCTCATAAATATAATGTTAAGAAGTAGAAGTCAGACATAAAAGAATAAAACTATGATGGTTCCATATCTGCAAAGTCAAAAAATGCCCAACTAATCTATGAAAATAAAAGTCAGGTTCGGATGTAGGGTTAGAATGTAATGATTGATAGGTGCACGTGGGATTTCTTAGTGTCTGATAAAGTTCTGTTTCTTGATTTGCATGGTTGTTAGACCAGGTGGGTTCACTGCAAAACTTCATGGAACTGTACACATGATTTGTGTACTTTTTCTGGACATGTTATTCTTTTACTTAAAAGTTTATTTTAAAAATCAAAAATAGCTTTCCGTGTGTTTTTCTTCTAAAAGTCATACATTTTGTTTGGGTCCATAATCTTTTCAGAATGTATTTTTATTTATACTCTGGAGAAGGTAAGTTTATTTTTCTCCTACAATAATAGTCAACTCTTCATCATGAATGTTGCATCATTTCCTGGTAGTTTTTATCATAATCTTGGCCATGTATGCACGATCCTTTTCTCGTCTTTCTCTTCTGTTCTATTTATCTATCCTTACACAATACCACACATTAGACATTCTATAGCTTTATGACAAATCTTTGCACCTGATATGGTCAGTCCCTTCTAATTCTCTTCTTTAAAAATTGCCTTGGCTATTATTTGCCTTTTACTCTTACATGTAAATCAGGAAACAGCTTTTAAATTTTATTAAAAATCCTATTGAAATGATATTGAATTGAGATACTAAGTTGGAGAGAATTGACTACTTTATGATGTTGAATTATCCCATCCTGGAATATGCTAGATAATATAAGCACAAAGACTTCTTTTAAGTCTTCTAATAAAATGTTATAATATTCATCATAGATGTCTTAAATATAATTTAGAATAATTACTTCTGCATAATTTTAAAATAGGGTAAATTAGTGCTTCTTTTTAATCACACACTTTGCATTGAGTGTTACCAGTGAAAGGAAATGCTAAAGACTCATTAGTAGGAATCTTGTATATAGTGAAGTTACCATTTTCTTGCTAAGTTCAAATGGTTGGATTCTCTTGGATAGTCTATATGGACATTTGTAAACAATGACGGTTTTGTTTCTCCCCGTCCTTGCCTATCTCTTTTGTTTGTTTGTTTTGTGTCTTCCTACACTGGCTACTCTTTTCCATCCAATGTTAGCCCAGAAACCATGACAGCATGCACTTTAGTCTTCCTCTTAATTTAAAATGAATATTTCCATATTTTCATGCCTAAGTGTGTTTTCTGTATGCTTTGGTATCTCTTTTTTTTTTTTGAGAAGATTAATATAGATCTCTTCTATCCCTTGTTTTAATTTTCATATTTTGAATTATAAATATGCACTGTGTTTTCAAAGAATTTATTTTTCTTTGCATATAGAGGTGATCGTATTGTTCCTTTTTGTTTAATCTACTACTATAATGATTTACCTAAATGAAATGTCCAATATTAAACCAACCTTGATTATATTCCTAAAATACACCTTATTTAAATATGTTATTCTTTTTTAAATATACATTGACAGATGTACTTTGAGGGTCCTCATCTTTATTTGTACATTTTTAGTCAGTTTTACGAGCAAGAGGGTATCTGTTCCATCTGAGCTTGATCCTCTGATGATTCATTAATTCCTTTTAAACTACTGTTTCACTTCCTTTAATGGTTATACTTCTATTCAGGTATATTTCTTCCTGAGTCAATTCTAAGATTTGTTTAGAAAATTACCAATTACATTTAAATGTTCAAAATTATTTAATAAAGTTTTGTATATTTTCATATTATATTTTTCTACTAATTACATTTTCATTTTCTGTCCTTATAGTGTTTGTCCCTTTTCTGTTTTGATCTTGATCAATTTTTATATAATTTTGCATGTTAGTACTATTCTCAAAGACCTATAGTTTGGTTTTCATTTTCTCTTTTTATCTTTGCTTAATCTCTCATTAGTACCTACTCTTATTGATTGATTCCTTCTTTCTGCTATCTTTGCATTTAATCTATTTTTAAATTTTTAAGATAAAATATGGCACATTTATTTTCAGTTTTCTATCCTTTCTATGAAATAATGGGTACAAATTTTTCTCTATTATTTTAGCTGGATCTGTGAGTCTTGATACGGAGTGTTCATTACATTCAATGCTAAATATTTCATATTTTGCATTATAATTTTTTACTCATGTGTTATTTTGTTTCCGAATATATGCTTTATTTACCCTTTTCACAAAAAGTTGTTGATTATAATAAATTAGGAATTTTCTTAATTTATTACAATACAATCAAGAGTTTACTCAGTTTGAGATGAAATTTCTGTATATTTGAGACTTTGTATTTGATCAATTTTCATGACAAGGATTAATTTATAACCATTGAAAGAGGACCCTTCAATTGGCCACTGGCTTATTAGTTATATTGTTGCAATATTCTCTATCCTTACTAGATGTTAGTCTCTATGACCTATCAGTTTTTGAGAGCAATGTATTAAACATCTTATAATTCTATACACTTTTGCCTTATGTATTATGAGGCCATGTTGCTAAATGCCTACAAGTTCAGGATTGTAATCACTTCCTGATCAATTATTTCTTTTTATCATTAACTCTCCGTATTCCTAGCAATGAAATTTGTGTGTCTTTTTGTTTCCATTTCTATTTTCTCAAAGTTATATTTGTCTGCTGGGAGTATAATTGCACTAGTTTTTGTTTTCCTTTTGGTTATTTGCCTGGAATGTGTTTACCTAACCCTTACTTTACACCTTTCTTGGCCCTTATGATTTAATTATGTCCTTCCTGAATTGCATATGTTTTTAAACATCTAACTTAAAGGAATTTAACCTGCCTATAATTAGTATGATTACAGTTGAATAACAGGTTTGAACTGTGCAAGTCCACTGATAAGTGAATTTTTTACAATATTTTAGAATAATTTTTGGACACTTATGACAATTTGAGAAAACTCACAGATGAACTGAGTAGCCTAGAAATATCAAAACAATTAAGAAAAGTTAGATGGTCATAAATGCATAATATGTAGATACTAGTCTTTTTTGTTATTTTCTTCTATAAAATATACACAAATTATAAAAAGTTAAAATTGATCAAAACTTTTATACACACACATACTTATAGACTGTACATGGCAGCATTCACAGTCCAGAAAAATGTACATAAATGTAAAGATACAGCATTCAACCACAACTGCGTAAGATTAACTGTGGTGCATACTGTACTGTTGTAATAATTTTGTAGCCACCTGCTGCTGCTATTATGGTGAGCTAAGTGTGGTAGATTGCAAGTAGCTGCATGAAATGCCACGCGATGCCAATCATCTCCACATGAGCAGCTCATTTCTCCAGTAAACTGTGGATCACAGGAAAAAGTGATCTCTCACGTATTTTTCCTCATGGGTAGTGCAATACAGTAAACCTTAAATAAAACTATGGGACACATATGAAGTGCCACTAGTAATGCTGGGAGTGTTCCCATGAAGCAGAGAAAGTTAGGACATTGCAAGAAAAAGTTGAGCCGGGCGCGGTGGCTCACACCTATAATCCCAGCACTTTGGGAGGCCGAGGCAGGCGGATCACGAGGTTAGGAGATTGAGACCATCCTGGCTAACACGCTGAAACCCCCCGTCTCTACTAAAAATACAAAAAATTAGCTGGGCATGGCGGCGGGCGCCTGTAGTCGCAGCTACTCAGGAGGCTGAGGCAGGAGAATGGCGTGAACCCAGGAGGCCAGAGCTTGCAGTGAGCCGAGATCGCGCCACTGCACTCCAGCCTGGGCGACAGAGCAAGACTCTGTCTCAAAAAAAAAAAAAAAAAAAAAAAAAAAGGAAAGAAAAAGTTGAATTGCTTGATGGGTACTATAGAGTGAATGGTTACCCACCATGTTAGACAGACGATTCATCTTGTAAACAGAAAACATGAACTTATTATAGTCCTGTAAATGTATTTTCTTTTCCTTATGATGTTTATAACATTTTCTTTTCTCTAGCTTGCTTTATTGCAAGAATACAGCATATAATACCTATAATGTGCTAAATATGTGTTAATTGACTATGTTATTAGTAAAGCTATTAGTAGTTAAGTTTTGGAGGAGCCAAAATCATACATGTATTTTTAACTACACGGGAAGTTGGCATCTCTAATCTTTGTGTTGTTCAAGGGTCAACTGTACTGGTAAACTTGAACTATTCCTAAAATAATATTTAGTTTTTTCTTTTTTTTTTCTTTTTTTTTTTGAGACAGAGTCTCGCTCTGTCACCCAGGCTGGAGTGCAGTGGCACGATCTCAGCTCACTGCAAGCTCCGCCTCCCAGGTTCAAGCAATTCTCCTGCCTCAGCCTCCCAAGTAGCTGGGATTACAGGCATGTGCCACCACACCTGGCTAATTTTTTGTATTTTTAATAGAGATGGGGTTTCCCTGTGTTAGCCAGGATGGTCTTGATCTCCTGACCTCGTGATCCGCCCCCTCGGCCTCCCAAAGTGCCAGGATTACAGGCGTGAGCCACTGTGCCCCACCTAGTTTTTTCTAAATACCATGCTTGCATTTTTTAGGAGTGATCATATATATATATATATATATATTTTGAGATGGAATCTCGCTCTGTTACCCAGGCTGGAGTGCAGTGGCGCAATCTCAGCTCACTGCAACCTCTGCCTCCCAGGTTCAAAGGATTCTCCTGCCTCAGCCTCTTGAGTAGCTGGGACTACAGGAGCGTGCCACTACACCTGGCTAATTTTTTTTTTTTTTGTATTTTTAGTAGAGGTGAGGTTTCACCATGTTGGCCAGGCTGGTCTTGAACTCCTGACCTCAAGTGATCCGCCTGCCTTGGCCTCCCAAAGTGCCAGGATTACAGGCTGAGCCACTGCGCCCGGCCGATCATATGTTCTTTGTTGCTGTTTTCCTTTCCAGTCATCCCTGTACTCATTTCATGTTATTGCTCTTGGGTCTTTTGATTCCATCATTTTAACCTTCTGTCAATTAGTCATAATAATCATTACTGATTTATACAGCTTAATTTATACATATTCAATAATTGATTGCTAATCGTTGACAACTACCCCTCCCTTCTGAATTTGGTCACCTTTAGGAGTCATCTCCGTGAATATCTGTGACTGATAAACTGCTTCAGTTCAGGTAGATGGAATTTTCTAGTTCCAGTCCCGTTTTCAAGAAAGTTTAATCTATGTATGGGTACTGGCTTTATTAAGGGTCAACAGTTTTAGATCCTAACCCCAGGAGGGCCCAAGGCACTCACCCTGTTTCTGTAAGGTCATCACAACCTCAGACCCTAGGCCTGTATTCAGACCTGCTGCCCCACTAGCTGCCCAGACTTTCGCCAAAACTCAAATGTTCTCATCGTGAATTTATCTTCACTTCTGGCATCTAGATATTTCCCTTATTTCGCACTTTACGTATTCTCGAACAGTTTCGTTATGTTGTATCCATGTGTACGTAATAGGAGGGTATTCTCTGTTAACTTAAAACAGCATGTTGCAGGAACCCAGTACTATCTTTCTTTGCATTGCCCATGCAAGTGAGCCCTGCAATATAACCATCTTGTCTGCTGAGACTTTCTTACACATTTTCAGAGTATTTTCTAAAGAAGTCATCACATCTAAGATGCAAGCTTACAAGCGAGTTCACTAGGGGATTTACTCTGTAGACATGTTGATTTTGATCTAAATTTAATGCCCTTGTTTCTACAACTGTATTTGTTTACTCTTTTGTGCCTGTGGTATAATACACTATCTTATACTCTCAAGCATTTCAATACCTCTTCCAGTGTTTCTAGATCACTCTGTCTCTCTCATTCACACACACATGCACATGCACACACATATACTTTTACACATGCATGCACACACATACATGAGCACACACACATTTACATACATGCTCACACACAGCACACAGTGGGACAGTCTGTTCACAAACACTACAGAACAAACTTCCTTGTCTGTAGGAAGATATGTGTGCACCTGGCCTCTTTGCTGTTCTTACGACTTGCCCTTCCCAAGTTATTTCTACTTTACCTCTGTGGTTCGTTTGATAGAATTTCCAGTTAATGTATTATAAGTTATAATATGCCTTTTCTGGAATAAATCTTTGCTTTCAATAGATCCATTCACTCCTTTCCAGAAATGATCGCTGCTTTTTATATTCTCCTTGGAAAAACAAAAGCACCTGCCTTGACCCTTGTCTTCAATATCACATATAACCATACAAAACTAAAAACAATCCATTCATTTATTCCTTTGGTTAATAGATTTTTGTTGGGCAGCTATCATGTTGTATGCGGTGTGTTAGATGCTGGGTATGTTCTATGAAACAAAATAGTCTCTGACCCCTGGAAGAGAAAGAAAGAAAGAATATCCCTCGCCTTACCTTTCTTGACCCATAGTCCAACTGAAGAGAGAAGACGTCTGTTAATTAACTAACAATATTAAGTAGCAAATTCTGAGTACCAAATGAGTGGTATTGAGATCAGCTGCCTATTTGTGGGCTGATATGGTTCCAAATGGCTTCACTTGACAGCCTTGAAATTGAGTCTTGAAAAGGGTGCAGAAATCTAGGTAAAAAATATCGATGGGGAGGCATTTCAGGTGGGAGAAGGAAATGAAGAAAGACCCTGAGGTGTTACATGGGGTCAAAAGAAAGGATGATTCAAAGCAAGGAGAGAGCAGAGAAGAGTTGGGCTGAAAATTGAATTTCCTACCACTTGTAGGTACCAAGTTGTGACAATGAGCTTGTCATTTCTTGCAGCACCTGTCTTATGTAGCTAAAAGTCTCTTTGAGTTCTGCAATGGCATATTGCTTCTACGGCCAACATTCTGTCTTTGATAGTGAGGTCTTACATTAGCATTAAATCAAATGTTATATTGAACCTTGAGTAAAATCTCTTCCAATTTATGTTTTTTTTTTATTATTTGTGTCTGTGTTGTTCTCTGTGTGTGTGTGTGTGTGTGTGTGTGTGTGTGTGTGTGATTGTGCACCTGTATTTGCGTTTCTCATCTGGAAAATTCTCTTATTCTTTTCCCAGGGTTTGCACTGATTTTCACCCTTATTCACTCATCTGAAATATCCTTTTTCAGTTTAATCCCAGCATTTTATGTGGTGCTAGACTTTGGCTTATTGGATTGTAATTTCCAACTTCTAACCTCTCACCTTTGTAAGACATTGACACTGAATCATCTTTCCTCACTCTCAGTATAAATGGTATTTTAACTCCAAGCTGGCTGCCTGTTAAATTCATTTACTGTGCTAGAGTGTATCTGGTAACTTGCCTGTGATGAATTTGTGTCCATTATTACATTATAGATGGTTTCATGCAGCCATCTCTGCAAAGGGCCTAATTATAGCTGTGATGGCCAAAACTACTTGTTACCTCGTGTCTTCTGACTCATGTGACTTGTACATGTTTTGACAATGAACAGTTCTACCCTCCACCATGGTTAGATAAGGTGGAATCTTTTTGATAGGAGACCTATATTAGTTCAGATAAATGATGTTGCTTGTTACGTACGAACACACATCACTTTATCTCGTTAGCTTGGGAAATGGATACGGGCAGAGTGTATTATTCATTTTATATCTAGTGCTGAGAGAGGGGCACTTCACACAAAATAGTGGTTCAGCAAATGTTTGTGGGATGCCAAAAAAGCCCCCACAACAAAAAGTGGACCTCTTTGGTTATCCAAGAGAGATGTTTTGTCTTTTGGTTCTAGAAATTTTTTCTTGCTTCCTCATCTCTCATAGACATCCTAGAGGAGTGTGTGCATGTGTGTGTGTGTAATATTAAGCAACCAGCCATTCTTTACCAATAGAAGATATCCTTGTTTCTAACAATGAGACTTCTTCTAATAGTGCTAACACTTTATCTCATGTATGTTATTTATTTTTTGAAGATATAGCTTTGCATTTTGGAATAATTGGAGACTCACATGCAATTTTAAGAAATAATACACAAAGATCCCATGTACTCTTTGCCCAGCTTCCCCTAAAGTTAACATCTTGCACAACTATAGTACAATATCAAAACCAAGATGTTGACATCAACTAATCTTATTTAGATTTCTCCATTTTGCTTTCATATATGTGTGTGTGTGTGTGTGTGTGTGGTGTATGGGTGTATTTAGTTCTGTGCAATCTTATTATATGTGTAGGTTTGTGTAATAGCACCTGCTGTGGTTTGAATGTGTTCTTACAAAAACATGTGTTGGAAATTTAATCTCCACTGCAATAGTGCTGGGAGGTACAGCCCAATGAAAGGTGTTTAGGCCATGGATTGATACTGATTACAAAAACAGCTTGAGTCTGTGAGCTTGCTGTCTTGCCCTTCTGCCTTCCTCCAGAGACCCTTGACAGATGTGGGCCCCTTGATCTTAAGCTTTCCAGCCTCCAGACCTGCGAGCCAATAGATCTCTGTTCATTACAAATTACTGAGACTGTGATATCCTGTTTTAGCAGCACAAAAAGGACTAAGACACCACCATAGTCAAGATACAGAGCAGTTCTGTCATGAGGACCCCTCGTGATACTCTGACAGCCACAGCCACTCCTTCCCTCCCTAACCCCTGACAACCATCAATCTATTGACCGTCTCTAATAATGTCATTTCAAGAATGTTATATAAACAGATTTATAAAATATGTAACCTTGTAAGATTGGCTTTTTCTGTTTAGCATAACTCCTGAGATCCACCCAAGCTGTTCATGTATCCATAGCGGGTTCCTTTTTATTGCGGAGTAATATTCCATGGTATTGGTGTAACAGTTTAACCATTCACTCATTTATGGATATCTGGGTTTATTCCAGTTTTGGGCTATTACAAAGGAAGCTTCTATAAACATTCAAGTATGGTATGTGAGTGTAAGTTTTCATTTCTCTGGGATTCTTGTCTATGAATTCAACTGCTGGGTTGCGTGGTGATTGGAAGTTTAGTTTATTAAAGAAACAGTCACTGTTTCCCAGAAAGACTATGCCATTTTCCATTCCCACCAGCAATATGTGACTCAGTTTCCCTCTGTCCTCATCAACATGTGGTGTTTTCATTATCTTGTATTTTAGGCATTCTAATAGGACTTGTCTTATTGGGCTTATTGTCTTATTTGGGCTACTGTAACAAATTACCATAGACTGAGTAGCTTCACAGAAGTTTATTTTTCACAGTTCAGGGGAAAGTTTAAGATCTGGGTGCTGGCATGGTCCATTTCTGGTGAGGTCCACCTTCTAGGCTGCAAACTTCTGACTTCTTGTTGTAGCCTCATGTGGTGAAGAGCAGAGAGGAGAAACAAGCTCTCTCGTTACTATAATGAGGGCACTAATCTCATTCATGAGAGCTCTGCCCTTATGACTTAATCTAATCCTCATTACCTCCTGAAGTCCACAGCTCCTTATCCATCAGGGGGTAAGGTTTCAACATATGAATTCTGGGGTACACAGACATTCTGTTCATAACAGGTATGTAATGACATTTACTTTCTAAATGGTATTTGAATGTTGTTTTGTTTATTGAATAACCATAAACCAAGGAGTTAAGGGTTGCAGATGCTGTAAACCTTATTTAACAGATGAAGCAGGCTGGGTGCTGTGGCTCACGTATAATCCCAGCATTTTGGGTGGCTGAGGCAGGCAGATCACCTGAGGTCGGGAGTTTGAAACCAGCCTGACCAACATGGTGAAACCCCGTCTCTACTGAAAATACAAAATTAGCCAGGCATGGTGGTGCATGCCTGTAATCCCAGCTACTCGGGAGGCTGAGGCAGGAGAATCGCTTGAACCCAGGAGGCAGAGGTTGTGGTCAGCAGAGATCGTGCAATTGCACTCCAGCCTGGGCAACAAGAGCGAGACTCTGTCTCAAAAAAAAAAAAAAAAAAAAAAAAAAAAAAAAAAGTAGATGAAGCAAGTTGCTCAAATCAGACACTTGTTTGAGTCACAAAATAATCAATGGTAGAGCTTTGTCTGCAACCCTACATTACTCCCTCATTGTTTTATGTTGTCCTGATTAAATTGAGCTTCTAACTGATAATAAAATCTATTATTCCCAAAATTGGGCCACCCATTCCCCAAACGTCCTACCTTCATTCTAGAATGTCAAACACAAGCCACAGCTGAGCAGCAGGACCTCCATCAGCATGCAACCACATGGCCAGCCACGCCCTGCGCCAAGCCTCCAGATGGAGAGGATTTGGTGGGAAATCATTTCTGCTGCTTTCCGCATTCCGCATACAGTGTCTTCTTTTAACATGGCCTCTTGAGAGCCACTCTCCAGCGGCAGCACGGCCAGCCTCTGTGCCTCCACTCTCCACCCCACCTTGCCCATCCACAGCTGTCTTCCCTTTCTCTTCTCTCTTTGCAGCTATTCTCCCTTCCCAATCCAGCACAGCAGTGTGGCTCTCCTTCCTGTACACTGGTCTCCTATTTTCCCTTCTCTCATCACATAAATCAGGCTCACATAGGGTTAGCTTGCGTTAGCTTCTTTTAACTGGTTGTTCTGTTGGTTTTAATTTTCCTATTTTTGGGATTGGTTTAATTATGGGAGGAGTTAGAGGCTATTTTAATGAAATAATTATGGAATTAGCCTAGGTTTTTTGAAAGAAAGAGGAAGGAAAGGTGTGTTCCATTCTGTTTGCATTTTTTCTTCTGTATCAAGCTTTGATGTAGCTTTTTTTCCAGGCAGAATTTAGGTGCAAATGGAAAGGTCTCAATCTGACTCAAGTCAGAGTACTGTGTGTGGTTGTTCTCAATGGTTTATTAGGTTTTATAGCTCTGTTTTCTTTTCTTGACAAAGTTATCTCACCTTTGCTTGAAAACCATGTTTCTCTGAACTATTTGGTGGTTTCATGATTGCTTGTGCTTAAATTAATGTCAGCAGCAAGGCAATCAGTAGAAACTTCAAGTTTAAATTCTCCTGAAAGCTAACTTTAAATGTTAATGTTTCATTTAATTGAAGCATTCTGAGATATTAGCATTAACCATTTAGAGCACTTTTATTAGATAAACGGAAGAAGGGAGAAGGCCTAATTATTGTAAGTCATTTCTGTTAGACATTTATAGAGAACTTGCCTTTGATGAGAAAATTGCAAAAGAGGCCAAGTATGTCAAATGTTGTTGTCTTCCAATTCCCATTTCAATGTGCAAACTAATCATTCACTTCCCTCATGGGACCGCTGTGAGTTTAACTGGGCAAATACATGTGGAGTCCATGGGTGAATCTTTCATTCAGTGCAGGCTACGTTGGGCGCTGTGGTCAGCTGGAGGCCCCTATTTGACAAGAGACGGTCAGAACTTAGTGTGTGTTTTCTGGGGCTGTTTTGATTTTCCTGTACAGGAGAGTTTTGCAGGGAGGCATATTGGGCTGGAAATCAAAAGGCCGTGGTTCTTGCCCATCTTTATCATGGGTAGATTTCTGGAGCCAGAACCAGAGCCAAATAACTTCCTGACCTGCAAAATGAGGAGGCCTGGAAGATTATCCTAACGAGCCTCTTTGCTCTGTAGTTCCAGCAATTATATGTATTCTGTGAAAAGCCAATAACGTGCAATTCCTGATAGTGAAATAACTCTGGAGCCCATGAACTCATGCTTCATAGGCCAGCCCTACAGATTAGGAAATGGGTTTCTTCCTAGGGTTTTTATTCACCGTACAATACTTTCACATTTTCTTTCCAAATGACTATTAATCACATATTGAATTTTAAAATATTATAATCCATTTTCCCTCCAGTTTTTGTGGAAAAAAATGTATACACATAACGTTTATTATTTTAACCATCCGTAAGTAAGTATACGATTCAGTGGCATTAAACACATTCACAACGTTGTATAACCATCACCACTATCTATACACAAAACTTTTTCATCACCCGCAACAGATCCCAATGCCTTTTCAACATTAAATACTGACTTCCCCTTCCCACTGTTACCATTCACAATGTTGTGTAACCATCACCACTATCTATACACAAAACTTTTTCATCATCCACAACAGAAACTCTGTCCCCGTTAAATACTAACTCCCCTTTCCTACTCTTACCATTCACAATGTTGTGTAACCATCACCACTATCTATACACAAAACTTTTTCATCATCCACAACAGAAACCCTGTCCTCATTAAACACTGACTCCCGCTTCCCACTCTTCCCAGCCCTGGTAAGTCTCCCTCTGCCTGAATTCCCCAGGAGTTTGCCTATTCCAGGTACCTCGTACAGTGTCTATCTTTCTGCATCTGGTGTATTGCTCTTAGCATAATTACTCCCCCTCCAGTTTTAGGAGAAGCTTCTTCCCAAGGAGATTTTTGATAAGAACAGGAGGCGGCCAGCTCAGCTTCCTGGGATGATTTGGGTACAGCCCCACCCAGATGTCTCTAATTTGGCGTTATCAGAGTCAGTCACCCCACTGAAAAGCCCGCCTACCCATGAGCTTGGGAAGCCCTACATTTACAGGATGGTCAGCTGTCCCCATGCCCAGGAGTGGTTCTGTCTGGAGCTGATTCACAGCTCCATCCCCTAGAAACTGTAATTCAACAGGTCTTGGGTAAGATTTAGGGATCTGCATTCTAAAGACAGATTCCATTGATCCCAGTGCCTTTTCAACAGTGAACACTGTCTTCTGCAAACAGCTCACAATTGTCCATGAAATTTTGAGCTTAAGGAAGTTCTAACGCCCCCCTCCCCTCCTTTATTTTTGAGTTGAAAGAGGGTAGAATCAAAAACAATACTGAGAGGGGTCTAAAAATGCAAACACAGAGAGTTGCTGGTTTAGGAGGGCTGGGAGGCTATGGGAGACCATAGGCATAGAGAAAACATTCCTTCTCTGTGACTCTCGGGCGCGAGCGAATCCCCAAGGGGGTCACCAGAGAATCATTTCCTCTTTGGGAATACAACATGAGATGGTTCTTTCATCTGGACCTAGGTTCAATTAAGTAAATAGAGCAAATACAAATAAGAGAAGAAAAGCAGCACAAACAGTGAAACTAGGTCTTTACATACCTAAGGAGGAGCCGTGAGCATTCGCCTCCAGGGAACCACAGTGACGGGAAACATGCTGGAATGTTAAACGTTCCATCTCATTTGTAGGAAGCAGATGCCTACATCTTCAAATTTTGTCTTCTTAAAAATATTATTTTATCCAGATAAAAATCTATAACCTCTAGCAAAGAAAAAACAACAGCTGCAAGTTGGAGATCATGAACTGTCTTTCCAAAGAATCTCCACGTGTAGCTGATGTCAGATGCCATCAGCAGTCAGCCTTCATCACCCCAACGCCAAGTATTTGTTCAGTTTCTGCTCCATATGAATGCATCTTGGATAGAATGTGTTTGGTTTGGCTTTTAAGAAGGCTCACTGACTTAGCCCATGACCTAAAGCATATACTTACCAAGCCTTGGAATTCCTACAGAGGGCCCTGCACTTTGTGTTTGGTACAGAGACCAAAAATACAAACCCAGCTTTGAGGACAGAAGGGCAGGGAAGCAGGCTCTTTATGCTGTGAGTCTCTCACTCCACCCCATGGTCCACTCTGGAAGCAGAAGAAGTTTCTTTGGGGATATAAAATGTATTGTTGGCAATTGTTTTTGTGTGCAGTTAAGGATCCTGGAATTACAGCATCTAATGTTCTAACTCTACTGCCATATCCATCTTAGGAATAGAAATGCAATTGCAAATGGCAATTTGAGGTAAGCAATCCGATTGTGCGAATAGGTCATATCAGATGGCCAGGAATCAAGGGTCATCTAATGAGACTCACTGACCACAACTGAAATCAGCCACCAGACTCTATTTTCTCTCTGACAATTGTGATATGGAGCAAAGAACTTCACCTCCCACCACCATCCCTGCCCGTTGGTGACTGCTCGTGAACATTTGGTTGATGGATGGACAAATGTATGTGTGAACAAATAAATTAATAAATATGTAAGAGTATTGGTTACTGGAGTATGTATTACTAGAGAAATAAGCAAAGACCTGCTCCATACCCTTCCCCCAAGAAAATAGCAAATCATTCTCAGTTGGAAGACTAAAGAGAAATGCTAGAGTCCAGGCCAATGGAAAACAAGTTAAAGACAGAAGGTTTAGTAGCACTGGAAAACCCAGGAGGACAAAGATTCTCCAGGTCATCGGGAGGCGTCGTGCTTTTTTTCATGGGAAAGAAAACTTGACCCAGAGTGGCTTCATTAAAGAAGGGAGAGGGACTTCATAAGTGACCAGTCGAGAGCTAGGCCATAGGGGCTGCAGACCCGGGACTCAAACGATGTGCAAAGGCCTCAGTTTCTCTCTTGGTCTCTCCCACAATGCTGTCTGCTCACACAGGCTTTCCCCCTTTGCACTGTTGCTGGTTGCATTCTCGCTCTTTCCCCCATAAGGCTATTAAAGTTGCTGCTGGAAGGTTCCAGAGCTGTATGATCCCGGAATTGTACCCTGTGAAAAAGCATAGCTGCTTTTCTCACAGAGTAAAGAGGTCCAGCCCTGAGTTATTTTGCCCCTAATGGGTTTCCAGGGTCGTGTCCTTTCCCAACCCCTGAGGAAGCTCAGCAGAGATGCTTCAGGATGAGATTAGGCTCACTGAGCGGGTGAACGGAGCTGTTTGAACTGAGGTCTCAGGGAGACCAGCCCTCTAACTGCAGCGAGCTGGATTTCAGACCCTTCCTGTGCACACACACTGTTGCTTGCCCAGACATGCTTCCCCTTTGTCTTGTTAGACCATTGATTTCCTTTAGAAGATCAAAATCAGGGTGCAGGTAGGAGCCTTAGACAATTTCTAGTTTGACTCTCATCATATTTTTAATATAGCCCTGCATTTTCCTCATATGAAAGCAGAAACCCACAGAGTTTATGATGTGCTCAGAGCCACGCACAGGATCGCTAGAAGCCGGGGCCACAGCCCAGCTTCCACCCTCCTGATGGGGACCATATCCATGTGCTGCTCTTACATGTACTGAAAACTCAGCACATGCCTACTAAATGCTCTGTAGGCTTTATCTCATTTTAACTTCACTTACTCATGTAATCTCAGCACTATTATCATCTGCATGTCACAGAGGAGGGAGCTGAGATGCAGAGTATGTTTGTGACTTGCCCAGAGTTACACACTGATATGGTTTAGCTGTGTCCCCACCCAAATCTCATCTTGAATTGTAGCTCCCATTATCCCTACATGTTGTAGGAGGGACCTGGTAGGAGGTAACTGAATCATGGGGGCAGGTTTTTCCCATGCTGTTCTCGTGAGAGTAAATGAGTCTTACAAGATCTGATGGTTTTATAAAGGGCAGTTCCCCTCCACACATTCTCCTGCCTGCTGCCATGTAAGATGTGACTTTGCTCCTCATTTGCCTTCAGCCATGATGATGAGGCCTCCCCAGCCATGTGGAACTGTGACTCCATTAAACCTCCTTTCCTTGTAAATTACCCGGTCTCAGGTATATCTTTATTAGCAGGGTGAGAACAGACTAATACGCACATACCATCGATTGGCACAGCATAGGCACTCCATGTTCATGACTCCAAAGGGTACCATCTACCACCTGTTAACTGCCTACTAGTATCTTCAAATCAACGTAAGCCTCGTAGCGTTACCTATTGCTGCCTTGTCCTAAGCAATCATGTTAATGGTATCTAGGTTGGATGAGCTACTTATATCTTTTCAATTATACAGGAAAAACAATGGAAAATTGTGATAATGAAAAGAATGTTTGCTCACAAACCACTGAAGATGGCTTCACCTGCCACCAGTGATATGTGAACACACTTATGAAACTCTCACCTATATTACACAGCCAGGGAGGCTAGTGTATTTGTGGCTGATGAGGGATCAATAAGCTTATAGCATAACAATACAGGTAAAAATTTGTGAAAGAGCCCTGGTCACCTTCAGGGATGGAATTGACAGCAGAAAGCCCACAGCACCAAGGTTAAGTACTTTGTTTTGTGTGTATTTATGTGCAGAAACATAGATGTGTATATGTGTAGATATACAACCACATTATACGTTATACTTAGAAGTGCGGGTTGCATACGCCACTGCACATTAGAATCACTATACAGAATCCAGCAAATCAGATTCTCTGATGGTGGGGCCTCAACATCAGTACTTTTTTAAAAAGTCCCAGGTGATGTCTAAGTGGAGCCAGGTTTGCAAACCAGGTACCTAGGATAGAGGTTTTCAACTCTTGGTGTGCTCACAGAGAAGCACTTGAAGTATCTGCACAGCTTTGTCAAAATGCAGATTCAAAGCCTCAAAGATTCTGATGCAGGTAATCTGGGGTGGCCCAGGAATCCGCACATTTCACAAGCACGTTGAATGATTCTGATGCAAGTGAAGGGTCTGAGGACCACGCCTTGAAAGCTCTGCACAGACCCCAGCTCCTCTAGAGGACTTGCATTGCCATCTGGTGAGGACTGAAGACCCACATTAGCTAATTACATCAGTATTTTTAACTCTGGGAAAATGTAAAAAGAATTTAGCACCCAGTGTAAATATGGAAAGATTCTTTCTTAAATGTTCAGTAGAGGACCCTGAGCATATGGTGACTATATAGTCAGTAGCGACTGATCACTTTTTAATGTCAGTTTCATCGTAATCATACGGCTTCCGAATGCCACACATTAAAATGTTAGGTCCTTTTCTTCCCAACCCAGGATTAAAATTCATCTCAAAGGCAAAACATACTGTGATTTCTCAAATGTTTTTGGAACTGTCAAAACCAGAGGATATATTTAGAGGCCTTTAATGTAGAACACAAAATTTCACTACACGCAGAATTGCCAATTAGGATGGGAGGCTCAGAAATGATCTTAATGACACAAGTGTGCAGTGTTTTTTTCCTTCTGCATTACATGAATAATTTCAAGGGTGTTTTCACTCTGAATGAGTTTTTTTTCCTCCATTTGGCACTGCCTGTGGAGTCCTCTCTATAGCAGAGGTGATGTTACGAGCTGTAACGACGTCCCCGTCAGCAAGTAGCACATGCTTTTCCATTAGTTATACTTCCATACCTTCGTTTGCAGTTTTGTTTTTACATACAGGATTGAAACAAATACCAGATAGTACTTTTCCAAATTGTTTTGGTGGACTCCTCCCCATCCACAGCGGCAGACAACTCACATTAAATATGAAGCTTTCACCACATACAATCAGAGGCCTATCAAAATAGCTTCAAACTTCAAATTAATGCCATTTTAGGATCACTGATGCTTTTCTTTAGAATGCCATACACTTGAAATCTTCTAAGACTACAAGAACTGTATGGACATTTATAGCTGAAAAGAAAACCTATTTTTAGAACTCAGAGCTGAAACCCTACCTCAATACTACCCCTATGTTTTCAAGAGTTCCTGTTTCCCAATGCTAGTCAACTCTGAACCTGAATTTTAAAAATTATTTCCTCTCTGTTTCCTCCCTATCTGAGAAGTCATTTATTTGATGGTTTTAGCTTCTACTGGCAACTACGACATGATTTGGAAGCCTGCTAAGAATGAGTCTATAATATGTTTATGTCATGTATTAAAAATCTCCACGGTCTTATAACTTAATATAACCCTATGTGTAATTAGTTGACCGAGAGTCCTTTTCAACATTGATTTTGATATATGATTTCTAATTTATTTGTTTATTTACTTATTTATTTTTGAGACAGAATCTCACTCTGTCGCCCAGGCTAGAGGGCAGTGGTGCAATCTCAGCTCACTGCAACCTCCGCCTCCTGGGTTCAAGCGATTCTCCTGCCTCAGCCTCCCAAGTAGCTGGGATTACAGGCTCATGCCACCACACCCAGCTAATTTTTGTATTTTTAGTAGAGACGGTTTCGCCATGTTGGCCAGGCTGGTCTTGAACCCCTGACCTCAGGTGATCCGCCCACCTTGGCCTCCCAAAGTGCTAAGATTAGAGGCATGAGCTACCGCACCAGGCCTCTAATTTTTAAGGTTTTAATTCTAGGCCGTAATTTTTTCTCTTCCAACATGATAAAAAGGGTCTTCCCATGCCCTTCTCTTGGTTTCTCTTCCCTCCTCATGCCTACCGTTTATCTGTTTCCATGACCTCCCTGCCCACCTCAAGTCAGGTGGCACTTCAACCTGCTGGCAAACAGTGCCACCCAACACTGGCACATGAGTCCATAGAATGTCTGGGAAAAGAGGCTTGTCGTACCATGTGATGTAAAGTACTAACTGTGCAAACGTGCGGCACTCAACAATTTTAGGAGCTTTGTGATTCCTTCTTAATGATGTGCTTAATATATTTCCCCCAATGATTGCTTATTTTCTCTGGTTTTACCCTCCTTTATCAGGTCCTTATTGAATTTCTTCTTTTCCTAGTTAAACTGGAAAAGTAACTTATTACTCTGCCAGGCAGTAGGATCACTCACCAAGAGACGGTAATGAGGGAGACCACATAGCCCAGTTGGTCTGGTGATGCCTGTTTTCCCAACATAGTTATTAATAGCACCACTTTCACTTTGCCACTTTGGATGGCAAATGATATAGCGACAATGGCACTACATTTGCTACTGGCAGCTCAAGAAGATGTTACAGAGGCTGGTTTTGACGGAATCACATATGCCAGATATGTGGCATATGTGGAAATAGATGGGAATTATGCTGGAAATAGGTGGAGGCCCAATTGACCCTGCTTGCTCCTGTTTACCTGTAGCCTCTGCTTTTCTGCTTCAGCCTGGAATTGTCACAGAATATCCCAGACCTCCTAGTCTGTACAGGGTCTGGTTGGACAAGACCCACTGGCTTTTTAGAATTACTCCGGAAGTCCTGGCTTGCTGATCAGAAGACTTGATTCTTCCAGAAAGAGGTAGCCAAGGAGACAGAAAACAAGCTGGAATCAGAGCAAGAAAGACTATGTCTACCAAACATCCCCGTCTCTTCCTACTCTAACTGTAGATACACGTGGATACCATAGCAGCATGAATGAGACCAACACCATCGAATGACCATTAAATGAATGGTCATTCGTTTATGGGGAAGCAGTACTGCAGGGATTATGAGGTCTTATGGTTTAAAGTACAGCACACATGGACCACGGTCCCAGCCAGGGCAGCCTGCTGTGGGAATCTCTCTCAGCAGATTTTTGCCTGTTAGATTCCAGAACCTTCTCTGGTCACTTTCATCCAATCTAATTGTCTGTCTTACCCAAGAAGGGATTTGTTACAAGGGACTTGGTGGATTAAGCTAAAGCAATCTTAAATGCAGAATGCCAGGTTTCTGATACAGATAATCAATTTCAGTTGCTGCAGAAAACTCTGTTGGGGGTGATGGAGAGAATGCACTTTGTGGACCCGTCTGGATTGTCTCCTAGTCTTGTATCCAGGTGGCACTGAGCCTCATCAGTGGGGTCCACTCTGTTATTTCCTGGCCTTTACTTGGTGAGATAAACCCTTCATGTTCAGCAGCCTTGTAACAGTTTGCAGAAAAGTCTCCAGCCTTTGCTTATGTGTTGGGTGCAAGTCTACTGATACATCCTGAGGGTGTATGCTGTTGCCGGTGCGTTGCACTAAATGCCTGCTACTGAAAATATGCCCAGGGAATATTTCTCTTTATATCTGTGGAACTTTGTCCATCGCTGTGCTGGAAACAAACTATTCCCTGGGCAGTCAGTGGTGCGCTTTTAATTCTGGCCTGTGTGGTGGCAGTGGGAGGGGCGGTGCCTTTTGCTGCGTCGGGAACCTCTTGATCCCACCAGGGTGAGCTGAAAGACCTTGAATATGATACTTCAAATAATAAAAATGTATGTGTCACCTTGGATCTGCCCAGAAAAGGGGAGAGGATTTTACAAACACACACACACGCACACACGCAACACGCACACACACACGCACGCACACGCGCACACACACGCTGACACACACGCACGTACACGCGCACACATGCGTGCACACACGCGCACACACGCGCACACACACGCACACACACACGCACATGCACACACAGAGTCATTCAGGAAAAACAACAACAGAAAACAATTTAGCACATTTTTGGTGCTCTGAAAATATAAATTGGGATTTTATCTACCAATATTACCATTTATCAAGTTATAACTATGTATAGCATTTAATTGATATAAATACACACAGCATAAACTTACCCCAAAGTATTTATGCTTTAAAAATTTATTTACAAATAATCTGGGAGAAAAAGGTTTATTTCAAAACTATATAGAGGGCTGGGCATGGTATAATCCCAGCACTTTCGGAGGCCAAGGCAGGTGGATCACTTGAGGTGAGGAATTCGAGACCAGCCTGGCCGACATGGTGAAACCCCATCTCTACTAAAAATACAAAAATTAGGCCGGGTGTAGTGGCTCACGCCAGTAATCCCAGCATTTGGAGAGGCCAAGGCGGGTGGATCATGAGATCAGGAGTTCAAGACCAGCCTGGCCAAAATGGTGAAACCCTGTCTCTACTAAAAATACAAAAATCAGCCAGACGTGGTGGCGGGTGCCTATAAATCCAGCTACTTGGGAGGCTGAGGCAGAGAATTGCTTGAACCCGGGAGGCAGAGGTTGCAGTGAGCCAAGATCACGTCACTGCACTCCAGCCAGGGCGACAGAGTGAGACTCCATCTTAAAAAAAAAAAAAAAATCAGCTTGGTGTGGTGGTAGGTGCCTATAATCCCAGCTACTCAGAAGGCTGAGGCAGGAAAATCACTTGTACCCAGGAGACAGAGATTGCGCCGCTGCCTTCCAACCTGGGCAACAAGAGTGAAACTCTGTCTCAACAAACAAACAAACAAACAAAAAATATATGCAGAGAAGAGAGTACTTAGGAGCACAGTGGGAGGGTGAGATGTCAGGGCTCAGCATCTGCTTCCGAAGTTGTCACCAGGCATTTGTTCAGGGCATGTGGGCACTAAGAGGATGACCCCGTGGTGGTCAGGTACCTTGCTGCTCTGCACACAAACAATAGAAAGCAATGGAGCCCTTGTTAGAAACACATATTTCTAAGCTCCAAGCCTGGAGCCTAGGAAACAGTGTCTCCCAGGAAGAAACCTGTTAATCTGCACCATGTCAGGGACCCCACCCCAGGATTCTTACCAGTAGTGATGGGTGAGAAACACTGGCTATGCTAACAGAAGCAGGCACACAGCGGCCCCGTCTTCCTCCCATCTGTGAGCATGCTTCAGGGCTGAGCATATGACCAACATTTTACATTTCAGAGTTGGCTCCCACCTTAACACACACAACAATGTGGACACCACCATAAACTGTGACATCACCATCACCCGGACACCAGTGGGATTTATGTTGTGTGGATTAATGGCCAGTGGATAAATATACAGCAATACCAAGGGGCAGGTCAACAGCTTAAAGATTAGGAGAAAACAATGAGTCAGAAACTGAGCAGGTAATCATCAGAGCATCCGTGAATAATCTGACAGACTCCTCAGTCTTCCACATGTGCACGTGGGGCAGAATGTTGACATCCAAGTGGGCATGGTAAGCAGCTGATGAAAAGTTAAGGATGGAAACTTTAGGCTTGAAAGTCAGCAAAGTGAAGCTGACTTGCCAAGAATAAACTAAGCAGCTATGTGGCATCATGCAGATACACACACAGACACTTTTTTTTTTTTAAGATAGAAGGAGAAACAGCAGGAGAGGGAAGAAGTGGAAAGAAAGATGCTGACTTGACTGGACTCTTCACTGCTAACCTTTGGTGAAGGATAAGTTTAGACACAGGCTGCCTACATGCAAGCATAGAGATATTTCTAGTGTGCCTTCTTATAAAGGAAGCACAGGTAGATGTTTGTCTTTGTATGGTTGTAATTAAGCGCCAAATGATGTCCTCCATTCCCTTAGTGACCTAGGAAGAGAACCAGCTGTGCAGCACCATCTCTTTGTCTGTTTTTGGAAGTGAGCCCAATGCACTTGACCCTCAGTGCTATGAGGGACCAGGGGGCTGACAGGTGAAATACAGCAGGGAAGGCTGCAAAGAAGCCCCAAGCTGCTGCGGGCAGGGTGTGTGCAAGGCGCACGGTACAGACAGACCCACCCTGTGTTTGTGGGGCAAGCCCCCTGTGCCTTTCCCCCTCTGTTGCCTCTTTCAGCTGCCCTCAGTCCTTCCCACAATTCATCCCATCTCCCAGCACCTGTTTTGGATTTGGAGCCAGTATATGCAGGAGAGAAAAAGAAGACAGTAAATCGAGCAAGAAAAAGGAAAATGTTGTATTCTGGAGCAGAATTACGAATGAGTCAGCAGCAAGGTCTGACAAAACAAAATACAAAGGCAGTAAAGTAGGAGGTTGGCTGCCAGGCTGGTGTGAAGCTCGGATACCTGTTTCTCAGTGGCCGCCAGTAGAAGACAGGGATATGACAAGCTTGGGAAGAAAGCAGGCATGCTGGTGTGCATCCTGGAAAATTAGTTAGGAGGAAATTCTCATGGGTTTCTTCCTTTGAATTTCCTCCTAGCAATGCTATGGCTGATTTCATTTGTTTCCCAGAAGATGAGCTGAAGACACATAGGAGCAGCTATTGGAATTGAAATGTCCAAGTGGAGACTGAAGGAAATATATATTTTGTAATTACTCAGCTATTTCTGGATGTCACAGATGTTTTTGAAACGCATATTTGGAAACACAGTTGAAATCACAAGTGAAATTTTTATTGTTCATCTCCTAAATGTAAGCTTTTTATTTTATTTAGAGGCATCCTCGGTTTTAATCATCTTGTTATACTTAGATGTTCTCCTCTTAACGACTCATTGCAAAAAGAAGGCATTCTATGTGAAGGGTACAGAGAATGCGAGAAACATTCTCTATCAATGACCTGAACAACTAGGGATTGATCAGAAAAGAAGGAACTAAGGTATAATAGCGTTGGGTGTGGTATGGAAGTAGAAGTCGTTTGAGATACATATTTGAAGAAGCTACAGGTTCAAGAAGAACTCACCATTTCTACTCTCTTAAATGTAAGTTTTGTGAAAGACCAGTGACTACTATAAGTTAGTTTATTCCAGGAGGAGAGAAAGAGCTGAGATATAAATACTGAATCCTAAGGATTTGTCCATTATTTTTGTGTTTGGAATCTGACAACTGTATGTCTTCTATATTTTAACCCTTGTATAAATGGTTGCAGTAAATTGCCTAGAGCAGTGAAGGAAAGATGTGCAGCCAAGGGAAAGATCAAGAACCTTCGGTTTACATGGAGCTATTTCCTAATATTTGTTTTATGTCATATGAGCTAAACATCTTTACCTTTTACTAAATATTTCAAATTTTATCTGGGGTCCATTAGAAATTTTTTCTTTTTTTTTTTTTTTTTTTTTTTTTTTTTTTGAGACAGAGTCTCACTCTGTCACCAGGCTGGAGTTCAGTGGCTCAATCTTGGCTCACTGCAAGCTCCGCCTCCCAGGTTCAAGCTATTTTCCTGCCTCAGCCTCCCAAATAGCTGGAACTACAGGCACCCACCACCACGCCTGGCTAATTTTTTTTCCTTTTTTTTTTTTTTTTTTTTGAGATGGAGTCTCGCTCGCTCTGTCGCCCAAGCTGGAGTGCAGTGGCGCGATCTCGGCTTACTGCAAGCTCTGCCTCCCGGGTTTTCGCCATTATCCTGCCTTAGCCTCCCAAGTAGCTGGGACTACAGGCCCCTGCCACCATGTCCAGCTAATTTTTTTTTGTATTTTTAGTAGAGACGGGGTTTCACCATGTTGGCCAGGCTGGTCTCGATCTCTTGACCTCGTGATCCACCTGCCTCGGCCTCCCAAAGTGCTGGGATTACAGACGTGAGCCACCACGCCCGGCCTTTTTTCCTTTTAAGTCATTATAACAAGACGTTTAACTTCATGCAAATGGTATAAAATATATTGGCAAGGAGTGCAGAAATGTTTGCCAAATATGGTCATTAATATGGGGGTGACTACGACCTGCTTGAGAGAAGAGAAGGGAAGACTTCTCTAGGGAGGACTGATTCATTCAGGAAGTTTTCCATCATCCTTCAACTTCCGCATCAGGACTTACAGTTCACTGGACCATCAGCCACAGGAGTGGGCCCAGACACCAGACAAGAAGTCAGAAGTTTTGGCAAGATGCCGGGTCTTTGGGTGAGTGCCCAGTGAGAGGTACAAATGCAACAGGAGTCTGACGCCATGGAGGGATGTGACTTCTGCAGAATCTTGGGAAGGGGGCAGTGTGGGTTTTGCATGTGGGAGGGACTTAAATAACTTTTATCACAGCCAAATGTGACATGCTAAGGCCTGAATGCATTTATTCATGGTTCAGGCAGCTGTAGCCAACAACAAGAAGCAGTTAAAGTTATGTACCCACTGAGAGCAGATAGCGGGGAGGCAGAGGTCAGCACCTGCTTGCCTGGGAGCTGCAGGGTTTCTGAGCGGGAAGGAATGTTAGTGGTTGCTGGTTCCATCTCACCAATTCCTGCATTCCTGCATTCTGAATGCACCAACAAATGGCTTCCATCCTTCTATTAACAGGGGCTGTTGAGCCTTTTCAGTGTTGAAGTATTTCAGACTACCAAAAGACAGTTTCATGGTTCTGAAATCTATTTCCTTCTAATGTGTACTTGTCAGCCTTATTCTTCCCATGGAAGCAAAAGAGACCAGGCCTACTGACATGCATGTACTCATGAAGTTCTCTAAAACCTTAAAGACATCTATCCCTCTCCCCCGGGTCGTCTCTTGTCTGTGCAGAATACTTCCACTTGCTCCAAGCATCTCTCAGGTAGCTTTGTTTCCAGACTCAGCCAACCTGGTCATCTTCTCTGGAGTATTTTGGCTTATTGGTCTCACCACTAGAAAAAAGTGACACCCTCAACTGGACCTGTTACTTCAAATGTTAAGGGAGAAGGTTTTAGACAAGATAGGACAACATGTCTTCCCAGAAAGACCTTATGAGCTGGGTAGCTCTTGTCTCCGCCCACATTATTAGAGATGAGCTCGTTTATTTTAACTATCCAAAGAAGGATCTGGGTGGAAAATGGGGAAAGTCTGCTTCTGCCTCCCCTGCCCTGAATGCCCACCTGATAATTAGCCCTTCCACAAAGCGAGTCCCCAGGGGCTTCCTGGAAGCACAGCAGCTGCTACATCGTGCAGGACCATGACAGTGGATGGAATTAATTACTAAAACCAGCCAAGACCAAGATTAAGGAAGATACCATGTAAATGTGGCAATTCGCGAAGTATTTCTGAAAAATGAGGCATCTGTTTCCTGGTCTCACCTCTCCTCATGTCAGGTGAAAGGTGTGGCGGGGAATGGGGGCTGTAATTCAGACTTAACTGTTTGATTGATCTTCTCGGACTCCTCAAGGTTATCAGAGTAAAAAAAGGAATATGTACAGGACATTGCTTTCATGAAGTGTCTGTCACAGTCCACAAAACCTCGGCTTGGATTGTGAAAGCAGATTGTTTTCTGTCTCCTAGGGGACTGTCTATTGTGTTAATTTCCAGATATGGATATGACTGTGCCATCTAGCACCTAACGGAACTTCTTTTTTATCTGTTAATGATGGAACACTTCAAAATTGCAAGAAAATAAACCCTTTGAGTAAACACTTCATTTTCTCATTTTCCTCAGTTTTAGAGCCAAGAAATAGAATATTTTCCAGCTTCTTTTTGGTGCTTTTATTTTTTTCCTTCAGGTTTTACTTTTTTTCCCTTCTCACCCCTGACATCTCATGCAGATAACTTTCCTTTTTTTTCTCTTTTTTACCACCCAGTCTCTAAATCTCACTTTCTTTTCTCTGTCTCATCTGCCTTTTCTCTGTGTTAACTTTTCCAGTATTTTCAGCCTTGCTTCTCATTATGTTACTATATTGTGTTTCTTTAACTGTGTATGCCAGCCATGGGGTTCTTGATTCTAGCTTAAGAAAATCTGACTCTGGGCTCATCTACACCTCCTGTTATTTTTCACTTCCTCTTTGAATGGAATTGTAGGATTAAATAAGGAAAGGACTGTGGAGGTCCCCTGAAGCAATTTTCCTGCAATGCATGCACCCATTCCAGAGGACTCCAGTGGTGCTTCGAGCCCCTGCTCATATGCTATCCATGCTGGGGAGCTCACCACCTCAGGGAGACCATCCATCCTCATACATGCTCTAAGTGGACTGCACTAATGCTGACCAGACACCCAGTCCAAAATCCTGGGTAACAATCTCAGTCATTGAAGGCAGCTGCAACTCTGCCATTCTTAATGGGATTCCGGTTTGCCAAGAGCCCCAGAGAGTAGAAAAGTAAGAGTTTCGTGGACTCTACACAATGCTGGTAACTAGATCATGCAATTCTCAGAATTTAGAAAAGAGTGTTTTTTATTCCTTTCTTGTGATTTGAATTTCCTCACAACCCTTAGCCCTGTATTACACAAAAGGAAACTGAGGCTCAGATAAGCAACTTGTGCAAGTTCACCCAGCAAGTGAATAACAGGCTCAGATGACCTCTGCGCCTTACTCTAAAACTGCCTAATAGTAGTAGCTGTGTCCTACTCCAGAGCTACACCTAGCCACCCTCTTCTGCTGGCCTCAGCCTGGTGCATTGTTAGGAAGGGAATATCTGAGGTGATGTGGAGGAGGGAGGGGAGCACAGGCAGGCCAGACAGGGGCAACTTTGGCTACTCCAGCATCCCAAACTAGGGCCGTGCTAGAGGGTAGAAAACGTGGTGTAAATTTAAGGGGCATTCTCAAGTTACAAAGTCAAGTGAAACTTGGTAATCATGTTTACATGGACAGTAAGGAAAATAAGCAAGGGGAATGGCTGATGCGAATTCCAATATTTTTCTGTGGAAAGACCAGGTACATGGAAGGAAACAGAGAATTCTTTAGCAGAAAAAGAATGTATCTCTCTAATGCCCAGTGATGATGAGCTTTTTTTCATGTTTGTTGGCTGCATAAATGTCTATGCAGCCATAAAACAAATGAGTTCATGTCCTTTGCAGGGACATGGATGAAGCTGGAAGCCATCATTCTCAGCAAACTAACACAAGAACAGAAAACCAAACACCACATGTTCTCATTCATAAGTGGGAGTTGAACAATAAGAACACATGGACACCGGGAGGGGAACATCACACACTGGGGCCTGTCGGGGGATGGGAGGCAAGGGGAGGGAGAGCATTAGGACAAATCCCTAATGCATGCAGGGCTTAAAACCTAGATGACAGATTGATGGGTACAGCAAACCAGCATGGCACATGTATACCTATGTAACAAACCTGCACATTCTGTACATGTCCCAGAACTTAAAGTAAAATTTAAAAATAAAATAATAAAAAATTTCACCTAAAAAAAAGAATGTATTTCATTTTCAAAATATTGAATTTGGGGTTAAAGTTTGGCATAAAAACATCCATGTGGAAAGGTCCAGCCCAAGCTAAAAATATAAGTTTAGAACTCAGAAGATACATGAAGCATAAAGACGTAAATTCAGTAGGAAGCTGTGTCAGAAAGCAGAAATGATGGGGACCTGCCAGACCAAGGCTTAGACCAGTGAGGAAGGAGCCCCTGGGATGGCAGGTTGGTGCCTGCCTTCCATTCGGGTCTGCAGCAGCAGGAGAGAAAGGTGAAGAGCCTGGATGGAGGGGCAGGAGGCGAAGGAGAGCAGGTCCTGGAATCAGGAAAGGGGAACAGCTCCTGTTGCCTTCATCACGTGCTGCAGGCTGGAAATCAGAAAGATGCCACGTGTTTGGTAGATAAGGGTTAGCTGGGAGAACTCATTTTGAGAATGCTAGGAGTATATTGCAGTGGGTTAAAAGTGAATAGAAAGTGAGCCAGTGAAGCAGTGTAGACTTTGCTTGTGAAGGGCCATGATAGTTACAAGAAGGAGGCTGGGTGCAGTGTCTCATGCCTGTAATCCAAGCATTTGGGAGGCCGAGGCAGGAGAATCACTTGAGCATGGGAGGCAGTGGTTGCGGTGAGCCAAGATTGCACCACTGCACTCCAGCCTGGGCAACAGAACGAGACTCTGTCTCAAGAAAAAAAAAAAAAGGAAGGAGCAGTTCCAAGGGAATATGGCCAGAGGTTTTTTGTTTGTTTTGTTTGTTTGTTTGTTTTCAATGAGGGAGATTTGAGTTATATTCTACAGAATTAGAAGAAGTAATAGGGGAGAATGAGTGGTTAGAAATGTAAGGCACAGTGGAGAAGTTGTTAAAGTTCAACAAGAAGCAGGAGGGTATGAGCTTAGTCTTGCAAAGGAAGATGGCAGTTTCAAAACGTCAGCCGGATTCAATTTAAAGCTTAATTAAGCAGTGAACAATTTGCAAATTGGGCAGCCTCCTGAGCCACAATAGGCTCTGAGACTCCAGTGCAGCCCCATGGTGGTAGAAGATTTATGGACAGAAAAAGGAAAGTGATGTACAGAAAACAGAAGTGAGGGACAGAAACAGCTGGATTCGTTACAGCTCAGCATTCACCTTATTTGAACATGCTTCAAACAATTGGCTACGTTTGATTAGCCAAAACTTGGTGATTGGCGCAAGAGTAGGTTATGGTCTGTTTACACCTCCACTGGTTATAATTCACAATGTGCAGAGAAACCTTTAGGCTGAACTTAAAACATGTAAGGAGGCAGCTTTAGGCTAAACGTGACTTAACGGTAGCTTCTTTGTAGGAGAGGAAGGATGGAGGAGAGGCCTGACTTAGGGCACTTGACCTAGGAAGGAAGAGTAGAAGATGGATTTGAGAAAGACTTAGAAAGTTACTGATTAGAAATTGGGCGCTATTTGATTGAATTGGAGTAGGGGAAGCAAGGGGTCAAAGAATGGAGGGAAGGAAAACTACATTTTCAACTCAGCTTACTGAGTGCATGATGGAGCTACCAACTGAGATAGGGATTATCAAAAGGGAGCAAGGTTTGGGGGCTGCTGAAGAGTTTATTCTGGAGCAAATTGAGTTTTTGGTGCCTGTGAGACATAGGATGCAGTCATCTGATATATTGGTCTGTAGCTGGACCTGTGGGAGTTACTGATATTTAGGTAATTTAGGTTACGGTTTAAAATCTCAAGAATGGAAGATTTCATAGGGGAGGAGGATGTAAAGGGAGTAGATGAGTGGCCAAAGAAAAAACTCAGTGTCCACGATGGTACAGAGAAAGAAAAGACCTTAGAAATCTAAAGTATGGGTCCATCGGAGAGAAGGAGGGGAGAGGGTAGAAATTTCCTGACTAGAGGGAAATTTTAGAGAGATAAGAAGCAGACCAAATATGAACTCACCCTGTGACAAATCCTCAACTGCTTTCTAAAAAATTATTGAATGCCAATGTCAACTATTTTGTGTGTAATATATTAAAAAAATAATTTGCTGAAACTGTTTTTCCATCTTGTGGATAGTGTTTTGGGAAATAAGTTCTCCTTTATTCATTTTCCAGGAGAGATATTAATGTAATGCTATAGGATGAGACTAAAATAACTCATATTCATGAACTTCTAAAAAATGGCACTCTTAGAAAAATAACTGAAAGCAGCCTTACTAATTTCCAATCTTTGTATTTTTTATGATCAGAAATATTTAGTCTATTTTATTTTTTATTTTTATTTTTATTTATTTATTCATTTAGTTTTTGAGATGAAGTCTCGCTCTGTGGCCCAGGCTGAAGTGCAAGGGCATGACCTCAGTTCACTGCAACCTCCGCCTCCTGGGTTCAAGTGATTCTTCCACCTCAGCCTCCGGAGTAGCTGCGATTACAGGCACCCGCCATCCTGCCTGGCTAATTTTTGTATTTTTGTAGAGATGGAGTTTCACCATGTTGACTAGGCTGGTCTTGAACTCCTGACCTCAGGTGATCCACCCGCCTCAGCCTCCCAAAGTGCTGGGATTACAGGCGTGAGCCACCACTCCTGGCCTAGAGTCTATTATTTTAAAGAAAGAAACATAAATACAACATTGACCACAGAAAAAGAAAAAGACTTTATCTCTCTAAGGAACAAATTCTTTCAGTGAGATGCAGCTTTCTTAGTGCCTTTCTAGATAAAACATTGTACAAATGAAAACGCTTCAATTTGCACTCTTTAAACAGTCATTCCCTTTGTGCCTGCAGTTCTTTTGGCTTGATGTTGAGGAAGATTTTGTGGAAGACAATGATATTTTATTGCTTCATCTTGGAGCAAGGAGAAAATTGTTTCTCTTCTTCCCACTTCCCCATTTTTTAAGAGTAGTGCTCGAGTCACACTTGCACTTCCACGCTGAAGCCTTCTATTTGTATCAACAGTGTGTTCTGGAATGCCACTTTCACATTCCCACACTTGGCAGACCCAGCTTCTCAGGTTTTCTCTATTTCTTGACTTTATTCATTTTTGTTTCAGCCTTTCTTTTTTTTTTCTTTTTTTTTTTTAATTATACTTTAAGTTTTAGGGTACATGTGCACAACATGCAGGTTTATATCATATGTATACATGTGCCATGTTGGTGTGCTGCACCCATTAACTTGTCATTTACATTAGGTATATCTCCTAATGCTATCCCTCCCCCCTCCCCCCACCCCACAACAGTCCCTGGTGTGTGATTTTCCCCTTCCTGAGTCCATGTGTTCTCATTGTTCAATTCCCACCTATGAGTCAGAACATGCGGTGTTTGGTTTTTTGTCCTTGCGCTAGTTTGCTGAGAATGATGGTTTCCACCTTCATCCATGTCCCTACAAAGGACATGAACTCATCATTTTTTATGGCTGCATAGTATTCCATGGTGTATATGTGCCACATTTTCTTAATCCAGTCTATCATTGTTGGATATTTGGGTTGGTTCCTACCCAAAGGATTATAAATCATGCTGCTACAAAGACACATGCACATGTATGTTTCAGCCTTTCTTATAGGCGATTCCATTTTCCAGATATTCTATTCTAGTCCCCATGCATACATTTTGGTTTTGATTTGGTTTGGTTTGGGGGTTTCTTGCCTAACGGTACAGACGAACAATTAAAAGCAGTTCTCTCCTCCTCCTCCTCCTCTTCTTCCTCCTCCTCCTCCTCTTCCTCCTCTTCCCCTTCTCCTTCTCCTTCGTCTCCTTCTTCTCCTTCTTCTTCCTTCTTCTCTTTCTTCTTGCCATGGCCTTGATAGGGTTATTTTAATTGCTCTCCCCGTTTCTTATGAGCACCACTTAAAAGATATCCACAGAGCTGAATTGCAGGGGTGTGTAGTGGTATATTCAAAGATGAATGTAAAGATGTAACTCTAGGTGTTTGTTTTGGGGATGGCATAACCAGGGAATGAATTTAAATCACTGTTTCTAGATGGATTAAAGCAATGGACCTTCAACCAGGAAAGATGGCAGCTATTCTTACTTTGCATATTTATTATATTTGTTGCTATACTGAAATTTTCAGCTGACAACAGCGAACACGGACTTCTGACTTGAGAGTTACGAGATACAAGCTTGGTTCAGGCAATTTCCAAGGGATTGTTTAGAGAGAGACAGAACTCAGGTCAAATCCCACTTGACTTTAACTTAAATTCCTTAAGATTTTATTTTCCTACCTGTACAAATAGGACAATAATATCTGCCTCATAAAGACTAAATGAGTTCTTGCATGGTAAGGAGCTGTCAGAGTACCTAATATGTGGTACGTGCTCCATAAATGCCACCCACCCCCACCACCCACTTCAGCTCACCACTGTCACCATCTCTGGGACTTGGCTTGGCTGAAGTAATATCAAAGGCTTCCTCTGAGTGCTTCAGTCTGTGAGTGGTCCTCTCCCAGCCCCTCACCACCTCTGTCCTGATACTATTTTAACAAGGAATTTATCTGTTTGCTTTAGAAGTTGCTGGAAGTTTACAAAGAAGAAACCCAGTAGTTCAGAAGAAACGTATCTAAATCTGATTTTAAAATTATCTGTTTTCTCTGGATTTAAACTAGCTATATTACTTACCTATTGCTGTATAAGAAATTACCCCAAACTCAGTGGCTTAAGACAGCCAACATTTAATCTTGCAGTCACTGTGGGTCAGGAACTCGAGAACATCTTAGCTGTGTGGCTCTGGCTCAGGGTCCCTCATGAGGCCAGCATCAAGACATTAGCCAGGGTTGCAGTCATCCGAAGGCTTGACCGGAGATGGGGAACCCATTTCCACATCCACTCACATGGCTTCTGGCAAGAGGCAGTCTAACGGGTATGAGCCTCAGACTCTCCATGGGGCTGCTTGAGTGTCCTCACAACATGGCAGCCAGCTTCCTCAGAGCAAGTGATATGAAAGACAGCAAGAAGGAAGCCACGATACCTCTTATAAGCTGGCTGCAGAAGCCTAACACCCTCACTGCTACTGTATTCTGTTCATGAGGGTCACTAAGTCAGCCAACACTAAAGGGTACAGAATTAGGTTCCATCTCTTCTCTTCTCTCTCCTCCTCTCCTCTTCCCCCTTTCTCTTTCCTTTATCCTCTTCTTCTCTTTCTGTGCCTCAGTTTCTTACCTGACCAAAGGTAACTTCTGCCCCCTAGGGATGCTATGAAAACAAAGTGAGATCAATCATATGAAAAGGCGGTTTTGGAGGGAGAGTTCAGAAACTCTATATAATATACCATATACCATAACCATGGAAACCTGAGATCAGCTCTGTCTAGCTTCCTGCTCTTGCATCTGAAGAAGCCGTTCCAGCTCACACAGGCATGGCTTAGTCACAGTGCAGCATGGGGTCCTTTAATGGGTCCTCTCTGAGCGGTGACCTGCTCAGGACACAGGAGCCAGCACCAGGCCCTTCCTTCCTTCTCCTGGGCAAGCAGCACCACTCATCCCGGCAGAAATAGAAAAAGGAGTTAAGTTCCTGTGTTCCTTATTAGATTGCTGTAGCAGCTCCATAAAGCTCTCCTAGACAGTCCTGTCTGTTAGTGGCTGTTTCTTTATGACTAAAGCAGCACTTTCCCATCTGCTGCCCTCAAAGCAAGGGGCCCCGGGCCGCATATTTCTGGTTCAGGAGTCTCAAGATCTCTGAAAGCACCAGATTGTTGGGATTTAAGTGCTGTTGTTTATTTTTATATCTGGGTCCTGTTCCTCCAAATAACTCCAAGACCATTGTGATTTTCGAGAAGTTAATTCAGTGGTGCAGGCTAGGTAGGGAATGGTGGTATTAGCAAATCCTACCTGTTTTCTTTGCAAGCTCATTTCCATCATTGGTCCTCCAAATGCATTTCCCTGTTCAAAGTACTCTACCTTGGATATGTCTGCCTTTGCCTCCACGTCCCTCACCTATTATCTTTAGAAAGGTGGTTTTAAATGTTGGTCACTGAACATTTAGCCACATAGGGCACCAGCTCTCAGAGGTTTCACAAGTAAAGGAAAGGGTTGGGGGAAATGAAATATGGTTCAACGCAACAGAGTAACCCACATATTCCGTATGTTCGACAAGGTCTCTACCCAGGAGGCTGGCGATGAAGGATGCTAACATTTCTTGAACCGCCATCTTCTCCCTTCTTTTGGGTAACCCTCGAATTCTGCTTATGGTTATCTATGGATTGTGGAGTCATTTCCTGGCTCAGGAGGTTAAGAAAGGCGTCCGAGATTTGAGGGTTACAGGAGTTTGGAAGCACTGTTTTTCTGGTTTTCTGTTACCTCCATTTTAAAGCCGTGATACTTCCAACTGCCCTTTTTTCAGTAAGTTCTTGTTGACTACTCTCTTGAAACCAAAAGATGCATATCCCGTTGTACAGGGGGTCAAAAGTGTGCCCAATTAAGCCTGCCTTGACTTCAATATTGCAACTCACTGAAGACACACAGTGGAATTTCTGGTGGACCCCTTCCCATAACCCACAGGGAACTCTAGCCGTACATGGGTCTTACTGACCCGTTGGGTCTAGCTGACGGTGCCTGATGGTCTCCAATGACCAAGGTGTCCTCATTAGTTCTGTGCTATATTTAGTTAAGCCTGAAATCTGTGCCCCTAATTTAATCACACACCAGGTAGCCATGGAGATGACATCAAGCCTCTGGCTGCCCTATAAACCATTGCAAATGCTGAAAATAAAATAAACAGGATATGCAAATTGACTTCCTAAGTAAATAAAAGACTTTGTCTCCAGGTGTTGGGATTAGCTGCTTTTGGTTCACTGATGTTTGTTAGGATTCACAGTGATTTGAAAAATATCATCGTAACAGCCTTTGTCTCAATGCCTACCTTTTTTCCTTTTTGTCTGTTGCAGATATATCAACACTCGTATACTGGATATTACGTCCTGAGCAAAATTCCTCATGGGTAAGAGTGTTCTTTTCTTTCTTTTAATTAGAAATATGCAGGGCAAAGTGAAGGGTAGAACATGGACGAGCTGTTTAACCCTTAGGGCGGGAAATGGCGTTCCAGTTCTCACAGCCAAGGGTGCTGGTATCGTGGCACCTCTGGGACTCTCCCTAGATAATGACACTAAGGATGTCAGGGGGTCACTTGAGTCCACTCACTTCCCCATTTGTGAAGCCCCCTTCCTAGAGCAACTCTGCCCTCTTCCTGTGCTGGTTCCTGCAGTTGACCCTGGAGGTTCTTCAGAGCCGGACATTCCCCTCTGCTTTGTAATCACCTGCAGCCTCCTCTCAGGCAAGGTGAGGTGGCCCTTGGCCTCCCACGAGGGTTCCTGGTTATACCCACACTAGCAGAATAGAAGCCTCTCTCAGCCCACCACATGTCATCAGAGACAAATCTGGAACATATCTATGGGATTACGGTAAACTACTCTGGTCAGACATTCAGCAGTGCATTGGGAATGGGTTGGGCAAGTGGTATTAGTGCTGCTCTACCCATCACTCCGAGGGGGTTTCAGCGGCGTGTTGTTCTTGTTTTATTGTCCTTTCTGAGCTTGGCTGTGCTCCCAGGGCCGGGTTTCAGTGCCTGCTTTTGACTGGGCCCCCCGGCTTCATTCTTTCATGACCTCACATTGCACTGCTAACCTCATCTGGTCTCTCAATAATGTATTGTCCAGAGCAGGAGCGAGTTTAGTTTTCAGTGCTGGGCAGGCGTCCCCCACACGACCCTCAGATGCCTGATCAGCTTCACCTTTGGAACCCAGAGCAGAAAAGACATTGGTTAGGGTTTGGTGAAACCACATGTTGAGTCAGACACAGATGAAAAATGGTTGCAGAACTAGGAAAGTCTGTCGAGGAGAATTTTTTGTTGTTTTATCTTCATTATTTCTTCGTCTCCTCTTCCCTCCTCCTTCCCTCCCCTATTCTCATTCCCTTCTCCTGGCCTTCCTGTTCCCCACCTCATGTTTCTCTTTCCTGTCTTCTGTGGTTTCTACTGTCATGCTTTGCAAAGGTGAGGTGCTCAGGAAAGGTTGATAAAGAAACTGAATTGTGCTGCAGATAGTGTCATGTAGGCTCCTGTGAATATCTAGGTTGAGGCATCCTCATTTCCCAAGCAAATTTTAACAGCAGGAGTGGCTAGAAAGCATTTTTCCATAGGTGAGCATTAATCACAGCATGAGCGTTTATAGCTGCTGCTCTCTGTTTTCTACTCAGCTTAGAATACAGGCAAGTCCTTGGAAAACAAACTCGAATAAACTAATTTAATGTGGGCTTTAGACAAAGGGAAGACGCATGTGGATCTTCAGCAAATTGTGACCAATAGTTTCTGTTAGATTATTAGAAAAGTGAAGCCCAAAGAAAGCAAAGATGGCCCAAGTTGCAAAAATAAAGTATTCATACAAATTTTTCATTAAAAGTATGTTTTAAATAGAAACCCAAATATTCTTCAGTAAAGAGGAATTATCCCATTCTTTCCCAAGCAGATATATATCTTCAGAGGTCATGGCAGGCAGGACTATAATTATGCCTTGAGATTTATCTGCCCCTTCTGGGAACAATAGAATTTGTTGTAGATGATAGATATTTCGTTCCATCTTATATCAATTTGTAAAACTCGAAACTCTAAAAGCAGTTGATGCCTAACGTATTGTGTTAATATTTTACTGCATCAGTCAGCATTTGGAGGAAACAGATTCTAGGAACTTGGCACAGGAGTTTGCTGAACAAGCTAGCAAAGCTCAGGCCATGATAGTCTGTGTTGAAGGCTCGGCTTCTGCACTTAGATACCTGGAGCCTGGTGATGATCTGCCTTATAGATGACCCCAACACGGAGGGAGCTGCTTCTGGTGTCTTTAATGGAATCAGAGCAAGAATAATGCCCCTGGTTTATTGGTTAGCTTTCATATACCTTTATCCCTGTTCAACAACCTGCAAGAAAAGCATCCTTATTTCCATTTTAAGTGAGAGCTCCAAGAGGTCATCACCTTCCCCTCACCTCCTAGCTACTGTATGCTTGAGTCTCAGCGTAAGTCAGGCTGACTCGAAATCCCATGCTAGTAAAAAAACTCGTGGCTCACACCTGTAAT